>NC_000011.10:6120606-6423636 GCF_000001405.40 Homo sapiens
AGGAAAAGAGGAAGTCAAATTGTCCCTGTTTGCAGACGACATGATTGTATATCTAGAAAACCCCATTGTCTCAGCCCAAAATCTCCTTAAGCTGATAAGCAACTTCAGCAAAGTCTCAGGATACAAAATCAACATACAAAAATCACAGGCATTCTTATACACCAATAACAGACAAACAGAGAGCCAAATCATGAGTGAACTCCCATTCACAATTGCTTCAAAGAGAATAAAATACCTAGGAATCCAACTTACAAGGGATGTGAAGGACCTCTTCAAGGAGAACTACAAACCACTGCTCAAGGAAATAAAAGAGGATACAAACAAATGGAAGAACATTCCATGCTCATGGGTAGGAAGAATCAATATCATGAAAATGGCCATACTGCCCAAGGTAATTTACAGATTCAATGCCATCCCCATCAAGCTACCAATGACTTTCTTCACAGAATTGGAAAAAACTACTTTAAAGTTCATATGGAACCAAAAAAGAGCCCGCATCGCCAAGGCAATCCTAAGCCAAAAGAACAAAGCTGGAGGCATCGGCCGGGCGCGGTGGCTCACGCCTGTAATCCCAGCACTTTGGGAGGCCGAGGCGGGTGGATCATGAGGTCAGGAGATCGAGACCATCCTGGCTAACAAGGTGAAACCCCGTCTCTACTAAAAATACAAAAAATTAGCCGGGCCCGGTGGCGGGCACCTGTAGTCCCAGCTACTCGGGAGGCTGAGGCAGGAGAATGGCGTGAACCCGGGAAGCGGAGCTTGCAGTGAGCCGAGATTGCGCCACTGCAGTCCGCAGTCCGGCCTGGGCGACAGAGCGAGACTCCGTCTCAAAAAAAAAAAAAAAAAAAAGCTGGAGGCATCACACTACCTGACTTCAAACTATACTACAAGGCTACGGTAACCAAAACAGCATGGTACTGGTACCAAAACAGAGATATAGATCAATGGAACAGAACAGAGCCCTCAGAAATAACGACGCATATCTACAACTATCTGATCTTTGACAAACCTGACAAAAACAAGCAATGGGGAAAGGATTCCCTATTTAATAAATGGTGCTGGGAAAACTGGCTAGACAGATGTAGAAAGCTGAAACTGGATCCCTTCCTTACACCTTATACAAAAATCAATTCAAGATGGATTAAAGACTTAAACGTTAGACCTAAAACCATAAAAACCCTAGAAGAAAACCTAGGCATTACCATTCAGGACATAGGCACAGGCAAGGACTTCATGTCTAAAACTCCAAAAGCAATGGCAACAAAAGACAAAATTGACAAATGGGATCTCATTAAACTAAAGAGCTTCTGCACAGCAAAAGAAACTACCATGAGAGTGAACAGGCAACCTACAAAATGGGAGAAAATTTTCGCAACCTACTCATCTGACAAAGGGCTAATATCCAGAATCTACTATGAACTCAAACAAATTTACAAGAAAAAGCAAACAACCCCATCAAAAAGTGGGCGAAGAACATGAACAGACACTTCTCAAAAGAAGACATTTATGCAGCCAAAAAACACATGAAAAAATGCTCACCATCACTGGCCATCAGAGAAATGCAAATCAAAACCACAATGAGAAACCATCTCACACCAGTTAGAATGGCAATCATTAAAAAGTCAGGAAACAACAGGTGCTGGAGAGGATGTGGAGAAATAGGAACACTTTTACACTGTTGGTGGGACTGTAAACTAGTTCAACCATTGTGGAAGTCAGTGTGGCGATTCCTCAGGGATCTAGAACTAGAAATACCATTTGACCCAGCCATCCCATTACTGGGTATATACCCAAAGGACTATAAATCATGCTGCTATAAAGACACATGCACACGTATGTTTATTGTGGCATTATTCACAATAGCAAAGACTTGGAACCAACTCAAATGTCCAACAATGACAGACTGGATTAAGAAAATGTGGCACATATACACCATGGAATACTATGCAGCCATAAAAAATGATGAGTTCATGTCCTTTGTAGGGACATGGATGAAATTGGAAATCATCATTCTCAGTAAACTATCGCAAGGACAAGAAACCAAACACCGCATATTCTCACTCATAGGTGGGAATTGAACAATGAGATCACATGGACACAGGAAGGGGAATATCACACTCTGGGGACTGTTGTGGGGTGGGGAGAGAGGAGAGGGATAGCATCGGGAGATATACCTAATGCTAGATGACAAGTTAGTGGGTGCAGTGCACCAGCATGGCACATGTATATGTATGTAACTAACCTGCACAATGGGCACATGTACCCTAAAACTTAAAGTATAATAAAAAAAAAAGAAAAAAAAAGCTCAACATCACTGATCTTTAGACAAATGTAATCAAAACCACATGAAAAGTAGCCCAAAACTTTATAGAATTGCCTACCGGGGTCACTGTAATGGAATTTATGGTCTTAAGAAATTACTAGTTGTATCATAAAGAAAAGACTGAATTGTAAAGTTAACTTCTAATAGCTTGTATATAAAATAAAAATGGACAGGAGAGAGAAGAAAATGGTTAACATATAGAAATAAAAGCATGCATATAAAAAGCAAATAAAAATATTTAAAACTGCTACGGTTCTTATTTCTATAATTGGTCACAAAGCCAAGCTGATATCTACCATATTTCCCCAACCTCTACCAGAACCTGGAGGAACCTTGTCTCCACTATATAGAAGCAACTCAACTTCCCCTTGGTAATTGGGATCAATCATTGCAACTGATAGATTAACGTCTTTTTTTTTTCTGTTAGTTATGTGGTATAAGGCAGTAAAATGAGCCCTTTGATATGAGAATATATAAACATAGGGTCCAAATTAAAATATTTTCTGTTCTAATCCTCTTATGACATTTGAAGCATTTGCTTCCTTTACTATACATGCAAATTGAAATCCGGAATATCTCCCTATCCCAGTTAGGAACTATTAGTAACCTCCTGGGGCCAATAAAATCCACTTGCTAGCGATATATCAGTCTAGACAGTAGCTCATAGTGGCTTAGGTCTCTCATTATCATGTTGACAAGCAAAACACTTTTGAACTTCAGAGGGATTCAGTAGATTAGATTTATCTATCTGATTTACCTATTTACTTACTTCTCATTACAGCATCGCTAGAATAGCCTCACGACCACTCATCTCAGAAACCCAAAAATACTCTTCCAGGAAGCAGATTAGAACATTCAGTTGTTGATTCTAGTCCACTTCTGAATTCAGAAGAGTATTTTTCTGATGAGCTGTAACATATGCCTCTTTAAATTCTCACTTTCCGAGCTCATAAAGTTTTCCATAATATACCATGCCGTAATGAGATTCCTGACATTATTCAGTAATTCAAGGTTCATCTCAGATCATATCAGCAATTTATTGTCTGTGATCTTAAAATGGTTATAATTCTATCTTACTAAATTGTTATCATTTAGCTCCTCTAATATCATGAAAAAAAATCCATTGAGCAGATTTATCTTTCTTTGGGGTAAGTTGATTGATTAAAAAAAAAAAAAACTATCACAGAGAACAATCTGTCCCAGAACAGACTAACATTTCTATCAGGGAAAGTAATTTCATCACTCTTTTGTTCCAGTTTAATTAACACTAAAAATATGATGTCATGAATCGCAAGAGAGACAAGTGATCCTAAAAGAAAGAACTGATCAACACGGATTAACTACTGGAGAGGATTCTGGTAAGATTAAGTTCTAAAATATACCTGTTATTTTTGACAATTTAAGGTCATTAGCAAAGGCAGTTTGTGTGATGTTATGACAAAAGTAAATTGCAGTGAGTTAAAACGCATTCAGGAAGTGAGAGAGAGAGCAAAATAAAGAAGCTACTCATAAAGTCTGGGAAAAGGGAAGTAGATAGGGGCAATCTCTGGAAGGGATATGGAGTAAAGATATGTTTGACGTGTGGAGACTTCAGAACCTTACTGTAATGAGGGGCAATATTCATCAGATAGGGATGAATTAATGCCTGAGGAGTCTGGATGAAAAACTATTTGGTGGGCTGCCCCTGGGACTAGGGCTAAAGGGGTATACTCCTAGAAATTAGTCAGCTAACCCCAAAGAGTACCTGGGTCCTATTCCCATTGCAATGTTAAAAGCGTTAGGCCCTCAAGGATGCTTGTAGAGTAGGGAGGGCATAAAGAGCAGCACAACAGGACCAGGTATCTCAGGGATCTAACTCACTCTAAATCCATAAACTCCAAGAGTGTTGAGCAAGGGCAGGAATCTGTTCTGAACAACAAAAGGGTGAACATAGGCAGCTGTGGCCAGGAAGGTAGAAGCAGCTACAGAAGACTTTGCCAGCCTGAGAGCTTCTTCATAGCCCTTCCTGATGTAGTAAGTAAAGCAGTCAATGACCTGAATCTTGAGAGGTAAGGGAACAGACATGGTCCATGTCCTGTAGTTCTGTCCTAATCTCTGAACTTGATTACGTGTCTTATCTTTGGTTTCCATAGTCAGCTTTCCTTGTTTGATTCTTCACCTCCAGTTCCCCACTTTGCCCAGACTCTTCACCTTTGTAGGGACTAAGGTCTGTGATCAGGAAACAGGAGAGAAATGAGGCTGAGCTAAGATGATCAGTGAATAAATGATAAACCAAGGGATCTAGAATAATACAATAAATTCTTTGTTCAAGATTCCCAGAATGAAAAGTAACTCCAAACAAAGGACTATTTTATTACATTTGATAAAATACATGCAACTTTAAAAACAAAAGACACCATATTTAATGTAAATTCTAGCTGCACTACCCGTTAAATTCAACCAAAAAGTCCAAGATGTTTGCCATCATAATTAGTTTACATTGATTTTGAATTTCCAACCATTTCATTAAGACAAGAAACAAAAATTAAGATGCATCAATATTTGTAAAGAAGGAATTTATATTATTGTTTGCAAGCAACTTTTTATTCTACCTAGAAAAAAATTTAATATAAATGGAAAAATTCTAAGAATTGACAATAGTTTAGCAAAATGGATGATACACAAGACAAAATAACAAAACATATGCAACTGCACCTCTATAAAATAATAAAGACAAGATGTTTACCAGCAACAGATAATTGGTTGCTATAATACAAAAAAAAATCACAAAACATTTAAAAATGACACAAGTTTAGAAAAGTAGGTAAATGCAAGAGGAAATAAAAACATTCTCATATATATTCTAATGCATCACATTAGCACAGATATGTAGATACATTGTAATGTATATTTCTGTGATATGGATCCCCCTGAATTCATCTTTTTTAGTGTTATTATATCAATTAGAATGTATAATGCGGGCTGGGCATGGTGGCTCACTCCTGTAATCTCAGCACTTTGAAAGGCCAAGGTGGGCAAATCACCTGAAGTCAGGAATCGAGACCAGCCTGGCCAACATGGTGAAACCCCATCTCTACTAAAAATACAAAAATTACCTGGGTGTGGTGGCATGCACCTGTAATCCCAGCTACTCACGAGGCTGAGGCAGGAGAATCGCTTGAACCCAGGAGGCAGAGGTTGCAGTGAGCCGAGATAGTGCCACTGCACTCCCGCCTGGGAGACAGAGTGAGATTCCATTTCGAAAAAAAAAAAAAAAAAAGAAGTATAATGCAGAAAAACATATTCACTAAAAACATTCCAAATACTAATAATGATAAGAACATTGCAATACAAAATTTTAATGAAACTTTTTTCAGATTTAAATAAAGGCAGACAGAATCTATATTATGAATGAGAAGGCTTGATAATGTAGACATATCAACTTTTTTTCAAAGTTAATCTACAGATTTAACACAATCCCAACCAAAACCATGCTATTTTAGAACTCAACACAGAATTCGAAGGGTAATCTGGAAGATAAATACATAAAAAGGGTTTTAAATTAATGAGAATAATAAAAGGAATATAGTTCTGTTATGTGTTAAATTTATTATAAAACTTAATTTTTAAATTTGGTTTAATATTGACACAAAAATAACCAGAAAGAAATAGAAACAATAGAATCCCAGAAATGGAATTTTATCTATATGTGTATAAATTCACTATGTGACAAATGACACGTAATAATCACTTGGTGAGAGCTGTAGAAGCCATTGTCTATTTGAAATCTATTTATTTACGTAAGTCTCATTAACAGCAAAAGTAATTCCATGTAAATAAGTTGTGTCACAAAACCAAAAAGCCAACTATTAAAAATATAGAGAAGTAAATATTGATCAAAATTTGAGTAAAGAATAATATTTTGTAATTGTTTTTTGTTTGTATTGTGGAATGCTTTGAGAATTTGATGAAAAACAGATCCTCTCTCTAGAAAAGTATAAATATAGACTTACAAATTTAGGAAGTTCACAAACTTCCATGAGACCATCTATAAATTCTTGATTAAAGAGTCCTATTTTAAGCATAAAAGATAAAAAATTCATAAAGGGAAAATAGTATAATATTGCATATATGTATATATTTACAGTACATAAAACCAAACAAAAATTGGGGGAAATGTTATAAAATGATTTGATAACATTTAGTAGTCATTGAAAACATGTTTATAAAAATTTAAAATGTCTATAAGGAGTTTTCCAGTGAATTGGAAAGTTTATATGCATAATGTTAAGAAAAAGCACAGTTTGAAAGATCCTATTTTCATGAAACAGGAACTGTGTAAGAAGACTGCAAAGAAAAATGATAAAAATTAAATATTTTGAAATGTTAAATCTTTGCTAGGATTTTTATTTATAGCTATTTTTCTGCATTTTTGTTTTCTAAAAGTGTTATTGTTTTATTTTTCTTTTTATCAATTTCATGCATGATATATGTTTATTATAATGAATAAATGGCATAGTCATTCATTCTTCTCAGAGGCAGTGAGGGATGGAGCCTTGATCTTACACTTAATACCATGAAATGAAGCAAAGGCAGAGATCTGGGAAAGATAATATTGATACCTAAATATTTAACAAGGTAAGATATTATTCATAGATAAAGGCAATATAAAGAATTCTCAGATATTCAAGGACTCCAGGCATTTTGTCCAAGTACACTTTTTGATACAATTACTTGAAAATATTTTGCAACAATTCAAGAATAAACAAAGTAAGAGGGAAAAGAACCAAGTGTTACAGGGCCAAAAATGAGCCATAAAATTACTTAATTTTAAAAAGTCAAAATGTGTGCAATAAATGCTTGCTATATTTCCAAATTATTCCACAGAAAAATCTGGATGTGGTTGGAAGTTCACTGGTGATTTTCTCTCCTTACACCTTTTATTAATAAAATCGATTATTTGAAAATATAATTTTAAGTATATCTTTAACATTAGCTTCATAATCAGAAGAGGAAACAAATGATATTCCTAAAGGGTACTGACCTATGGGCTACTATTTGATGGAGAGAGTGCTGGAATTAAATGTAAAAGATTAAAATTTTTTCTACAGATTAGTCACCAGTGTTTTCAACGTATGATTCTTATCTAGACGACTCATTCAACCTATTTCCTCATATGTGAGTAACAATATCTGCATGGCGAAGATTAAATGAGATGGTTTGTTTCAGAAACAATTTGCCAACCACAGGCATTGTTTAAAAGAAAGGCATGGTCAGGGTTTCCATTATGGCTACTTATTCTCTTCTCAAAGGTTCCCAAGAATGGAGACGACACCTCTGCCCTCTAACTTTACCTGCTGAAAATCAGGTTCTTTATACTGTACATGTCTCATACTTTCTATCTATATTCCCCACCTCCCGGAATTTCAGGAAAATAAAGCTAGAAAATTTTCTCTTTAATTCTACTCAATATTCTACTAAAATTTTTTATCTTAGCATCTATTTTGGCCTGTCTGTTCTTATCTGAACTGTTTCCAAGTGTCTCAAGAGTGTAGAGAATGCATTATGTTAAAAATGACTGAGGATTGTGGGTGAGCCTTATTTTTGTACAGAAATTTTGACCCTCAGCTGAGCTAACCACAGTCTTATTCTGTTTCCACTTAATCCACAGGCAGATGCTGAGAACAAAACATCTCATGATATGGATATTGGCCTGAGTATAGCCAATAGCTCAGGGTTTCAACTGTCTGAGTTCATTCTGATAGGGTTCCCAGGCATTCATGAGTGGCAGCACTGGCTCTCCCTGCCCTTAGCTCTTGGTGCCAATCTCCTCATCATAATCACCATTCAACATGAGACCATGCTACATGAACCCATGTACCATTTGCTGGGCATATTAGCAGTGGTGGACATTGGCCTGGCCACCACCATCATGCCCAAGATCCTGGCCATCTTCTGGTTTGATGCCAAGGCCATCAGCCTCCCTGAGTGTTTTGCTCAGATCTATGCCATCCACTCTTTCATGTGCATGGAGTCAGGCATCTTCCTCTGCATGGCAGTGGATAGATATATGGCCATTTGTTATCCCCTTCAGTACACTTCCATAGTTACTGAAGCTTTTGTCATCAAAGCCACACTGTCAGTAGTGCTCAGGAATGGCCTGTTGACCATCCCAGTGCCAGTATTGGCTGCCCAGCGACACTACTGCTCCAGGAATGAGATTGATCAGTGCCTCTGCTCTAACTTGGGGGTCACAAGTCTGGCCTGTGATGACACCACTATTAACAGGTTTTACCAGCTGGCCTTGGTCTGGGTTGTGGTTGGGAGTGACATGGGTCTGGTCTTTGCTTCCTATTCTTTGATTATTCACTCAGTGCTGAAGCTGAACTCTGCTAAAGCAACATCTAAGGCCCTGAATACCTGCAGCTCCCACCTTATCCTCATTCTCTTTTTCTACACAGCTATTATTGTAGTATCTGTCACCACCTGGCAGGAAGAAGGGCTCCCCGCATCCCTGTTCTCCTCAATGTGCTGCATATTGTCATCCCCTCAGCCCTTAACCCCATAGTATATGCCCTTAGGACCTAGGAGCTGAGAGCAGGCTTCCAGAAGCTGCTTGGTTTGGGCGAGTATGTGTCCAGGAAGTGAGCTAACTTTAAATAGCAGAATATTATATGCAATGCTGAAGAAAGAGCACAGTCTTTGGAGTCCAACACACCTTGGTTAAAATTCCATCTCTCCCAATTGCTAGGAAGATTGATTCACATTAATTTATCTCTTTTGTATAGAACATAGCATGTGCAAGGCATTGCTCTAAGCATTGCACATATATTAACTTTTTTAATCCTGTAACAACTCTATGAGGCAAGCACAATTGTTATTTATACACTTTGAGGATAGGGAAACTGAGTTGGGAAACTTGCCCAAGGTCACAGGGGAAGGAAGTTGCAGAGTAAGATTTGAACTGAAGCAATCAGCCTTCAGTGTCCCGTCTCTTAACTCTTTCTCTCTATTTAACCTCACTACTAATTTTTCTAAATGCAAATTAAGATAAACAAGGTGAAATTACATATTACTTCTTTTTAATAAAAGCAAATTCCATTTTAAAGTTGGCCAGTTTTTCTCTCTAATGGTAAAGAGAGTAGATTTTAAATCCTCTAGAAAGACTCGTTCTAGTGGACCTACTTATATAGATGTAAATCAAGAATTTGACAGGAATTATTTTGTGACTTCACAAACTCTTTACCAACTCTTGAGTTAATTTGCATTAGAGCTCCAAAAGGAATATCCCAACCACTTTTTTTAAACCCTCAACACTACTTGAACTTCTCTAATGAATTAAGAAATCTCAATGGGGCCAGGCTCGGTGGCTCACGCCTGTAATCCCAGCACTTTGGGAGGCCGAGGTGGGTGGATCACCTGAGACTGGGAGTTGGAGATCAGCCTGGCTAACATGGTGAAACCCTGTCTCTACTAAATATGCAAAATTAACTGGGCATGGTGGCGCATGCCTGTAGTCCCACCTACTCGGGAGGCTGAGGCAGGAGAATTGCTTGAACCCAGGAGGCGGAGGTTGCAATGAGCTGGGATCACACCACTGCACTCCAGCCTGGGTGAGAGTGAGACTCTGTCTCAAAAAAACACAAAAAAAAAAACAAAAAAAGAAATCTCAATGAAGTCTTGTAGTTCAATGACAGTATAAAGGACACCAAAGGTCTCTAAAGAGGAACTTTCCTCATAAGAAAAATGATATATGTTTGGAGACAGAGAGAAGAGAAAGTTAGTAAAATTGTTTCTTATTTATTTAAATGCTAGAGTATGTAGCTCAGCAAGGGTGAAATATTGGCTGCAGGATGAGGTTGGAAGTCTATCCTGACCCAGTCACAAGGCATTATGGCAGACTTTGTGAAGAGAAGCCTAACTTGTGCCAGTAAATTTGAAAGTCCATGTGTGAGAACCTTAAGCCATCACAACTCAGGCACTTAAATCATCTTCCCTTTGATAGAGTCAGATAGCGATAGCAAGGCATTATGGTATCTTTGGACAAAGCAGAATTGGACCCTGTGCTTTCACCTGTTTTTAACAGTGACCCCACATATCAAGAAGAGAAAGTAACTGCACTGTATCACTAAGGATCTTTACCTGACCACATCCTTATAAATGTCTCATTATAAGTATGCCCTCCTCAAAGTATTCAAATTGGAATGGGTTGGCTAGGTGCAGTGGCTCAATCCTGTAACCCCAGCACTTTGGGAGCCCGAAGCAGGCAGATTCCCTGAGGTCAGGAGTTCAAGACCATCCTGGCCAACATGGCGAAACTCCTGTCTCTACTAAAAATACAAAAATAAGCTGGGTGTGGTAATGCATGCCTGTAATCCCAGCTACTAGGGAAGCTGAGGCAGGAGAATTGCTTGACCCAGGGGGAGGAGGTTGCAGTGAGCTGAGATCGTGCCACTGCACTCCAGTCCAGGCGACAGAGGGAGACTCCATCTCAAAAAAAATAAAATAAAATAAAATAAAAATAAAAAATAAAAACAACTGGGTTATCTGTTTTGTAATAAGACTAACATTCTGCTCATTCAATTTGGGAGTATGCAAGTCATTAGAAAGAGCAGTTTTGCTGGGCGCGGTGGCACACGCCTGTAATCCTAGCACTTTGGGAGGCCGAGGCAGGTGGATTACCCGAGGTCAGTTCAAGACCAGCCTAGCCAACATGGTGAAACCCCGTGTCTACCAAAAATACAAAAATTAGCCGGGTGTGGTGGCAGGCACCTGTAATCCCAGCTACTCTGGAGGGTAAGGCAGGAGAATGGCTTGAACCCGGGAGGTGGAGGTTGCACTGAGCCGAGATCGTGCCACTTTACTCCTCCAGCCTGGGCAAAAGAGCAAGACTCAAAGAAAGAAAGAAGGAAAGAAAAAGAAAGAAGGAAGGAAAGAAAGAAAGAAAGAAAGAAAAAGAAAAGAAAGAAAGAAAAAGAAAGAAAGAAAGAAAAAGAAAAGAAAGAAAGAAAAAGAAAAAGAAGAAAGAAAGAAAGAGAAAAAAAGAAAGGGCAGTTTCAACACAGTGATAGGACAGATTTTATATGGATGGCCATAGATTTTAAAGATAAAGAAGTGAAGGCAATATACAAGAATGTCTCTTACAAGAGGTTGGGTCAGTGAAAAGTAGACCTTAGGGATACAGGAGAGAGACTAAGAAGTGCCATCGAAAGACCTAAGATGTATATGGAATTGAGGTATTTTTTGAAACTGGCAGTCCTTGGAATCTTTGTATACTAAGGAGCATGATTCAGGAGAGAGGAAAAGACTGTTAATATAGGAGAGGGAATACAATCACATCTGTTCTTTTATTTTGAACACACACATATGTTAGTTAACAACACTATTGATATATTAGTAAACAATTTAAGCCTAACTGAATTTTACATTTGCTTATGTTCAATTTCATCCACTAGAAATACTGACTGAATGCAGTGTCAAAAGACAAAATTACAATGAATTTAGGTTAAAAATACAATTGGCTTTGATTTATTATTCTAGAATCAGGTAACACCTCATTGTATAAAATATAATGAGGGGTTCTGATTAGCTCAGCAGAGGAGGTTGGCTTTTTAGCCATAAAAGAGCTGAAGAAAGTAGAAACAGAGAACAAAAAGCAGGTTGGACATTTCAAAGTTTCTTTCCTGATGGAATTAAAACAGAGGAGAATTCCATATTATGCTGACTCAGGTTGACTGAAATTTCTGTTATTTGATGGAAAACTGGCCCATTTCAAAGTTTGGTTTGATTACCTGGCACCTAGCACAAGTGACTCCATTCTGATTTGAGCTGGTCTGCTGGGGCCTAGTATAGAAGGCTAGTCCAAAACAATAGTATCCCATAAACTTTGTTTAACCATTCCCCCCGCTTTGGGTCATGCTCTCACCTAGGTTAGAGCATCAGTGCCACTCTCCATCACCATTGTTTTGAGTTTTCAGTCTCATCATGTTATTCATAGATTACAGTGTCCTTGTTATCATGCATCTTCTGGAGTTTGTCATGCCAGGCAGAGAGAGACCATTTAGCATTCAGCAGATGGCTGCATGTAGCTATTAAGATTTTTGAGAGTATACAGCACGCTAGGAAGATTACTACTACTACTATTGTGACTGACATGGTTTGGCTGTGTCCCCACCCAAAGCTCACCTTGAGTTGTAACAATCCCCACATGTCAAGGGCAGGGCCAGGTGGAAATAACTGAATCATGGGGGCGGTTTCTCCTATCCTGTTCTCCTGGTAGTGAATAAGTCTCACAAGATCTAATGGTTTTATAAATGGGAGTTCCCCTGCACAAGCTCTCTTGCCTGTCATCATGTAAGACATGCTTTTACTCTTCCTTCATCTTCTGCCATGATTGTGAGGCCTCCCCAATTATGTGGAATTGTGAGTTCATTAAACCACTTTCCTTTATAAATTACCCAGTCTCCGGTATGCCTTTATTAGCAGCATGAGAACAGGCTAATATGTTGACTCTAAAGAGGATAATACCAAAAGTTTGAGTATGCCCTTCGGCCAGAGTCCCCATGAACAAAACCAACTAAAATTAAATAGATCAAAGAATGAGCTACATGAGGAATCTACCCACTTTAACCAAGTAGCCTACTCATTTATTTTTTGAAACTGAATCTCGAAAATACCAATGCATTTATCCATGTTTAACGAGAAGTGTTAGCAACTGCACAGACTCCTCCCTGTCCAGCTACTAAATAGCAATTCTGTTATCTAGTATCTGATAACTAAGTTAAATAAAAGCAAGGAGTGAGAACATGTGGGTCTAGAAGTCTGGCTCTATAAAATAGAACACTAGTGTAATTTGAAAAAGCAGTTATATCAGGGCTGTTACTAGTTAGTCACTGGGTGGACTAGAGGATCTCTTAGGTCATGTAAAAAACTGGATTTAGCATGACATATCTGACATTTTGTCATGTCGCCTACAGAAGCTACTGATTGTGAAATTCTATAATAACTACAGCATTATCCTACCAAGAGAAAGAGGTAGGCACAAGTGAGAAAAACTTAAAGAGAGGTAAGGCCAAGTGCAGTGCCTCATACCTGCAATCCCAGAATTTTGGGAGGTTGAGGTGGGAAAGTCACTTGAGCCAGGGAGTTTGAGGTCAGTCTGAGCAACACAGCAAATCCTCATCTCTACCAAAAATTTAAAAATTACCTGGGCATGGTGGTACACACCTGTAGTCTCAGCTACTCAAAAGGCTGAGGCAGGAGGATTCCTTGAGCCCAGGAGTTTGAGGTTATAGTGAGCTTTAATCACGCCACTGCACTCCAGCCTCAGTGATGGAGTGAGACAATATATCTTTTAAAAAAAAATTAGGAGTAAGAGTCTCATTATGATAGGGAGTCTTGTCCGATGTCTTAGGAAAAGCTGTGCACAGCGTGAAGTTGCCAACTTCTTGTCCTAGTTTGCAGTTTGAACATCTGTGGTTATGACATCACATTTTGGTGGACTCTCTGAGTGGCCCAAACATCAGGTACAAGATTTGTCCCTTGAAATTTACATCTAGTTGTCCAGCTTCACCTTATATGGCTTCATGAACAGAGCATTTCTTGCTCTTAGCTGGAGAATTGTAGCCAGATACTGAAAGAAATTAGAATAATTCAGGATCCAGTCCAGTCTACAGGTAGATAATAAAAGCTCAAAAACAATGAGTATTAGCTACAATCTAATAACAGGTGTACTATAGTTTTTATCTTGGAACATAGTTTGTCTCTCTACAATCACCTCTATTTCTACAAAAGATACAGTAAGTCTAATTTGTTTGCAAAATAAGCTTAATGTCATCAAACTTGGCTTGATTATTTACATAAGTGACACAAAACTAGTGATTGACAACACGGCTTTGTTAAAGTTTGTTTTCTTGGAACTTTTGATAAGGAATCCTAGATTGCACTTTTAAAAACCTCAAGAATCGGAAGCCAAACCAAGGCAGACTTCAGACTTTGGCTGAAGTACTTATAGATTCATTTTGACTTCCTAGCCAAAGCATTGGTTACTTAACCAATATTTCCAATTACGTATCCTGTCATAAAGAGAGAAGACTATTCCTGAACTTATGCAAATAACTATATTGCCATGAAAATAAGAATGGTCATAATAATTTCCAAATTCCGAAGAGATCAGGTGGGGGGGAAGTAAATATTTTCATTTTTGTTTACAAAAATAACTTTACAAAATTGCTAGAAACTTTAGATAGCTTAAAAGAAAAAGGTTTCCTTAAATCTGGAAAACAAAACATCAAAAGAACCAGCACAATTCCAAAATGAAAAGTCATTAAAACATCTTCATCAGTTCATCCAATTCCATGTAATTAATTCTCATTCTGCTTGATTTTGGTTAGTAGTTTTATGAAGCCATTAGTTTCTTCATTAGAGTTTTGGAAATGCTTACCTAGTTCAAAGGTATTATCTGAAAACCATCAGAAACCTGTTTCTGTCAGAGTCCTTCCCATGAATCTCCTTAAGGATGAAGCACTTTAGGAATATAATGGCTTACAAAAAAAAAAAAACTTTCAGAAAAGCATCAGAATAAAGTAATTAACTGTGAACAAAATGGCATGGCTAAAGAAATGATAAGAGCTTACTATAATAATGACACAATTGGCAAAGAAATTTTGTTATTTTGTGGTGTACAACATCTTAACACAATCAAAATTATGGCAGATAGCCTTATACCAAGACATATCAGATTGCTAGGAATTTCAAACAGTTTCTGGAACACATATTAATAACATATTCATACAAATGTAACTCAAAGAAGGTTAAATATAATTTCTTATTTAATAATACTTCCCATATAATTTAACATATCAAATAGTTCAAGGTCAAAAGACAGCATTTGGAATTTGATTTTGGAAAGTTAGTAAAAAATGTCAAAAGGCTTAAAACACATGGTTAAACAGGATCATCAGTAATTATGAAACAATGAAAAGCAAATACGGAAAAGTTACATAGTTAAAAAAAAGTAGCTCTTTTAATCTTAAGAAGATTCTATTTTTTAAGCAATCAAAAGACCTAATAAAAGACAACATAAAGTAAAAGAAATTATCTTAGTAAAACACAGAATTTCTTCTTTATTTTTCCTTATGCAGATCACTTAAAGGGTAAAGAATACCTTTCATAGTCTTTTATAAACACTCCAAGGAAATCCTGGGTTATTTTGTGCTTTTTTTTTTTGCAGCCATAAAAAAGGATGAGCTCATGTCCTTTGCAGGGACATGGATGAAGCTGGAAACCATCACTCTAAGCAAGCTGTCACAAGGACAGAAAACCAAACACTGCATGTTCTCACTCATAGGTGGGAGTTGAACAATGAGAACACATGGACACAGGGCAGGGAACGTCACACACTGGGGCCTGTCAGGGGATCGGGGGCTGGGGGAGGGATAGCATTAGTAGAAACACCTAATGTAAATGACAAGTTGATGGGTGTAGAAAACCAACATGGCACATGTATACCTATGTAACAAAACTGCACGTTGTGTACATGTACCCATACCTTAAGTACATATATACTTAAGGTATAATAAAAAAAAAAAGATTAGATGCTTCTATATTAATACTCATTTAAAAAACCACATAATAAATTCATTCAGTTTTAGCCCACTTGACCACACATGAAATTCTTTTCACAACCCTTCTACATACAGTGGGGAAAGGATAGTTGCTTTAATGAATGGTGCCTGGAAAAATGAATTTTCACATACAAAAGAATGAAATTGACCCTTATCTTACACCACCCACAAAATCAACTCAAAACGGATAAAAGACCTAAATATAAGGCCTGAATCCATACGTTTCTAGAAAAGAACATAGGAGAAAAAGTTCTTTGATGTGGCCTTGGCAACAATTTTTTTGAATATCACATGAAAAGCCCAGGCTACAACAACAAAAATAAATAAATGAAATCATATCAAACTAAAAAGCTTCTGCACAGCAAAGAAACAAACATCAACAAAATGAAAAGGCAATCTACAGTCTGGTAAAAATATTCACAAACTGCATATCTAATAAAGAATTAATATTCAAAATTTATAAAGAACTCTTACAACTCAATGGCAGAAAAACAAATAACCCAATTGGAAAATGGCAAAGAAGCTGAATAGACATTTCTCAAAAGAAGACATAAAAATAGCCAAGAGGTACATGAAAAGGTATTCAATACTACCAATCATCAGCAAAATGCAAATTTAAACCACTATGAGATATCACCTCTCACTTTTTAGGTGACAATTTTCAAAAAGATAAGATAAAACGAAGTTTGCAAGGATGTGGAGAAAAGGATGCCATATTCCATTGCTGGAAAAAATGTAGATTAGTACAGTTGTTATGGAAAACAGTATGGAGGTTTCTAATCAAATTAAAAATAGAACTACCATATGACCCAGCAACTCCTATTTTATATATACCCAAAGCAGATCATTGTGGTTAATTTTAGTTAATTTCAGCACATAGCACAATAGCAGCTACCCATTCCCCACCATCAGTCCCGTGGCAGACAGCTGTGCACGTGCTCTAGGAGCAGCTTGCATGCAGCTTGCAGGGGTCTCAGTGTGCAAAAATACACCCTGTCCTCCAAACATCATGGATCTAGGTTCTTATCACTGATTGCTGCTTCTAATCACAATGATACAGACAGACAGGAGCCATTGGTGTTGCTCTTTCACTCGTTTGTTCAAACTTCTCCCCCTCATCCAGCTGAAGTGACTTCCAGAGAATTTAAAGGGCTGGTCCAATTTCCCTGCCCTCCCCCTTTATTTTATTTCCCCTTTTGGAAGCTAGACATTAAATACTAGGACATTCAAAAGCCATTGCATATATAGTGAAAATCAGAAAGTGACTGTGCAAGTCAGGAAAAGGCACAGGCTCAGAAAAGACTTGAGAGGACCCTAAGTTCTCACCTCAGGCTAATCCTGAAGACAGCCTACAATCATAACAAATAAATAAATACATAATCAAACCCTGGAGAAGGGGAAGAATCTAATTTCCAGAGTTACCACATAATTAGATTCAAATATCCAATTTCCAATTAGAAAATTACAAAGTATACCAAAAAAAAAAAAAAACAGGAAAGTGTGGCCTATTCAAAGGAAATAATTAATCAGCAGAAACTCTTGCTGAAAAAGAACCAATGGCAGAACTACTAAACACTTTATTTAAAATAACTGTCTTAACAATGCTCAAAGAACTAAAGGAAGATGTGAAGAAAGTTAAGAAAACAATGTATAAACATGATGTAAATATCAATAAAGAGATAGAAAACCTAAAATGAAACCAAAAAATAACCTTTCTGGGCTGAAAAAGACAACAATTGAAACATTTACTAGAGAGATTCAAAGGCAGATTTGAGCAGAAAGAAAAATTAACAAACCAGAAGATAGGACAATATAAATTACTGAGTATGAGAAACAGAAAGAAAAAAAATTCAAGAAAAGTGAACATAGCCTAAGGGCTTTGCAGGACAGCATCAAGCCAACCAACATAACCAAACAACAACCAGCATTATAGAGTCTCAGAAAGAAAAGAGAGAGGAAAGGGGGCAAAGGGAATATTTGAAGAAATAGTGGCTAAAAACTTCCAAAATTTGATGAAATACAAAAATACGAAATTAAAGAAGCTCAATAATTTCCAAGTAAGAAGAATTCATAGAGACCCATATGAAGACACATTATAAGCAAACTCTCTAAAATCAAAGACAATGAGAGATCTTTAAAGGAGCAAGAGAGGAGCAACTAACATCACATACAAGTGATGTACAATAGGATTATCAGCAGATTTCTCATCAGAAACTTCGGAGCATAGAAGGCAGTGGCCAATATATTCAGAGCGAAAAAAAAAAAAGGCTGTCACCCAAGAATCCTATGTCCAGCCAAACTGTACCTCAAAGATGAGAAAGAAGTTAAGACTTTCTCAGAGAAACAAAAGCTGAGGGAGGTTGCTGTCATTAGCCCTGCCTTGCCAGACCTGATGGCTTCACTGGTGAATCCCACCAAACATTTAAAGAACTAACACCAATCTTTCTCAAACTTTTCCAAAAAATTAAAAAGGAGGGAATACTTCCAAACTCATTTTACAAGGCCAGCATTACCCTGATACCAAGCCAGAAAAAGACACTACAGGAAAAAGAAGAAAAAAAAAAAACTACAGACCAATATCCCTTAGGAACATTGCTGCAAAAATCCTCAGCAAAATACTAGCAAACCAAATTCAGCAGCATACTAAAAGGATTATATACCATGACTAAGTGAGTTTTATTACTGGGATACAAAGATGGTTTAAAATATAAATCTCACTTATAAGTAGGAGCTAAAAATTGAATACACATGAACATAATGTGAACAATAGACACTGCAGACTACTGATGGGGGAGGGAATGAGGGAGGCATGAAAATCTACCTATTGTGTACTATGCTCACTACCTGAATGATGGATCTGTACCCCAAACCTCAGCATCACACAATATACCCATGTAACAAACCTGCATATGTACTCCCTGTATCTAAAATAAAAGTTGAAAATGAATAGTTGATATTTATTAAAAATAAAATAAAACTTGGCATTATAAAAAAAGTAATCGCACAGAAGGGTGAAGTTATGGACCTTTATTGGAGCAAAGTTTCTACATTTTCTCAGAACTGTTTGTATTAATCTGAAGTAAACTGTGATTTTTAAAAATCCATAGAACAGCTAAAAATAACAAAAACATAATTTAAAATCGACAGAGAAAAGAAATTGGTACACTAAAAATAATGATTTTCCACAAAATAAGTCAAATAGTAGTAAAAGAGTAACAGAGGAACCAAAAAAAGGAACTTGAGACATAAAAAGAAAAATGAAGCTGGGCGTGATGGCTCACACCTGTAATCCCAGCCCTTTGGGAGGCCAAGGTGGGCAAATCACCTGAGGTCGGGAGTTCGATACCAGCCTAGCCAATATGGCAAAACCACATCTGTAATCCCAGCTACTCAGGAGACTGAGGTGGGAGAATCGCTTGAACCAGGGAGGCGGAGGTTGCAGTGACCTGAGATCGTGCCACTGCACTCCAGCCTGGGCGACAGAGTGAGACTCCTTCTCAGGGGAGAAAAAAGAAAAAGAAAGAAAAATGGCAGATGTAAACCCAGACATACTGGCAATAACACCAAATGTAAATGGACTACACACTCCAACCAAAAGCACTTTGGTTGAAAAATAAAAGTAGCTTGAAACAAAAAGAAAGTAAAAATATAAGTTATGTGAACAATAATCATTAGAATGCTGAAGTTACTATATCAATATCAAATAAAATAGACTTTAAGACACAAAATATTTCTGGAGTCATTTTATGTTTAAAGTGTCTATAAGTAAAGATACATTAATTATAAAATATATAAACATTGCCCCAAAATGTATGAAGCAAAATATTACATAATTGAAAGAAGAAACACACAATTCAACTATAATAGCTGGTATTTTAATATGCCACTCTCAATAATTGACATAGTAGAATATCGGCAAGAATTTAGAAGGTTTGAGCAACAAACACTATCAACCATCTTGACATAACTGACCCTTATAGAACATTCCATCCAATGACAGCAGACTATAGATTCTTTTCAAGTGCACATGAATATTTTTCAGGACAAACCCATATACTTCTATTGTAGAAGGATAAGACTTTAAAAAAAAAACACCAAAAGAAATAATAAAAACAGGATAGAAATCAATGAAGTAGAAAACAGAAAAATAAAGGAAATCAATGAAACTAGTAATTTTATCCTAAATATTGATCTAAAGAAAATAATATATTTAAAAATTTTTCTTTAGAAAAATCCTCATTGCATCTGTACTCACAAGATTAAATGCATTATGTCTGCAGACCTTTATAATCACAGGATAAATTTCTTATGAAATAATATAAATTTTTAAAAGAAAACTATAAAACCTATTCAGTAAGCTATCCCTTATCTAGATCAGAAAGTACTTAAAATTTTATACATTTTTGTGGAAGAATAATAGATTTTTTCTTAAGACTACATATTTTTATGAGTTGTTACTCAAAAATTTCTAGATAAAAACAATAAACTAGTTTAGAAAAAAAGCAACTGTAGGCTATCTTTTGAAGTCACTTCTTCAAAATATATTTATTTATTGAGTGTGAATTGCTGGAAATGCAGTAGTGAACAAGGAAGCCATCATCTCACCCTCATACTGTTTATAGTCTGAAAGAGAACCTACACAGAAAACACAGAAATACATCTGAATACAGGGGTCTCTGAGAATCAGATCTAGATCCTGCACCTGATTCTGCCTCTGATTTGCCACTTGACTGTAGTCAGCAACTTCTATCTGCCCTGCTCTCCTTTTCTGAAAAACGCCCTCCCTATTCCTATGGTTGACATGGAGCAACCATGCCTGTGTAATGGCATCCCACCCTTCATCACAGCACTCTGGATTAGGAGTAGGAACCTGACTTTAGCTGAGCCAAGAGATCCTTCCCCCAAATTTTTAGACTGTCACTCTCCAGCGGACAAAATTTTCAAAATGTAAAGCTGAAAAACTGTTTGCTTCCAGGCTATGGAGAAAGCCAATCTTAGCATGATATAAAAATACCAGACCGAAAATAGAGATGACAGATGGAGGAGGCTAGTTCTAGTCCTTCTTATAGACTAATATCCTTGCCCTTCCTACAGTCTAGTTGCTAAGTCTTTCCTTCTAGCCTATAAGCCAATAATTTCCAATTATGCTTGACAGTGTGTGCTCTATTTTGGTCAGCTGCAGCCTAAAAGACAGAACAAATAGTGTCCTTTTCAATTTACCTACCCTCCCTATTTTTTTATTTGTACATAGGAAATAGTAATTGCGTAAATACGTAACTAGGATGTTAAGAAGTTCAAAAGATAACAAGAGAATATGCCTTGAATGTGCTATCCATATACTGGTAATTAAAATTAATTTGCAATAAAATTCAAAGCCTGGAAAAAATATTCTAAGTGCCCTTTTGGTGGAGCCGAAATAATTTTTTTTTTCTTACAGAGTCTCACTCTGTCACCCAGACTGGGGTGCAGTGGTGCAATCTCTGCTCACTGCAACCTCCACCACCCGGGTTTAAGCAATTCTTGTGCCTCAGCCTCCGGAGTAGCTGGGATTACAGGCGTGTACCACCACACCTGGCTAATTTTTTTGTATTTTAGTAGAGATGGGGTTTTACTCTGTTGACCAGGCTGCTTTCGAACTCCCAGCCTCAAGCAATCTGCCCTCCTTGGTCTCCCAAAGTGCTGAGATTACAGGGATGAGCCACCATACCCGACTTCCTATTTTTATATCTAGTAAAACTCTGGACAAAGCAATGTGTCTAGCACAGGACTCTACATCCCACAGCGGCCTAAGATACTCTGTATGAATAGCTCAGTCAGTCAGAGGAAAAAATCTAGACCATGAACTGAGGGTAGTCTTCAGGAAATGGATGAATCCACTCTTGAGGATCACCTCTTTGGAGGACAGAACCTGGATGTGGAGCAGTGATAGGAACCATGAGGCCATCAGGACTGAATGGTTTAATGAAGGACATCACACAG
Source organism: Homo sapiens (assembly GCF_000001405.40). Taxonomy (NCBI): domain Eukaryota; kingdom Metazoa; phylum Chordata; class Mammalia; order Primates; family Hominidae; genus Homo; species Homo sapiens. The sequence goes on from NC_000011.10 coordinate 6,142,513, forward strand.
GGGCTTAAAAGCCCACAGCAGAGCTACAAGTAATCAGCCCTTACACTAGGATGGATGAACTTGAGAGCTATTGAGAGATAACTGTGAAGACAGAAGCTGCATTTTTTTCTAACAAGACAAGCTGCTGCTCTCACCAGTGATTAGCAATTTCAGACACCAAAGAATAGAGGCAAGGAGAGAGGCAATCACTGAAAAGGGTTTCAATTAAACCAATAGCGTCTATGTTTCCATCTGGAAGAGGCATAAGAGTAACAGTTATATCCTATATGAAATACTTGGCAGATTAGAAATTACTTCAAACACAATCTCGTTTAGTCCTCATAAAATGCTGCTAAATATGCTTCTTCACATCCAAAAAATTCTGAGAATCACAGTGATTCAATGACTTACTCTGTTAATAAGGTTATAACTTCAAATTTTTGGTTAACACAATAAAACATGATTTGCTGTTCACAGAGAAAAGAAGAAAATGATGATGTTGCTGGTTGAATTGTGCTACTGATTGGCTCTCCTCCAAGTATTGACTTAGGATTCCAAACTCTTCTTTACTTGAAATGCTGCTATTTTCAGCATGTGTTCTCTGATGTCACCATGAACAAGAAAGAGCACATGGAAATGCTACACTGGATATTTAAGTACCTCAATGTGGAAGTGACACACATCACTTCTGCCCACATTTCTTTGGCCATCCTAGTTATGTAGTCCCATCTAGAAAAAAAGATTATTATTTGTTTAATGTATCACTAGCTTGTTAGCTGTTTCCCAGGAACAGCTCTCTCCTATGGAAGGAGCAGAATGGCTTAAATGTTACTGCATCATAGCCTAATTGACTGCTGGAGATCATGTGAATGAGTTTACACCTGGGAATGTGATTGACAGTTAAGAGGACTATGAGTTCTCTAGACTGTCTCACCCATCTTCATGGCTGGAAGTAAATACCAAAAATGGAGGAAAACAGTATAGATGCAGAATTTTATTTGCAAGTGGGGAGATAATAATCTGATAACAGAAATTGAAAAAATGGTGATCTGTGCTATGCAATAGACAAATAGTTGGTATACCTACAGCATGTCAGGAGAATGGACCAGCTGCCTCCTAGACTTGTAGCTCTAGCAGAAGAGATGTTAGAAAATACAGTGTTGGTGAAGATGGCCGAATAGGAACAGCTCCGGTCTACAGCTCCCAGCGTGAGCGACGCAGAAGACGGGTGATTTCTGCATTTCCATCTGAGGTACCGGGTTCATCTCACTAGGGAGTGCCAGACAGTGGGCGCAGGTCAGTGGGTGCGCACACCGTGCGCGAGCTGAAGCAGGGCGAGGCATTGCCTCACTTGGGAAGCGCAAGGGGTCAGGGAGTTCCCTTTCCTAGTCAAAGAAAGCGGTGACAGACGGCAGCTGGAAAATCGGATCACTCCCACCTGAATACTGCACTTTTCCCACGGCCTTAAAAACCGATGCACCAGGAGATTATATCCGGCACCTGGCTGGGAGGGTCCTACGCCCACGGAGTCTCGCTGATTGCTAGCACAGCAGTCTGAGATCAAACTGCAAGGCGGCAGCGAGGCTGGGGGAGGGGCGCCCGCCATTGCCCAGGCTTGCTGAGGTAAACAAAGCAGCTGGGAAGTTCCAACTGGGTGGAGCCCACCACAGCTCAAGGAGGCCTGCCTGCCTCTGTAGGCTCCACCTCTGGGGGCAGGGCACAGACAAACAAAAAGACAGCAGTAACCTCTGCAGACTTCAATGTCCCTGTCTGACAGCTTTGAAGAGAGCAGTGGTTCTCCCAGCACGCAGCTGGAGATATGAGAACGGGTAGACTGCCTCCTCAAGTGGGTCCCTGACCCCTGAACCCCGAGCAGCCTAACTGGGAGGCACCCCCCAGCAGGGGCAGACTGACACCTCACACGGCCGGGTACTCCAACAGACCTGCAGCTGAGGGTCCTCTCTGTTAGAAGGAAAACTAACAAACAGAAAGGACATCCACACCAAAAACCCACCTGTACATCACCATCATCAAAGACCAAAAGTAGATAAAACCACAAAGATGGGGAAAAAACAGAACAGAAAAACTGGAAACTCTAAAAAGCAGAGCACCTGTCCTCCTCCAAAGGAATGCAGTTCCTCACCAGCAACGGAACAAAGCTGGATGGAGAATGACTTTGATGAGCTGAGAGAAGAAGGCTTCAGACGATCAAATTACTCCGAGCTACGGGAGGACATTCAAACCAAAGGCAAAGAAGTTGAAAACTTTGAAAAAAATTTAGAAGAATGTATAACTAGAATAACCAACATAGAGAAGTGCTTAAAGGAGCTGATGGAGCTGAAAACCAAGACTCGAGAACTACGTGAAGAATGCAGAAGCCTCAGGAGCCGATGCGATCAACTGGAAGAAAGCATATCAGTGATGGAAGATGAAATGAATGAAATGAAGTGAGAAGGGAAGTTTAGAGAAAAAAGAATAAAAAGAAACGAGCAAAGCCTCCAAGAAATATGGGACTATGTGAAAAGACCAAATCTACGTCTGATTGGTGGACCTGAAAGTGACGGGGAGAATGGAACCAAGTTGGAAAACACTCTGCAGGATATTATCCAGGAGAACTTCCCCAGTCTAGCAAGGCAGGCCAACATTCAGATTCAGGAAATACAGAGAACGTCACAAAGATACTCCTCGAGAAGAGCAACACCAAGACACATAATTGTCAGATTCACCAAAGTTGAAATGAAGGAAAAAATGTTAAGGGCAGCCAGAGAGAAAGGTTGGGTTACCCTCAAAGGGAAGCCCATCAGACTAACAGCAGATCTCTCAGCAGAAACTCTACAAGCCAGAAGAGAGTGGGGGCCAATATTCAACATTCTTAAAGAAAAGAATTTTCAACCCAGAATTTCATATCCAGCCAAACTAAGCTTCATAAGTGAAGGAGAAATAAAATACTTTACAACAAGCAAATGCTGAGAGATTTTGTCACCACCAGGCCTGCCCTACAAGAGCTCCTGAAGGAAGCGCTAAACATGGAAAGGAATAACCAGGACCAGCCGCTGCAAAATCATGCCAAAATGTAAAGACCATCGAGACTAGGAAGAAACTGCATCAACTAACGAGCAAAATAACCAGCTAACATCATAATGACAGGATCAAATTCACACATAACAATATTAACTTTAAATGTAAATGGACTAAATGCTCCAATTAAAAGACACAGACTGACAAATTGGATAAAGAGTCAAGACCCATCAGTGTGCTGTATTCAGGAAACCCATCTCACGGGCAGAGACACACATAGGCTCAAAATAAAAGGATGGAGGAAGATCTACCAAACAAATGGAAAACAAAAAAAGGCAGGGGTTGCAATCCTAGTCTCTGATAAAACAGACTTTAAACCAACAAAGATCAAAAGAGACAAAGAAGGCCATTACATAATGGTAAAGGGATCAATTCAACAAGAAGAGCTAACTATCCTAAATATATATGCACCCAATACAGGAGCACCCAGATTCATAAAGCAAGTCCTGAGTGACCTACAAAGAGACTTAGATGCCCACACATTAATAATGGGAGACTTTAACACCCCACTGTCAACATTAGACAGATCAACGAGACAGAAAGTCAACAAGGATACCCAGGAATTGAACTCAGCTCTGCACCAAGCAGACCTAACAGACATCTACAGAACTCTCCACCCCAAATCAACAGAATATACATTTTTTTCAGCACCACACCACACCTATTCCAAAATTGACCACATACTTGGAAGTAAAGCTCTCCTCAGCAAATGTAAAAGAACAGAGATTATAACAAACTATCTCTCAGACCACAGTGCAATCAAACTAGAACTCAGGATTAAGAATCTCACTCAAAACCGCTCAACTACATGGAAACTGAACAACCTGCTCCTCAATGACTACTGGGTACATAATGAAATGAAGGCAGAAATAAAGATGTTCTTTGAAACCAACGAGAACAAAGACACAACATACTAGAATCTCTGGGACACATTCAAAGCAGTGTGTAGAGGGAAATTTATAGCACTAAATGCCCACAACAGAAAGCAGGAAAGATCCAAAATTGACACCCTAACATCACAATTAAAAGAACTAGAGAAGCAAGAGCAAACACATTCAAAAGCTAGCAGAAGGTAAGAAATAACTAAAATCAGAGCAGAACTGAAGGAAATAGAGACACAAAAAACCCTTCAAAAAATTAACGAATCCAGGAGCTGGTTTTTTGAAAGGATCAACAAAATTGATAGACCGCTAGCAAGACTAATAAAGAAAAAAAGAGAGAAGAATCAAATAGACGCAAGAAAAAATGATAAAGGGGATATCACCACCGATCCCACAGAAATACAAACTACCATCAGAGCATACTACAAACACCTCTATGCAAATAAACTAGAAAATCTAGAAGAAATGGATAAATTCCTCAACACATACACTCTCCCAAGACTAAACCAGGAAGAAGTTGAATCTCTGAATAGACCAATAACAGGAGCTGAAATTGTGGCAATAATCAGTAGCTTACCAACGAAAAAGAGTCCAGGACCAGATGGATTCACAGCCGAATTCTACCAGAGGTACAAGGAGGAACTGGTACCATTCCTTCTGAAACTATTCCAATCAATAGAAAAAGAGGGAATCCTCCCTAACTCATTTTATGAGGCCAGCATCATCCTGATACCAAAGCCGGGCAGAGACACAACCAAAAAAGAGAATTTTAGACCAATATCCTTGATGAACATTGATGCAAAAATCCTCAATAAAATACTGGCAAACCGAATCCAGCAGCACATCAAAAAGCTTATCCACCATGATCAAGTGGGCTTCATCCCTGGGATGCAAGCTGGTTCAACATACGCAAATCAATAAATGTAATCCAGCACGTAAACAGAACCAAAGACAAAAACCACATGATTATCTCAATAGATGCAGAAAAAGCCTTTGACAAATTCAACAACCTTCATCCTAAAAACTCTCAATAAATTAGGTATTGATGGGACATATCTCAAAATAATAAGAGCTATCTATGACAAACCCACAGCCAACATCATACTGAATGGGCAAAAACTGGAAGCATTCCCTTTGAAAACTGGCACAAGACAGGGATGCCCTCTCTCACCACTCCTATTCAACATAGTGTTGGAAGTTCTGGCCAGGGCAATCAGGCAGGAGAAGGAAATAAAGGGTATTCAATTAGGAAAAGAGGAAGTCAAATTGTCCCTGTTTGCAGTCAACATGATTGTATATCTAGAAAACCCCATTGTCTCAGCCCAAAATCTCCTTAAGCTGATAAGCAACTTCAGCAAAGTCTCAGGATACAAAATCAACATACAAAAATCACAAGCATTCTTATACACCAACAACAGACAAACAGAGAGCCAAATCATGAGTGAACTCCCATTCACAATTCCTTCAAAGAGAATAGAATACCTAGGAATCCAACTTACAAGGGACGTGAAGGACCTCTTCAAGGAGAACTACAAACCACTGCTCAAGGAAATAAAAAAGGATACAAATGGAAGAACATTCCATGCTCATGGGTAGGAAGAATCAATATCGTGAAAATGGCCATACTGCCCAAGGTAATTTACAGATTCAATGCCATCCCCATCAAGCTACCAATGACTTTCTTCACAGAACTGGAAAAAACTACTTTAAAGTTCATATGGAACCAAAAAAGAGCCCGCATCGCCAAGTCAATCCTGAGCCAAAAGAACAAAGCTGGAGGCATCACACTACCTGACTTCAAACTATACTACAAGGCTACGGTAACCAAAACAGCATGGTACTGGTACCAAAACAGAGATATAGATCGATGGAACAGAACAGAGGCCTCAGAAATAATGACGCATATCTACAACTATCTGATCTTTGACAAACCTGAGAAAAACAAGCAATGGGGAAAGGATTCCCTATTTAATAAATGGTGCTGGGAAAACTGGCTAGCCATATGTAGAAAGCTGAAACTGGATCCCTTCCTTACACCTTATACAAAAATCAATTCAAGATGGATTAAAGACTTAAACATTAGACCTAAAACCATAAAAACCCTAGAAGAAAACCTAGGCATTACCATTCAGGACATAGGCATGGGCAAGGACTTCATGTCTAAAACACCAAAAGCAATGGTGACAAAAGACATAATTGACAAATGGGATTTCATTAAACTAAAGAGCTTCTGCACAGCAAAAGAAACTACCATGAGAGTGAACAGGCAACCTACAAAATGGGAGAAAATTTTCGCAACCTACTCATCTGACAAAGGGCTAATATCCAGAATCTACAATGAACTCAAACAAATTTACAAGAAAAAAACAAACTCCATCAAAAAGTGGGCAAAGGACATGAACAGACACTTCTCAAGAGAAGACATCTATGCAGCCAAAAAACACATGAAAAAATGCTCACCATCACTGGCCATCAGAGAAATGCAAACCAAAACCACAATGAGATACCATCTCACATCAGTTAGAATGGCAATCATTAAAAAGTCAGGAAACAACAGGTGCTGGAGAGGATGTGGAGAAATAGGAACACTTTTACACTGTTGGTGGGACTGTAAACTAGTTCAACCATTGTGGAAGTCAGTGTGGCGATTCCTCAGGGACCTAGAAATAGAAATACCATTTGACCCAGCCATCCCATTACTGGGTATATACCCAAAGGACTATAAATCATGCTGCTATAAAGACACATGCACACGTATGTTTATTGCGGCATTATTCACAATAGCAAAGACTTGGAACCAACCCAAATGTCCAACAATGATAGACTGGATTAAGAAAATGTGGCTCATATACACCATGGAATACTATGCAGCCATAAAAAATGATGAGTTCATGTCCTTTGTAGGGACATGGATGAAATTGGAAATCATCATTCTCAGTAAACTATCACAAGGACAAAAAACCAAACACCGCATGTTCTCAGTCATAGGTGGGAATTGAACAATTCCCACCTGTGGAGTGTTGGGTGGGACTTTGGAGTCTCTCCTGTGGAGAGAATTTGGGTGTGGTCTCTACATTGTGAAAAGGGAGCAAATAAATATTAAGTAACCAAAAGTACAGATGGTGACAGAGACAATTAATACTGCAAATCCATGAGTACTCCTATATTTCCCAGCTTTCCCTGCAGTTGAGTTTGGGCCATGAGGCCACAGGCTTATCAGTGAAAATGTGAATAAAAGTGATGAATTACTTAAGACCAAGACAGTTAATAATTGCTCTATCTCATGCTTCTCTCTCTTTCCTGGCTTTAGCAACTCTGAAAAATGTATGTTTACATAACATCACAAGATGGAGGGATTCAGGATTCCTGAGCCACTAAATGGATAATAGATCCTATTGACACACACTACACTTTAAAGGATAGAGGTATGAACTTTGTTTTGATAATTCACTGAAATTGTATGATGCATTACTGTAGCATAGCCTAAGCTACCCTTCTAATACAGACATGTTTATTTTGAGATACCTACTAAATATACAACTGGAGAAGTCAAGAAATAGTTCACTATATAAATGTGGATCTCAAGGGAAAAGGCTGAGCTGAAGGGAGCAGTTTGGAAGTAATCATAATTTATAAATGGAATTTAAAGCTATTCAAATTTAGCTCTGATTAGATTTTTTAAAAGGTACAAATAGGTAAGAGGAACTAACATCATAGAATATTAGCTTGCTTCATTTTTCTAACATCTGAATATATGATATATCATTTTTCCTATTATCAGTGTGGGCCCATAACTTGTTCTTTGTTCCTGTGAGTTCAGACCCTCAGCTCTCTATGAGTAGTGCCTGTGTCAGTGTCACCTGGCCCATTTCCTGGATGAGTAAAAGGATTTTTTTTTTATATTTATTTATTTATTTTGAGACGAAGTCTCACTTTGTCGCCCAGGCTGGAGTGCAATGGCGCGATCTCAGCTCACTGCAACCTCTGCCTACTGGGTTCAAGCAATTCTCCTGCCTCAGCCTCCCGAGTAGCTGGGATTACAGACACCCGCAACCATGTCTGGCTAATTTTGTATTTTTAGTAGAGATGGGGTTTCACCATGTTGGTCAGGCTGGTCTTGAACTCCTGACCCCAGCTGACCCACCCACCTTAGCCTCCCGAAGTGCTGGGATTACAGGCATGAGCCACTGTGCCCAACCTGTAAAAGGATTTTAAAATATAATAATGGTGATCGTTCCTTACATATAAAATATAATCAATGCAAACCTTAATCCTTTTTCAACAGCTTAGTGGAGTTCCCCCAACACACACCTTTTTTTTTTTTTTTTGAGACAATCTCTTGCTCTGTCATCCATGCTGGTGTGCAGTGGTGTGATCTCGGCTCACTGCAACCCCAGCCTCCCAGGTTCAAATGATCCTCCTGCCTCAGCCTCCCAAGTAGCTGGAATTACAGACATGCGCTACCATGACTAGCTAATTTTGTGTGTGTGTGTATTTTTAGTAGAGATGGGGTTTCTCCATGTTGGCCAGGCTCGTCTCGGGCTCCTAGCTTCAAATAATCCATCTGCCTCAGCCTCCCAAAGTACTGGGATTACAAGTGTGAGCCACCATTCTGGTCTGCTTCATGTTTTTCAAAAGCATTTTTTAAATATTTATTACCCAGTTTGATTTTCACCACAAACTTGTGATAATGACAGCAGTGATGCTGGAGATGATGATGATCATGACACAGCCTTGGAAGGTAAGCAGGAGGAGGCAGAAGAGCCTCTGGAAATATTGGGACTCTCATATACATCAAATCTAAGACATCTTCCTCAGGCAACAAACTTCAAGTTAAAATTATAGCTAACATGAGATCCCACGTAATACTGGGCAATGTGCCAAGTAGTTTACATATTTAATTTAATCCTTACAAAAACTTTAGAGCATAGATATGAGCAGTTCAACTTTACAGGTTAAAACTAAATTTTCAAAAGATGGGAACCTCTCCATGATTTTTCAAAATCAGAAAGTGAAGGAGCCAGGATTTGAATCCAAGTATATTTTATTCCAAAGTCCATGTGCTTTCTGCTGCAACACACTATAGGGCCTAAACTTGGGAACTTGATTGGCAACTTCTCTTTTCTCCTACTGGTAAGAGAAAACTGTGAAGAGACCATGATGTCTCAAGACTTCCCCACCACAGATAACATATGAGCCATACTGTCCCTGATTTGCTTGGTCTTCTCTCCGTAGATAATGGGGTTAAGCATGGGGGAACAAGCAAGTAGAGATTTGCCAGAAGTATGTGGACATGATGGGGGATATTCTTGCCAAAGCGGTGGGTCAGGAAAGTAAAAAATGATGGGATGAAGAAGAGGAGAACAACTCCAATGTAGAACCACAGGTGTTAAGAGCTTTGTGCTGGGACTCCTGGGAAGGAAGTCTAAACACAGCCTGGAGGATCAAAGTGTAGGAAAAACCAATGAATGCAACATCTACCAAAACCGATGCCATTGGCACTGAAAAGCCATACCAGATATTGACAGTTATGTCAGCACAGGCCAATTGGGCCACCCCAATGTGCTCACAGTATGAGTGGGGGATGATATTGGTCTGACAGTATGGCAGCCTCTTCAGCAGGAATATGACAGGAAAAATTGTCCCAATGCTTTGTCCCCAGATTGTCAGGGTCATTTTTCCATTTACCATAGAAGTTAAGATGGTAGTGTATCTCAAGGGAGTACAAATGGCTACATAACTGTCAAATGCCATGGCCAGCAGGATTCCTGACTCAGCCACAAAGGCAACATGAATGAAAAACATCTGAGTAATGCAGGCATCAAAGGCTATCTCCCCAGCGTGGACCCAGAAGATCGCCAAGGCCTTAGGCACAGTGGTGGTGGATAGCAGGATATCAGTGCCAGCCAGCATGGATAGGAAGACATGGAGGGTGTGTTCACTGAGGACAACTAGGATGAGGGCTCCATTTCCCAAGACTGCAGTGATGTACATAAGGTAGAAAGGAATGGAAAGCCAGATGTGGTATTGCTCCAGTCCTGGGATGCCAAGGAGAATGAATAGAGTGGGATGGAAGGTGGTGAGATTAGCACCAAACATGCCTTCTTTTGGAGTCTCTCTATGAAGACTAAAGAACATGAGAGTTAGTCAGCAGAGCCAGTTGTAAGTTCCACTAAAAGTTGAACATGGAATCAATCACTAATGCCTTGACTGAGAGTATATAATGTTATTCTTCCACTTCTCACATTATAATTGCAGATACAAATATAAACAAAGGTTTCTGATCACATCTCAGCAATATCTAGAAGCCATACATACCTCCCCATTCTCATTGGCATGTTCTTGCTCAGGCTTTGATCATCATTTACCTGTTCTGTTGCAACAGTGTCCTAAACTAATCTGGTCTCCCTGTCTTCCAGCTTCCCAACCTCAACTCCTTCACATTCATCAGCTATGTTGCAGTCTGGTTGGTATGCTCAAAACAAATATCTTCGTCTGTTTTCTCTTATTACTCTTATATAATTATTTATTGACTTATGAAGTCCAAAGTTCTCAAGCATGCAAAGCCCTCCACAATCCCACTGTTACTTTCTTCTCCAGCTTTAATCGCCTGTAGACTCTAATAAAGCTAAATTAGATTATTTATACTAAATATTCTCCACACAAAACCTGGGTTTCTAACTCTCATGACTTTTCTCAAGTTTTTACCCTAACCTGGAACATACTTTTCTATCTTTAGTGTTTGTTGAAACACTGATCTTCCAATTCACAGCTTAAATATTTATTATTGGGGAAGCCTTTCCTAGGTTCAAATCCTAGCCTTCTGATTTTCTGATTATTGGCAAAAAGAGTTTTTCACATATCAGAAATTTAGCCTGATCTGTGAAATTGAACTATCCACACTTATTTTGCAAGAATTAATTTAAATACTTTCTGCAAACTGCCAAGCATAGTGCCTGGAAGAGAAACACCAAACAAATGCTAGTTATTGGTATTATGTGGATCAGTACAACTTAGTAGACATGTTAGAAACCAATAAAAATATATTTAGAATTCAAAATGTGATAAAGTAGCATTCAATTTAGTGGGGGAAAGGAAAGCCTATTTGATTAATGGCTTTGAGATATTGGACTATATTATTTTTGTAAGAGAATAAAATTAGTTCCCACCTTACTCAGTAAACAAACAGAAATTCCAGATTAATAAAATATGTACATTTTTAAGATGAAACTATAAAAATATTTTCTAAACTTAAATGAGGGTCTGAAGCAGAAACATGATAAAATGTTTTGAAGGTTGAAAGATCTGACTGAGATAAGAAAACCAAATTTCATAGAAAGTAGCCACTGAAGGATGCAATTATGTAAAAATGTAGTCAATAATAAATAACAATTTTTGGAGAAAAAAACACAAAACATGTAATATACAGGAGGTTAATATATTCTTAAACACTAAAAGTTGGTATAATTGAAAAAGAAAAAATTAGAAAATGTCCAAAGAATTAAAATAGATAAAGTCAATGAAAAAAACAGATGGCCAATATACATATGACTAGATGCTTGACCTTACAAAATTTCAAGAAATGAAAATTAGCATCATCTTGAAATATCATAATTCTCTTATTATATTGGAAAACTTTAGGAAAACAGCCCCCACTGCTGGTGGCAGGTAACTTAGTATAGTGATTTTGGAAAGTAATTTAACAGTAGCTATTAAGAATTCTAATTGTTCAAATCATTTAATCTGATAATATCACTTTTGGCAACTACCTGCTGAAATTACAGCTTAAGAACATAGAGATATATCTATAAGGATATTCTTTGGTACATTGCTGCAATGGCAAAAGAAACTGTTAAAACTTCCATATCCATATTACAATGGAATGTTTTGTTTCCATTAAAAATTAAAAAGTATTCATCATGGCATACAGTTTGTTTATTTATTTATTTATTTATTTATTTATTTATTTATTTATTTGAGGCACAGTCTCACTCTATTGCCCAGGCTAGAGTACAGTGGCATGATCTCGGCTCAATGCAATCTCTACCACCCGGGTTCAAGCGATTCTCCTGCCTCAGCTTCCCAAGTAGCTGGGACTACAGGTGCACACCACCATGCCTGGCTAATTTTTGTATTTTTAGTAAGACAGGGTTTGGCCATGTTGGCCAGGCTGTTCTTGAATTCCTGACCTCAGGTGATCTGCCCGCCTCAGCCTCCCAAAGTGCTAGGATTACAGGTGTGAGCCACCATGCCCAGGCTCTTGTAGTTAAGTTTAAAAAAGCAAACTGAAGATTAAAATGTGTAAGATAATTCTTTTTTCTGTCTATCAGGATACTTTATATTATGAATAAGAGAAAATCCAACTCGATTTTGGCCTGCAACAAAGGGGATGTCTTTGCCCTGTAACTGAAAAATATGACTCTAGTATCAGGTTTATCTAAAGATTCAAGACATTATTGGGGGCACTATTTCTTTATAACTCTCTTAGCCCTCCAGATATTGACTCTCCTAGGACCAGAAATAAGGTGAGATGAGTAAGACACTTACCTTGAGGGCAAAATTTAAGTAGGTACCAAAAAACCACAGTAAGCAAGATAAATACTTTAATACAATGTTTCAGAATGAAAATTAATGCAAAAAATTCACAGTGAACACAATATTAAAATTTTAAATAAAGATAGGATCTGACAGTGCTATATACTGAGCTATTGTTTGGAGTCTGAAGCCCTTATAAATGTTTTCATGTATTATTAATAGCTAAATTTTTTCAATAATTTTATTTTGAATATATTATTCATTATTTTTTCCATTAAAGCCAATAAAATTTTTTTAATTCTAATTTTTATCTAAATAAAATATTTAAACTTATACTAATGTTATGAGTTTTAATATGCTTACTTTTAGATATTTCAATATATTTAAAATACTTTAATATTCCAGAAAAAAAAATTAACCCTAGTCCTAGCCCTGCATAGGAGAAATGTCTGCAGCAGTTCAAGATGTCAAGATGTACACATTAGATAGTGTGTACTTATAATACACTGTCCAGAAGAATTGTGAAGATCTTGTCTGAATCAACAGTTTATTGGATTTATTTCAGGAAAACCTAAAAATCCTAGGAAACAAACATTTATTCCCTGCCCCAAAACTTACCCCAGTTGAAGAGAAAGTTATTCTCCAACATGGGGAAGGAGCTGCCAGATGCACAGTATGGAGTGAAACAGGACGGTAATTGTACTTCATCCTTAGGAATCCCTGGGGTGAGGAGACAGCTTCTACCCTACTAGGTATTTAGGGAGTGTTTGGTTTAATTAGACAGATGGAGACCCCAGCAGAACCAGTCTCCAGTGATCACTGCCTCAGGAACCAAAGAGGATGGGTAATCTAACTGTCCTTCCTGCAGCGCTCTGTACATACTGTGTTTCCTAATGACTCCATATCTCTAACACATAAACACAGAATGGATTAGAGCTGCTACTAGTTAATACGTAGAATATTAAAGGCCAAGCTGTACCTACTAGACCTCAATATACATATAAACATGTGGAGAGATAGAAGAAATAGTAGGTCAAAAGAAGCTAAGTGTATGGGTGGGTGGGTGTGTGTGTGTGTGTGTAAGTGATTCCAGTTACAAAACTAGACAATATTTAACAAGGGTTCAGAGGTCAATCACCTCACCAATATTTCAATCCATAAATATACATATGTATGCTCTATGCTAGATATTGGAACTATAATGATGAGGAAGACATTCTCTGCCCTCACAGAACTCAAGTTCTCGTGGGTTCATAAGTAGAGTTATTAATATTTAGTTGAGATGATAAACGTCGTTGGTTTGGAGACCAAGAAGATAAGGTGATTACCTCTGAATTGGGGGGATCAGTGAAGAGTTCAAAGAACTCTACCATTTACCAAGTAAGTGACCTTGACTACTTATTCTCTCTGTGCCTTGGGTACCTCTGTGTATTAACCAGAGATAATAGCAGCACTATCTAATGGGGTTGTATGAGAATTAAATGAGATAATGCAGCAGAGAACTGAACATGGTTTCTAGCATAGAGTCATCCCTTAATAAACATGAGTTGTTGAGAGGAGCAGAGCAAGATGTTCAAATAGAAGCCTCCACTGAGTGTCCCCCAACAGGAACATCAAACTTAACAACTATTTACACACAAAAACACAGCTTCATAAAAACCAAAAATCAGGTGAGCAGTCACAGTGCCTGGTTTTAACTTTATATCACTGAAAGAGGCACTGAAGAGTGTAGGAAAAATAGTCTTGAATCACTGACGCCACCCCTCCCCCACCCCCCAGCAGTGGCCACGTGACACAGAGAATCTGTGCACTTGTGGGAGGAAGAGCGCAGCGATTGTGGAAGGTTTTGCATTGGAACTCAGTGCTGCCCTGTCACAGTAGAAAGCAAAACCAGGTTCAACTCAGCCAATACCCACAGAGGGAGCATTTAGATAAGCCCTAGCCACAGGTGAATCGTCCATGTCAGCGATTGGAACTTGAGCTTTGGTAAGTTTCACCACCACAAGCTAAAGTTCTCTGGAGTCCTAAATAAACTTGAAAGACAGTTTAGGGCACAAGTTCTGCAACTCATAGGCAAGTTCTAGTGCTGTGGTGGGCTCAGAGCTAGTGGACGTGGGAGGCATGAAATCTAGTGAGACACCAGCTGAGGTGACTAAGGGAATGTTTTTACCACCCCTCCCCCAACCCCAGGCAGCACAGCTCACACAAATGAAAGTGACTCCCTTCTGCTTGAGGAGAGGGAAGTGTAAAGAGGACTTTGTCTTGCAACTTGGATATCAGCTTAGCCACAGTTGGATAGGACACCAGGCAGAGTCATGAGGCCCTCATTCCAGGTCCTAGCTCCCAGATGACATTTCTAGACACACCCTGGGCCAGAGGGGAACCCACCATCCTGAGAAGAAGGACTAAGTTCTGGCAGGATTCATCAGCTGCTGACTAAGGAGCTTTTGGTCCCTGAATAATCAGCAACACTACACAGGTAGTACCACAGTAGTAGTCGTGGGCTTTAGGTGAGACTCTGAGACGTGCTGGCTTCAGGTGAGACCCAGCACATTTCTAGCTGTGGTGGCTATAGTGAGAGATTCCTTCTGCTTGAGAAAAGCAGAGGGAAAAGTAAAGGGGACTTTGTCATGCATCTTAGGTACCAGCTCAACCCCAGTGAGGTAGAGCATCAAGTGGACTCAGCGTTCCCAGTTCTAGGTCTTAGCTCTTAGATAGCATTTCTGGACCTGCCCTAGGCAAGAGGGGAGCCCACTACCCTGAAGGGTGAGTCCCAGGTCTGGCAGCATTCACCATAGCTGACTGAAGAGCCCTGAGCCTTAGGTAAACATCAGTAGTAGTTTGGCAGTACTCCCCATGGGCCATGGGGTGGTGGCCATGGGAAGAAGCTATTCTGCCTGGGAAAGGAAAGAGTGGGATCTTCCCTTTCCTTCCCTGGTATCTCGTGATTTGAGTGCCAGCATAGCTGCAAAGAATAGAGCACCAGGCAAATTTACAAGGTTTTTTACTGCAGTCCCTGGTCCTTAGACAGCATCTCTGGACCTGTTCAGGCCCTGGGAAAACTTATCGCCCTGAAGGGAAGGACACAAGACTGGCTGGCTTCATTGCATGCTGATCATAGACCCCTAAGGCCTTGAGCAAACACAGGTGGTAGCTAGGCAGTAAATAAGGGAAGAGAACAAGAGTCTCTGCCTAATAATACAAATAATTCTTCTGGTTATTATTTAAGACTGACAAGGTGGTGCTTCTATAAGTATGCAAAACACCAGTGTTACTAGGCTTGGGGTGCCTACTAGTGCAGATATGGCTTAGGTCAAAACACCCAAGTCTCTCCTTTGACTGGAGCAGTGAAAAAGAACAACAACAACAAAATTTAAAACAACACCCAACAAAAGAAGATTACTACAGTAGGTGTAAGATTTTTCATTTGCCAGTTTTTAAGTTTCTTTTTTTTCTTTTTGAGATGGAGTCTCACTTACCTTGTCTCCCAGGCAGGAATGCAGTGGCGTGATCTCGGCTCACTGCAACCTCCGTCTCCAGAATTAAAGTGATTCTCCTGCCTCAGCCTCCCAAGTAGCTGGGATTACAGGTGTGTGCCACCACACCTGGCTATTTTTTGTATTTTTAGTAGAGACGGGGTTTCACCATGTTGGCCAGGCTGGTATGGAATGCCTGACCCCAGGAGATCCACCCACCTTGGCCTCCCAAAGTGCTGGGATTACAGGCAAGAGCCACAGCGCCCAGCCAGTTTTGAAGTTTCTTAATTGAATTACTGGCTTTAGGGTTGAGCCCTTAGAAGAACAGGGCCAGGAAAGGGGTCTCTGGTGCCTCCTGTTTTTCCCAAGTAGTCCAGGCTGTTAGAGCTTGAATATCTGCTTTAAATTAAACTGAGTTTAACCATAGCAGTTTTTAATAAAGTCCTTTTAGAATTTCTTATGCCAAACGGCCCATATTTCTGGCTTTTGAACTTTATCAAAGGTAACCTCCCAGATGCTTAGAGAAAGGGAAATTTAAGACAGTCTGTGGAGAAGAAGAGAATAGACAAGGTCACACAGATAATAAACCAGAAATAACTTACTTCCTATATGGGGAATCCAACCCAGACCACCACTGTGAAAGTGTAAAACCTTAGCTACTGAGCTACACAGCACAGGGCAGTCTCCATTCCTTTTCCCAGAAGGAGTCTAGAGTAGTTCATTTTGAGATTGCATAGTCTTTTAACTGTTTAATATATTTTTTAGAGGTAACTATGACATGAACTCTAAAATTCCTGTTCCCTGGAAGGTGGAGACCAAGAGAAAGTACATCACATGGTTAAAAGGTCAAGCTCCTAAGGACATTAAGCAAGGTGGAGACTTCATCCCATTTTTTTGTTTGTTTTTGCTGGGTCGTCTTGAAAAGTGGGTTTACAGGTGTTCTAAGCCCATGCTTTATGCTAAAGTACCCCTCAACACAGAAAAATGGATTCATTGCACAAAATACACCAGCTTAAGACTAGCCTTAGAATTCTTTTTCATATTAATAAAAACTTTACAGAGGAGATAAACGTTGATTTTTTTTCCATTCATTCAACTGTTTGCACAGAGAGAAAGAAGCCAGAAATCTGACTGCTAAGAAATTCTAACCCTTTTGCCGGCATGCCAGGCTTCTGGCTTCCCTTTCCCTGAGTGGCCCTAGTTTTCTGGCTTGCAGCCCCATTGCCCTAGGGGCCAAGCCACATCATAAAGGAAAATTATTTTTTTTTTGTTCTGGCCAGAGCAAAATACATGTGATAAAACATAAACATTAGCCACTCTGTTTAGCACCCAATAGAACGAGCAAGGCTTAAATTTGCCCCCAAATGGGCCCTGTCATCGTTAATCCAACCTCTAACTTGGAGTTTCCACACGTGGTCTCTGGGCAAGATGGTTGCGCTGAGTAACAGAAAAGATAGGAAAGGAAAAGTAGAGATGGAAAGTATTGCCTGTGGCAGGGTAAGGAGAGTAAAGAGCTTAGGGAGGCCAGAGAAAAGACCCACTCATTGCAGCAACAGTGAAAAGTTCAGGCAGCCGCTTGTCAGTAGTAGCAAAGGGATCTTTTCCAGCAGTGCCATCAGCGCTCAAGTTTCCCCTCTTAGGGAGGAAAAAGCTCCCTATGTCCCATGATCCTGTACATGCCCAGCCCTGTAACCCACAGCCATCAGCAATGAGTGCAAGGTAGATTAGCCCAAAGAGAATAGAAGTTAACATTCCATAGTGCCAAACCTGTTTTTAGCCGAGAGGGTCTTTACCGAGAGGGGCCTGTAATGCCCTAAATCTTAGAAGGGACTCTAACCCTCCTAAGTTGGGCCTCTAATCCAAGGTCGGTCAAGCATCCTTGCCTTTTATTAAGAGGGGTCTCTAACCTACTCTGTCTTAGGAGAGACTCTAACTCCCCTAAGTAGGGCCTCTGACACAAACCCATTCTTCACCAGGGTACTCCACAACTTGCCCAAACTCATCCAATCAGTGCTGCAGTCTGTTTCCTTTGGTTCAGTGGGCGGGGGTGGGGGGTAGGGGGGCAGGGGGGTCTCCTCAGTATTGTCCCTTTTGTGGTTGGTGAGAAAGATGTTACTGGACCCCACCACTTACCCAAAGTTAGCCTTTGGGTCAGGGGTTTCCACAATGTAGTCGCTTCTGTGGTCGCCCGAAAGATGTTACGGGACTCCAAGCTTTACCCAAAGGTAGCCGTTGGGTCAGGATTTCTGCATTATAGTCCCTTTGTAGTCACCAGAAATATATTACAGGACAGGGGTCCCGATATAGACCCCAAGAGAGGGTTCTTAGATCTCACACAAGAAAGAATTCAGGGTGAGTCTGCAATGCAAAGTGAAAGCAAGTTTATTAAGAAAGTAAAGAAATAAAAGAATGGTTACTCCATAAACAGAGCAGCCCTGAGGGCTGCTGGTTGCCCATTTGTATGGTTATTTCTTGATGATATGCTAAAAAAAAAAAAAAAAAAGGCGGGGGTGGATTATTCATCCCTCCCCTTTTTAGACCATATAGGGTAACTTCCTGACATTGCCATGGCATTTGTAAACTGTCCTGGTGCTGGTGAGAGTGTAGCAGTGAGAACAACCAAGGTCACTCTCGTCGCCATTTTGATTTTGGTGGGTTTTGGCCGGCTCCTTTACTGCAACCTGTTTTATCATCAAAGTCTTTATGACCTGTATCTTGTGCCACCTCCTATCTCATCCTGTGACTTAGAATGCCTTAACTGTCCGGGAATGCAGCCCAGTAGGTTTCAGCTTCATTTTACCCAGCTCCTAGTCAAGATGGAGTTGTTCTGATTCACATGCCTCTGACAGCATGACATATTAAGGTGCTGAAAGAAAAAAAAAAACTTTTAACCTAGAATAGTATATCTGGTGAAAATATCCGCTAAGCATTAAGTCCCCCAGGCAAACAAAAGCTGGGGGATTTCATCATCACCAGACATATCCTACAAGAAAGGCTAAAGGGAGTTTTTAATCTGAAAGAAAACAATGTTAATGAGCAAGAAGAAGTCATCTGAAGTTATGAAACTCACTGGCAATAGTAAACAGAAAAAAACACATGACAGTACGTGAACCCCAAAAATCTGAGACAGGTATCAGTTAATTTTGAAAGTTTATTTTGCCAAGGTTGAGGACACAGCCTCAGGAGGTTCTGATGACATATGCCCAAGGTGGTCAAAGCACAATTTGGTTTTATACATTTTAGGGAGATATGAGACATCAATCAACACATGTAAGGTGAACACTGGTTCAGTCTGGAAAGATAGGATGACTCAAACAGGGAGGGGGCTTCCAGGTCATAGATAGAAAAGAGACAAATGGTTGCATTCTTCTGAGTTTCTGATTAGCCCCTCCAAAGCAGGTAATTAGATATGCATTTATCTCAGTAAGCAGAGGGGTAACTTTGAATAGAATGGGAGGCAGGTTGGTTCTAAGCAATTCCCAGCTTGACTGTTCCCTTTAGCTTGGTGACTTTGGGGACCCAAGATATTTTTTCTTTCACAAGTATAGCACTGTAATTGTAGTGTATAATCTTCTCTTGACTTAAGTAGAAAAACTAAATTATGAAAAATAATAACTATAATAATTATAACAACTTTTTAAGACATAGTACAATAAGACATAAAGAGAAACAACAAAAATTTAAAAAGTAGGCAAAGTTAAAGTGAAGAGTTTTTGTTAGTTTACTTTTTGCATGTTTGTGCAGTCAGTATTAAGCTGTCATCAGTTTGTTTTTATTTATTTATTTGTTTATTTATTTATTTATTTTTGAGACAGAGTCTTGCTCTGTTGCTCAGGCTGGAGTGTAATGGTGCGATCTTGGCTCACTGCAACCTCCACTTCCTGGATTCAAGCAATTCTCCTGCCTCAGCCTCCCGAGTAGCTGGGATTACAAGCGCACACCACCATGCCTGGCTAATTTTTGTATTTTTTAGTAGAGATGGGGTTTCACTACGTTGGCCAGGCTGGTCTCAAATTACTGACCTCAGGTGATCTGCCCACCTCAGCCTCCCAAAGAGCTGGGATTACAGGCATGAGCCACCACCCCCCGCCTTGTCATCAGTTTAAAATAATGGGTTAGAAGATAGTATTTACAAGCTTCATGGTAACTTCAAATCAAAAAACATACAATAAATACACAAAAAATAAAAAGCAATACATTAAAGCATACCACTACAGAAAATCACCTTCACTAAAAGGAAGACAGGAAAGAAAGAAGGACGAGAAGACCACAAAACAACCAGAAAAAAAAATAACAAAATTGCAAGAGTAAGTTCTTACTTATCAATAATAACAATGAATGTAAATTGACTAAACTCTCCAATAAGAAGACACAAAATGGCTGAACTGATTCAAAAAAGAATCAACAATAATCTGTTGCCTACAAAAAACACACTTCACCTATAAAGACACAGAGACTGAAAATAATGGGATGGGAAAAGATTTATATCAGACAAAATAGATTTCAAGGCTAAAACTATGAGACAAAGATCATTATATAATGATTAAAAAGGTCAGTTCAGAAAGCGAATATAACAATTTAAAATATATATGCATCTTACACTGGAGCACCCAGATATATAAAGTAAACATTAGTAGAGCTAAAGAGAGAGATAGGTCCCAATATAATAATAGCTAGAGACTTCAACACCCCACTTTCAGCATTATCCAGACAGAAAATCAACAAAGAAATATTGGACTTAATCTGCACTATAGACCAAATATGACCTAATACATATTTACAGAACATTTAATCTAATGGCTGTAGAATACACATTCTTCTCCTCAGCACATAGATCATTCTCAAGGATAGGCCAAAAGTTAGATCATGGAACAAGTATTAAAACATTAAACAAATGAAACAAGCATCTCCTCTGACAAAAATGGAATAAAGCTAGAAATCATTAACACAAGGAATTTTGGAAAGTATAAAGGCACAAAGATATTAAACAGTATATTCTTGAACAACCAGTGGATCAATGAAGAGATTAAGAAGGAAAATAAAAATTTTCTTGAAACAAATGATAGTGGAAATACAACTTACCAAAACCTATGTCATACGGCAAAAGCAGTACTAAAGTACTAACAGAGAAGTTTATAGCTAAAAGTGTCTACATCAAAAAAGAAGAAAGACTTCAAATAAACAACTTAATGATGCATCTTAAAGAATTAGAAAGGCAAGAGCAAGCCAAACCCCAAATTAGCAGAAGAAAAGAAATAATAAAGATCAGAGCAGAACTATATGAATTTGAAATGAAGAAAATACAAAAGATCAATGAAACAAAAAGTTTGTTTTTTGAAAACACAAACAAAATTGACAAACCTTTAGCCAGACTAAATAAGATAAAAGAGAGAAGGTCCAAATAAATAAAATCAGATATGAAAAAGGACATATTATAAAAACTGATACTGCAGAAATTCAAAGGATCATTAGTGGCTACTATAAGCAACTACATGCCAATAAATTAGAAAATCTAGAAGAAATGAATAAATTCCTAAACATATACAACCTGCCAAGATTGAACCATTAAGCGATTCAAAACATGAACAGGCCAATAACAAGTAACAAAATTGAAGCCATAGTAAAAGTCTTCCAGAATTTAAAAAAAAAAAAATCTTGGGACCTGATGGCTTCACTGTTGAATCCTAGCAAACATTTAAAGAAAAAACAATACCAATCCTACTCAAATTATTCTGAAAAATAGAGGAAGAGGGAATACTTCCAAACTCATTCTATGAAGCCAGTATTACCCTTGTACCAAAACCAAAGACATATCAAAAAGAAAACTATAGGTCAATATCACTGATGAATACTGATGCAAAAATCCTCAACAAAATACCAGCACACTGAATTCAACAGCACGTTGAAAAGATCATTCATCAAGACCAAGTGGGATTTATCCCAGGGATGCCGGATTGGTTCAACATATGCAAATCCATCGATGTGATACGTTATATCAACAGAATGAAGGACAAAAGCAACATAATCATTTCAATTGATGCTAAAAAAAAAGTATTTGATAAAATTCAACATCTCTTCATGATAAAAACCCTCAAAAAACTGGGGATAAAAGGAACATAGCTCATGCCGTATACAATGGACTTACAGCTAATATTATACTGAATGGGGAAAAACTAAAAGCCTTTCTTCTAAGATCTGTAACATGACAAGAATACCCACTTTCTCTAGTGTTATTCAACGTAATACTGGGAATCCTAGCAAGAGTAACCATATAAGAGAAAAAAATGAAGGGCATCTACATTGGAAAAAAAAGAAGCCAAATTATCCTTGTTTGCAGATATATGATATGATTTTATATTTGGAAAAACCTAAAGATTCCACAGAAAAATTATTCAAACTGATAAACAATTCAGTAAAGGTGCAGGATACAATATTGACATACAATAATCAGTAGCATTTCTATATGCCTCCAGTAAACAATCTCAAGGAAAAATCAGGAAAGCAATGTCATTTATAATAGCTACAGATAAAATACAATACCTAGGAATTAACCAAAGAATTAGAGGAGCTCTACAATGAAAACTATAAAACATTGATGACAGAAATTGAAGAGGGCAACCCAAAAAATGGAAGGATATTCCATGTTCATGGATTGGAAGAATCACTATTGTTAAAATGTTCATACTACCCAAAACAATCTACTGATTCAATGCAATCTCTATCAAAATACCAATGACATTCTTCACAGAAATAGAAAAAAAAATTTCTATGAAACCACAAAAGATCCAGAATAGCCAAAGCTGTACTGAGCAAAGAGAACAAAACTGGAGGAATCATATTACCTGACTTTAAATTATACTACAGAGCTGTAGTAACCAAAACAGCATGGCACTGGCATAAAAACAGATACTTGGAGCAATGGAACAGAATAAAGAACCCAGAAACAAATGCATACATCTACAGTGAACTCACGTTCAACAAAGGTGCCAAAAACATACACTGGGGAAAGGACATTCTCTTCAATAGAAAATAGTGCTGGGAAAACTGGATATCCATACACAGAAGAATGAAACTAGACCCCTATCTCTTGCCATAAACAAAATTCAAATCAAAATGGATTAAAGACTTAAATCTAAGACCTCAAACTATAAAACTACTAAAAGCAAACAATGGGAAAACTTTCCAGGATATGAGAGTAGGCAAAGATTTCTTGAGTTTTATTCCAAAAGCCCAAGCAACCAAAGCAAAAATGGACGAATGAGATCACCTCAAGTTAAAAAGCTTCTGCACAGCAAAGAAAACAACAAAGTGAAGAGACAACCCAAAGAATAAGAGAAAATATTTGCAAACTATGTATCTGATGAGGGATTAGTAACTAAAACATATAAGAAGCTCAAACAACTACATTAAAAAATCTAATAATGTGACCAAAAAATGGGCAAAATATCTGAATAGACATTTCTCAAAAGAAAACATACCAATGGCAAACAAGTATATGAAAAGGTGCTCAACATTATTGATCATCAGAGAAATGCAAATCAAAACTACAATGAGATAACATTTCACCCCAGTTAAAATGGCTTTTATCCAAGACAGGCAATATCAAATGCTGGAGACAATGTGGAGAAAACAGAACCCTCATACACTGTTGGCAGGGACGTAAATTAGTACAACCACTATGGAGAACAGTTTGGAGATTCCTCAAAAAACTGAAAATAGAGCTACTATATGATCCAGCAATCCCACTCCTATATATACCCAAAAGAAAGAAAATCAGTATATCAAAGAGATATCTGCACTCCCATATCTGCAGCCCTATTCACAATAGCCAAGATTTGGAAGCAACCTAAGTGTCCATCAACAGGTGAATGGATAAAGGAAATGTGGTACATATACACAATGGAGTACTAGTAAGCCATAAAAAAAATGAGATCCTGTCATTTGCAATAGCATGGATGAAACTGGAGTTCATTATGTTAAGTGAAATAAGCCCACCACAGAAGGACAAACTTAGCATGTTCTCATGTGGGAGCTAAAAATTAAAACAATTGAACTCATGGAGATAGAGAGAAGGATGGTTACCAGAGGCTGGGAAGGATAGTGGGGATAGTTAACGGGTACAAAAAAAAAAAAATAGAATGAATGAATAAGACCTAGTATCTGCTAGCAAAACAGGGTGACTATAGTCAGTAATAATTTAATTGCACATTTTAAAATAACTAAAAGTATAATTGGGCCAGTCTCAGTGGCTCACGCCTGTAATCCTAGCACTTTGGGAGGCCAAGGCGGGTAGATTGCCTGAGCTCAGGAGTTCAAGACCACCCTGGGCAACATGGTGAAACCCATCTCTATTAAAAATACAAAAACTTAGCCAGACATGGTGATGGGTGCCTGTAGTCCCAGCTACCTGGGAGGCTGAGGCATGAGAATTGCTTAACCTGGGAGGTAAAGGTTGCAGTGAGCCGAGATCACAACACTGCACTCCAGCCTCAGTGACAGAGCAAGACTCTGTCTCAAAAAGTAAATAAATAAAAGAGTATAATTGGATCGTTTGTCAAAATATAAATGCTTAAGGTGATTTAATTTTTTTTAAATAAAATAAACAGCTGTTATTGTAATATTGTTATCATTAATATTATCATGTTAATATTTTGTGTTATTATGTAGTATGTTTTGTGATAGAGATGGAAAATAAGTTAGGACAAGATTATTAAATTAATGCTTAGCTTAGAACTTACTATGTAGTCCTGTGATTTCCAAACTATGTCTAATGGAACACTAGTTTATTTTACAGATGTAAATTTATATGCTTATCAAAATTATGCCAAAATTATGTGGACATTGATATAGATATCTACGGTCACAGAAGTGTGGGGAACACTGCTGACTCTAACTTTCTCTTGGACAGCCATGTGCATGACTCACAGAATATCAGCATTTTCCACAATTATCTGACCATGAAACTTTTTAATAAAACATTTATTTATATCTGATATCTACTGCTACAGAATATTCTGTGGAAAACTCTCTGTAATTAATGAAAAACCCTCCAAAGTATTTGACAGAAAGTGCCTTGATAAGCTCTGTCTTTTAGAAAATTTAATGTAGAGTCATTTCATAGTTTAGGCTAATGCGTAAAAGATTGAAAACATTGATCTCAGCTAAGAAAGTAATGCAATATCTGAAGTGAAAGATGAGAAAAGTCATAAGTAATTTGTATAGGCAGTGTTGAAAAGACTAACAATACTAGTAAGTATTAACAAAATATTTCTCAGAAACTATGAGCTAAAGATTATGTTAAGTATAGTCATAAGGTTTATTTCATTTAATCTTCTAAATAACCCTGTGAAGGTAACCTATAAAGTACCCATTTTATAGATTTAAAAATTGAGAACCAAAAATGTTAAACAAACTGTGCAAGTTCGCATAGCTAGAAAATGATGATGACAAGACTTGAGTCCTGATATGAGTCCAAATACTATCCATATACTTATTTAGTGGTACAATCAATATAAATATCAACCAATAACTTTTTGAGTATCAGCCCTAAGAGGAGAAAGTTGAAAAAGACTATAGGGTTTCCAGCTCAGTGAAGTTGATGGGATCATCATAATCTAGTTCCCAAGAAATGAAATGTAGGAAGAAAAGTGGAGTGGGAGTTCTACATCCTAGGAAGAATAACCAGTTAATAGGTGGATTTATGTGTCTAACACTCAAAAGAGAGCTTTAGACTAGAGACAGGGATATGGGACTCATTAGTGTTGGTGGTGGCTAAAGAAATGAGTGTACATGACCTTTTCTGGAAAAGCATAAAAGAATAAGAGTTGAGACTGTGAATCCCAAGAGAGTACTCCAATTTTGCCAACCTGGCCATGAACAATGTACTATAATTCCTAATTCTGGGTCTGGTCAAAAACTAGATATAAGAGAGAATCAAGAGTACCCTGTTTCCTCCTACTTTGTCTTTTCGCTGGTCCCTGAGTTACAGCAGAGAGAAGTACTGCAAATCAGCAGTTGATTTGGCTCAATTATGCCAAACTGCCTTCATGAGGAGCTGATTTACTAATCACTGGTTTTGTGAAATAATTTAGCTGGTCATTTCAGTGTACCATAGAGATGCCTGTTCTGATCTCAAGGAGATAATTGCGCTCCCATTCATTTTTCAAAAATGTAGTATGTGTCAGGCATTTTGTAATGCATTGGGGATACAAATATGAATAATATACACTCTTCTGATTTCAAGGAGTTTGCAGTCAATTGAGGGTACAAATAAATGAACAACTCATTACATTACAATTTATTATGCACATTTGGAGATTTGTACAAGATACACTAGACATGCAAACATAGGACCCTTGGCTTGCCTGGAGAAATTAGAAAAGACTCAACTTTTCTTGAACTAAAATTTGAAGGAAAGGAAGTTTTTCCAGATGACCAAAGGTCATGCATGGCTGTTCCTCAAACTCACCTGCCATTGTGGTAGTGGGTGGCAGGCCACTTGATTCTGTACAAAGAATCAATGCACATTTGGGATTTTTTTAAAAAATTAAAACCCCTTAAAATGGTAAATATAAAATTATTTTTATCCACTTCTTTATAACCTCATTTCATGTGGTGTTCAGATCCCTGCGCTTCTGGCGTCTATCTAGTCTACTGAGGGTACCAAAGCCTCATATCAGAGGCATGTACACTTAGTTATTATTTCTGGGTTGTAGGGAGGAATATGTAAAGAGGTTAGAGAAAACAAACAAGAGAAGGAGGAAGAATTATGAGAAAAGAAAGAAAAGTTGGGGGCGGAAGATGAAATAGAAAGAAGAGGAAGAAAAGCCTTCTCAGTCCAGGAAATCTCTGTATTTCACATCTAGCTTCCTTGAAGGAGCTGGACATGAAGATTCATGAGCCCAGAGGGGAGGTACAGCACCAAGTCTTGATGTCAAAGAACCGGTGGGCTACACCCTCACGTATCTGCTTAGTCTTCACACCATAGACAATGGGGTTCAGCATTGGTGGCACTGCCACATAAAGATTGGCCAGCAAGATATGGACATGTTGAGGAATATTACGCCCAAAATGATGGGTCAATAAGGTAAAGAAGGATGGAACATAAAACATAAGGATGACACAGAGGTGGGAGCCACAAGTGCTGAGGGCCTTGTGCCGAGCATCCTGGGAGGGCAAACGAAACACTGCTCGGAGGATCAGTGAGTAAGACACAGCGATGAGGATAACATCCAAGATGACCATGACAATGGGCACTGAGAAGCCATACCAAATGTTAACAGTGATGTCAGCACAGGCTAAACGAGCCACTCCAATATGCTCACAGTAGGAGTGAGGAACAATGTTGGTTAGGCAGAAGGGCAGCCGCTTCAGCAAGAATATGACTGGGAAGATGATGCAGAAGCTTCGGGTGATGACGGCCAGAGCAATCCTCCCCACAACAGGCCATGTTAGCACTGTTGTATATCTCAGTGGGGCACAAATGGCCACAAAGCGATCAAAGGCCATGGCTAACAGGATAGCTGACTCCCCCACAAACATCATATGGACAAAGAAGCCTTGGGTGACACAGGCATCAAAAGCAATGTTATGTGCTTGAAGCCAAAAGATGGCTAGGGCCTTGGGCACAGTGGTGGTAGACAGCAGGATGTCCATGACGGCCAGCATTGAGAGGAAGAAATACATGGGCACATGAAGGTTACGTTCCATGACAATAACCACTATCAGGATGCTGTTTCCCAGGACTGCAGTGATGTAAATGAGGCAAAGAGGTATTGACAGCCAAATGTGATAAGCCTCCAACCCAGGGATGCCAGGAAGGACAAAAACTGCAGGATGGAAGATGGTAACATTGGTGTGACTCATGATGCACTTTATGGTCCTCTCTATAATGACTTAGAAGCTGATGAGTCTACTGAAAGTGATAGAAACAGAAAGCACTCCCGAATATGTATAAATATCATAAAAGACAGCATGGATTTCTAAATTGCTGGACTCTCCAGCAGCAAGTACTCCCAGAGAATGTTCACTTGGTATAGGAATGGCTTCTGGCCCATAGTGCTTCCTTTGCAGATAGAGCTTCTGTGGCAATAATGCTTCAAGTATGAACAGAAGTGGCAGCACCTTCCTGCAACCACCCTGCCCCCAGAGTTTGGCCTCACTCTCCCTTTCTGACCTCATTCTACTATTTCCACACAAGCAGCATTTTCCACCTACCTGTGTTGTACTTGTCCCTTTCCCCAAGATTTTGTTCTGCATTTACCTTTAATTTCCCTCCCCTTCTACTTCTGTTTAACAAAATTTTAACCTTAAAATAAGTCCTCAAGACATACCACTTTGTAATGGTCTGTGTTCATAGCAATATATCTCCTTCCTAAAAAACTATTAACTAAACTATATTTTAACTGGGTTATATTTAATCCTATTAAGTTTATCTGGCTATTGCCTTGAACATTTCACAGGACACTTGCACCTCTGGCCCCTTGTGCAAGGGAGTAGAGTATCAAGTGGGAATCCAGAGGAAGCCTAGAGGGGTACATTTCTCCACTCTGATCCAGATTCATATCTTCCCTAATGCAGTGAGCAATGGGGCAGCCAATGAAACTGAGACAGGCAATTTTCATCACCAGCTCCTCATGGACTTCTCATGCTCCTCCTCAAATATTTCTATACAGGAGCCTCTTGGTTATGTCTGGGCTTCCTTATCTGTAGAAGCCCCCCAGGAAAACGATTCTGAGCAAAAGAAATCAATCTATTGCCCACCTGTAAACTCTGCTGACTCCACTAATACTGCCCTTCTTCCCACCCCACTGTTCCCCAACGCTCAGAAGGAACCATGTTTCCCTGCTGCCAAGAAGGATTAAGTATAGAGCCCTTCTTGGCTTGCCTGCCACTCAGGTAATATTTGTTTCATTCTGAAGTTCTGAACTATCTGTCAGCTATTAGGACTAGGGAAAGAGTGTATGATTAAGAATCTAGAAGGGAACATGAAGAAAAGGGACCACAGAGACAGTAAAGAGAGAATCAGAACTATAAAGGTACCAAATAAACACTAGACTGATCTTCTGATAATGGTATTCAGAGGGCCCCAAAGAAGAGATGCAAAGGAATCAAATCCTCAGTTTATTAGTCCATCCCTCTGCCTCTATGCAAATGAACTTTCTCAGAGCACAGTGGGCTGTGGGGAGGGAGCAATGGGACTCCAGATGGGTACAAGGAAGGGAATAGAGCCAGATCCAGACAAGTAAAGGCCGCAGGCAGGCTAATAATCTGACAGCATTCAAGTCAGTATATTTTAAATATTTGGGCCAGGCACAGTGTCTCATGCCTATAATCCCAGAAGTTTGGGAGGCCAAGATGGGAGGATCGCTTGAGGCCAGGTATTCAAGACCTGCCTAGGTAACATAACAAGACCCTGTCGCTACAAAACAATTTAAAAATTAGCCGGGAATGGTGGCACGCACCTGTAGTCCCAGCTACTTGGAGGCGGAGGCAGGAGGATCTCTTGAGCCCAGGAGTTTGGGGCTGCAGTGAATGAGCTATGATGGCACCACTGCACTCCAGCCTAGGTGATGGAGCAAGACTCTGTCTCTTTAAAATATATATATATACATATATGTATATATATAAAATACATATTATATGTACACATATATGTATATATATATGTGCGTGTGTATATATGTATGTTCAACTTCTACTTAGAAGAGAGGCTGAGCTTTGCTGGAATGAGCACAGAGAAGAAGTCATTAGTAGCACTGCTCTGGCTCTATTTTAAAGTATTGAACTCAAATTTATACAAGCAAAAGCCCCAGCAAAAAAAACAAATTCATTTTCCTTAGGAGGAAATTTATTGGACATTTATTTTCTCACAACTTTCCCAACCCCTCCAGTTATTAACATACTCCTTCTCAATAAAACAGTAAGACACCTGATATACGTCCTCATCAAAACAAGTCTGCTCTCTGCTTATGACTCTGTGATGTTTTATCACTCCAACAGTGAGTACCAAAGGCAGGGTGGAGAGAGGGGCAATGAGGCCTAGATGGCTGTTAATGAGGTCCTGGAAAGGAGGTTACTGCCCATGGAAAGAAGGACTTTCATTTTATCCAGTGGCGTCTTAGAGCTCCATCAAAGCCCTGCTGCTCCTCTGTCAAGCACCTTTGGAGCGTTCGAGCCTCATTTAGGAAAGAGTTAAGGGTGAGAAGAAAGGAAACTCACAGGCAAAAAGAGGAATATCCAACGTCTCCCAGAAGTACCTCCCAGAGCTCCCAAGAGAACATCCAGCTGAGCGAGAAAAAAAAGAGCCAGAATAGTAGAGATGGAGCAGGAGCCAAGCTAGCTGGGAAAGAACACAACAAAGAAGGTGTAGATATTAAGTTCCGGAGCCAGACTTTCTGCATTCATTTCCCAGTTCTTCCCTAACTAACTAGATCTTGGGCAAGTCACTTTACTTCTGCATGCCTCAGTTTTTTTATTTGTAAGATGTGGATACCTGGGGAGGGGGGAGGGATAGCATTGGGAGATATACCTAATGCTAGATGACACGTTAGTGGGTGCAGCGCACCAGCATGGCACATGTATACATATGTAACTAACCTGCACAATGTGCACATGTACCCTAAAACTTAGAGTATAATAAAAAAAAAAATTAAAAAAAAAATTAAAAAAAATAAAAAAAAAAAAAGAATCCCTGATATAAAAAAAAAAAAAAAAAAAAAAAAAAGGATGTGGATACCAAAAAAAACTTCATGTGGTAATTGTGGGGATTAAATAAGTTTGTATTGAGTGCTCAGAAAAGTAGGTTACTATTCTTGTTTATATCATCATCATCATCATCATTATTACCTCTGTTTGGCCATCATTCTCTTGTATTTTTTCCAGTAGGCAAAACACCTTAATGAATATTTAGCAACATTAAAGTCTTATTCTTCATCCAAATATGACCAAAGGAAACTCCTTTCTCAGGAAGAAAGAGGAGGAAAAGGAATGAAGGAAGTGCCCAATGAAAGGAAAATAGCCTGAGACCAGATCTCTCAGATAAACCTGGTGTCTCAAAAACCAGACCCAAGGGCTTTGGGTGGTGCACCAGGCATATCCACTACTGATGGACTTAGCTTGGGTGAGGACTACCTGGCAGTCTTCCTGTAAATGCTCTGAAAAACATCCACCTGTCTCAACACAAAGAGAAATTATCTCCATCATTTACAGAAGCCTCAGGAACATCACAGAACAATGGGAGTCAGCTTCAACTGCAGAACTGAGGAGATTTGGAAGTGGGAATTATAGAGAAGATTTGGTCCACACTTTAAAGGCGAAATGGAGCCCACTTCTCTGCAGCTCCTGACCAGACTTCCTAACCAGCTCTATTTTTTGGTAATAACTGTTTCCTCTTTAGGGGGTTATATAAAGGTCTTTTATGTCTTTATGCAATCTCAATTCAGAAGACTCTCCTTCCATCATAACAATGTATTCAAATGTGTTCACAAACCACATGTGATATAATTTTTAGGTAACTATACAGGAGTTGAGTTACCTTTTTGCCGAGTTGTATTATCTAGATATTTATTTATACAAGTATTAATTTCACTTTGCCATTTTCCTTGTTATGTGCATTTTAGATGTCAAGTATTTTTCACAAGTCTTAGGTTCTTCAAAATGCACAGTCTCTGTACACTAAAGCCATGTCCCTAATGGATAAAACAGCTGCAAACCTCACTACCCCACTGTCCTCTGCTTGTAAGACTGGTCTCTGTTTGCAGCACAATATATTGCAGGCTTTGTTATAATAAGTGTCATAAGAAATTTGTTTCTAATAACATATAAGGTCTCAAAATTTATAAATTATTTACCCTTCTAATATATTGGGGAAAATTCAGATGTATACCTTTAATAAGCTCACTCTTGCCCATGTGCACTTAAAGCTAGCATGTAAGAAGATGTTTTCATAATCTAAAGCCAGTGCTATCCATGATGCAGAGGCACTAAAATTCCCTTAATTCAGACAACCCTTAACAGTAACTCATGGTTTTTTAATTACTTATTTTTTAGCTGACGAATAAAAATGGTATACATTTATGTTGTACAACATGATGTTTTGATAAATGTATACATTGTGGAATGGCTAAATCAAGCCAATTCATGCTTATTACCTCACATATTTATTTTTTGTTGTTAAAACATTTAAAATCTACTCTCAGCAATTTTCAAGTATATAATATATTGTTATTAACTATAGTCAGCATGATGTTCAATAGATTTTTTAAACGTATTCCTCCTAATTGTATTGTTTTTTCATTTGACCAACATCTCTCTAATCACCCCTGAATCTCAAGCCTCTGGCAACCAGCATGATTTACTTTTGTAATGAATAAACATCTTGAGAAAAATTCCCACCTATCCATTTGTTTTACTATCTATAAACATTTTGGGTATTTTGCCAAGCTTGAGTAAGCATATGGTGATGTATCATGTGTAAATATCTTCTATGTTCTTGTGATGTAGTAGCAAAAATGTGGAGAACCCCAGCCCCAAAGCACCACCTCTTCCTTCCCAATGTCTATATCTGTTCTACAAGATGCAGGACAAAAAAAACAAAACAAAACAAAAAACTGAAAAAAAAAACAAAAACAAAAAACAGAAAAAAGAGGATTTTTCAAGTTTAGACACAACTGACACCAAGATTACCAAAAGAAAGTTTCCTTAAGACTTTGGGACTGAGGAGCTCATAGCACTAAGTACAGAGCCTGACACATTGTAGGTTCTTAGGAAATATTTGAAAAAAATAAGCCATGGAATTAGTGAATTAATCTTTCTCCAGTAGCTTTGCTTATTTCCCCAAAACAAGGTGTTGATCAAAACCCAAGCCATTTTCATGAATAGCACCCACTAATATACCCTTCCCTGGTATAGTCTGATTCTGATGGCTCTAAAAACTGCCCTGAAACCCTTAAACAGGAAGTTTTCTCTTTCTCATGTGCTCCTGGTGCTTTTCCTTGCCCCTCTCTGCGTTCCTATTCCTATCTCTCATCAGTGTTTACCGCCTAAACCCACTGATGTATCTCCCAATGCCCACACTCCCCACTCTATGCTGTCATGCTGCAATCCCTCTCTCATCCTTTGTCTCACTGACCCCTTATCTTTCTCCCACATACCCATTTCTTTCTTCACAACTGCAGCCTTTGTCCTTTACAGATACCCCTAAATACACAAACACACACTCTCTCTCTCTCTCTCTCACTCACACACACACACACACCTGCCAATCCCTCCCTCTGCCACCACCAATGCTCTTAAACTCACCTACTGTATCACAATATCAGCTGAAGGATTGAGAAAATGGTAGGGAAGAGCTGAAAAAAAACTCACTTTGCTTATTCTGAGGAAAGAAGAATGAAAAGAAAAGAGAAAGCTGGTGGCATGAGGAGATGTCACTGTTCCTGCCCTGTACAGGACCCTTATATCTGCACACTGAGAAGCTACACGCTTCCTTCTTCTGGAGGCAGGTGTCGGAGTCACCCCTGGGATCATTGAGCCTGGGGTCAATGAGCAAAAGGAGATACAAAAACACTTCCCCTAGTGCCAACAGGGAACACTAACTCTAGGGATAATTAGTAGCTCCAGACAGAAAGTGCATAAAGTATTAGAAGACACAGCATAGAGCAATGACAGAAATCTCAACAATAAAATAACATAATAACAGCTAACATTTGTTGATCGATTACTATATCCCTGTCACTATGTTAAGTTTTTAACATAAATTATCTTATTTAATTATCAGAACAACCCAATGAGAAAAGGCACCATTATTATGTATCCATTTTGCAGATGAGAAAATGGAGGCTTAGAAAGACTAAGTAGTTGATAAGCAGAAAAGACAAAAGTCCTCAAGTGAACATGTCAAAGTGTTCTGACTCAGTATGAAAACACTCATTAATTCCTCAGAAACTATAATTTTGGAGGAGTAATTTTGAAGCAACCCTACAGGGTCAATCACTGAAGATAAGTTCAAGAAAAAAAGAACAGAATAAATGAAGATTGACTAAAATGTGTGCATCATTCAAAGCAAAATTTATAAGCACGTAAAAAGATGCTCAATGTCACTAATTATCAGGGAAATGCAAATCAAAAATCACAATGCGCACCTAACACCCATTAGGATGGCTACCATAAAAAATCTGAAATTTAAATGTAAAAACAGAAAGTAAGTTTTTGCCAGGATTTGCAGACATCGGAGCCCAGTGCACTGTTGGGGGGAATGTAAAATGATACAATCACTGTGGAAAGCAGAATAGTGGTTCCTCAAAAACTTAAAAATACAATTATCATATGATATAGCAATTCTACTTCTAGGCATATATTCAAAAGAATTGAAAGCCAAGTCCTGAAAAGATAATTGTACAACCATGTTCACAGCAGCATTTTTCATAATTGCTAAAACACAGAGGGAACTGTGTCCATCGACAGATGAATAGGTAAGCAAAATATTATATATACCTGCAATGGAATATTATTCAGCTTTAAAAGGGACAGAAATTCTGACATATGCAACAATAGGGATGAGCCTTGAAGACATTGTACTAAGTGAAATTAACCAGTCACAAAAAGACAAGTGGAATCATACAATTCCACTTACATGAGCTACTTACAGTAGTGAAAATCACTGAGATGGAAAGTAGAATGGTGGCTGCCAGGGGCTTAGGGGAAAGGGAATGGGGAGTCATTGCTTAGTAGGTATAGAGTTTTAGTTTTATAAGATGAAAAGAGCTCTGGAAATGGATTGTGGTGATGGTTGCACAATATAGATGTACTTAATCTCACTGAACTATACAATTAAAAAATGGTCAACATGGTAAATTTTATGATATGTAAATTTCACCATAATAGAAAACTGAAGAAAAAAGTAAATTTACCTTCTATGAGCATTTAATTAAAGTACTCCAACATTGTTGAGAGGAGAATAATTCTTCCCAAATCATCTTGTAACTTTTGGAGCAATGAAATAGCTAGGAATCCAACAATGGGGAAGAGGGGGTAGAATACCAGTGTTAGATATTTACTAAAAAAAAAAACACACAAGAAGTCTTGTACACAAATGTTATAGTGGCTTTATTTATGATAACCAAAAGTTGAGAAAAAAAAAAGAAATGTCCACCGACAGGAGAATGGACAAACCAATTGTGATATATTCATACCATGAAATATTATTCAGCAATTAAAATGAGCAAACTACTAAAACATGCAACAATACAGACTAAACTCAAGATCTTTATGTCAAGTGAAAGAATCCAGATACAAAAGTCTACATGCTGTAGGATTGCATTTATATGAGGTTCTACAACAGATAAAACCTAGTCCACAGTGTAGAAATAAGAATAGCAATTGTCTCTGGGGTGGGAAGAACCAGAGGACATTTCTTTGATGAAAATATTCTACATTCTGAGGTGAGTGTAAGTTACATAGGTGTCTGCAATTGTCCAAAGGACTTTTGGGGCTATTAGTAAAGAATAAACAGCAATGGAAAGAGCAGAAATATGAGTAAATTCTTCTCATCAGTTCTTTATAATATATGCAATAATTAAAACAAATTATAAACCATCTGATAGTAAAGACAATGATATTTAAAAGTGGAAAGAGTAAAGGAACTTAAATAAAAGTAAAGTTTCCACAAAAGTGGTGAAATATCGATACTAGCAGACTATCATGAGTCACATATGTGTATTTTAATACACAAAGCAATCACTAAGAAAATTATACAAAGCAATACACTGAAAAACACTATAAATCAGGGGTCCTGTAGCCTGTTAGGAACCAGGCCACACAGAAGGAGTTGGGCGGCAGGCAAGCGAGCATTACCACCTGAGCTCTGCCTCCTGTCAGATCTGCCACACATTACAGTCTCATAGGAGCCTGAACCCTATTGAGAACTGAGCATGTGAGGGACCTAGGTTGCGTGCTCTTTATGATAATCTAATGCCTGATGATCTAAGGTGAAACAGTTTCATCCTGAAACCATCCGCCCTTCCCCTGTCTGTGGAAAAATTGTTGTCCACAAAACTGGTCCCTGGTGCCAAAAAAAGGGTGGGGACTGGTGCTATAAATAAATCAACAGGAAATCCTAAAAATATTCAAGTAACCCACAGAAATGGAAGAAAACAGAAACAGAGGAATAAGACACAGAAGAAACAAAGAGAAAACAATAAAATGGCAGGAAAACCATAACATATTAATAATTGCCATAACTGTAATGGTCTAAATACACCAATTAAAAAACAGATTGGCAAAGTGGAAAAATAAAATATGATCCAACTATATGATGTTTACAAGAATTAACTTCAAATTCAATGACATAGGTAGACTGAAAATACAAGTTTGCAAAAAATGTATCATGCAACTATTTATCCAAAAAGAAAGCAAGAATGCTAATATTTCAGAAAAAGTGGACTACAGGGCAAAGAAAATTACTGGTGATAAAGTCACACATTACAAAATGATAAAGTAATCAATTCACCATGAAGATACAATCTCAAGTATGTAGGCTTCAAACAACAGAGTCTCAAAACATTTTCAGAAGCAAAAACTGAAATAAATGAAGGGAGAAATAGACAAATCCACAATTAAAATTTGGGAACTCAAAAGCCACCTTGCAGTTGAAGTTCTATCTCAGCAACTCATAACAGAACTACAGGGTTCCAAGATGGCCAAATAGGAACAGTTCCAGTCTACAGCTCCCAGCGTGAGCGACGCAGAAGACAGGTGATTTCTGCATTTCCAACTGAGGTACTGGGTTCATCTCACTGGGGCTTGTCGGACAGTGGGTGCAGCACATCAAACGCGAGCTGAAGCAGAGCGAGGCATCGCCTCACCTGGGAAGCACAAGGGGTCAGGGAATTCCCATTCATAGCCAAGCAAAGCTGTGACAGACGGCACCTGGAAAATCGGGTCACTCCCACCCTAATATTGTGCTTCTCCAATGGTCTTAGCAAACGGCACACCAGGAGATCATATCCTGCGCCTGGCTCAGAGGGTCCCACACCCATGGAGCCTTGCTTATTGCTAGCACAGCAGTCTGAGATCAAACTGCAAGGTGGCAGCGAGGCTGGGGGAGGGGCGCCCGCCATTGCTGAGGCTTGAGTAGGTAAACAAAGCTGCCAGGAAGCTCGAACTGGGTGGAGCCCACCACAGCTCAAGGAGGCCTGCCTGCCTCTGTAGACTCCACCTCTGGGGGCAGGGCATAGACAAACAAAAGGCAGCAGAAACCTCTGCAGACTTAAATGTCCCTGTCTGACAGCTTTGAAGAGAGTAGTGGTTCTCCCAGCACGGAGTTTGAGATCTGAGAACGGACAGACTGCCTCCTTAAGTGGGTCCCTGACCCCTGAGTAGCCTATATGGGAGGCACCCCCCGAGTAGGGGAAGACTGACACCTCACACAGCCGGGTACCCCTCTGAGACGAAACCTCCAGAGAAACGATCAGACAGCAACATTTGCTGTTCAGCAATATTCACTGTTCTGCAGCCTCTGCTGCTGATACCCAGGCAAACAGGGTCTGGAGTGGACCTCCAGCAAACTCCAACAGACCTGCAGCTGAGGGTCCTGACTGTTAAACTAACAAACAGAAAGGATATCCACACCAAAACGCCATCTGTATGTCACCATCATCAAAGACCAAAGGTAGATAAAACCACAAAGATGGGGAAGAAACAGAACAGAAAAACAAAATTCTAAAAATCAGAACACCTCTCCTCCTCCAAAGGAACGCAGCTCCTCACCAGCAATGGAACAAAGCTGGACGGAGAATGACTTTGATGAGCTGAGAGAAGAAGGCTTCAGATGATCAGACTTCTCCAGGCTAAAGGAGGAAGTTCAAACCCATTGCAAAGAAGTTAAAAACCTTGAAAAAAGACTAGATGAATGGCTAACTAGAATAATCAATGCAGAGAAGTCCTTAAAGGACCTGATGGAGCTGAAAACCATGGCACAAGAACTACTTTAAAGTTCATATGGAACCAAAAAAGAGCCCGCATTGCCAAGTCAATCCTAAGCCAAAAGAACAAAGCTGGAGGCATCATGCTACCTGACTTCAAACTATACTATAAGGCTACAGTAACCAAAACAGCATGGTACTGGTACCAAAACAGAGAAATAGACCAATGGAACAGAACAGAACCCTCAGAAATAATACCACACATCTACAACTACCTGATCTTTGACAAACCTGAGAAAAACAAGAAATGGGGAAAGGAGTCCCTGTTTAACAAATGATGCTGGGAAAACTGGCTAGCCATATATAGAAAGCTGAAACTGGATCCCTTCCTTACACCTTATACAAAAATTAATTCAAGATGGATTAAAGACTTAAATGTTAGACCTAAAACCATAAAAACCCTAGAAGAAAACCTAGACAATATCATTCAGGACATAGGCATGGGCAAGGACTTCATGTCTAAAACACCAAAAGCAATGGCAACAAAAGCCAAAATGGACAAATGGGATCTCATTAAACTAAAGAGTTTCTGCACAGCAAAAGAAACTACCATCAGAGTGAACAGGCAACCTACAGAATGGGAGAAAATTTTTGCAACCTACTCGTCTGACAAAGGGCTAATATCCGGAATCTACAAAGAACTCAAACAAATTTACAAGAAAAAAAAAAAAAAACCCCATCAAAAAGTGGGCAAAGGATATGAACAGACACTTCTCAAAAGAAGACTTTTATGCAGCCAACAGACACATGAAAAAATGTTCATCATCACTGGCCATCAGAGAACTGCAAATCAAAACCACAATGAGATAACATCTCACACCAGTCAGAATGGCAATCATTAAAAAGTCAGGAAACAACAGGTGCTGGAGAGGATGTGGAGAAATAGGAACACTTTTACACTGTTGGTGGGACTGTAAACTAGTTCCACCATTGTGGAAGTCAGTGTGGCGATTCCTCAGGGATCTAGAACTAGAAATACCATTTGACCCAGCAATCCCATTACTGGGTATATACCCAAAGGATTATAAATCATGCTGCTATAAAAACACATGCACATGTATGTTTATTGCGGCACTATTCACAATAGCAAAGACTTGGAACCAACCCAAATGTCCAACAATGATAGACTGGATTAAGCAAATGTGGCACATATACACCATGGAATACCATGCAGCCATAAAAAATGATGAGTTCATGTCCTTTGTAGGGACATGGATGAAGTTGGAAACCATCATTCTCAGCAAACTATCGCAAGGACAAAAAACCAAACACCACATGTTCTCACTCATAGGTGGGAACTGAACAATGAGAACACCTGGACACAGGAAGGGGAACATCACACACCAGGGCCTGTTGTGGGGTTGGGGGGAAGGGGGAGGGATAGCATTAGGAGATATACCTAATGTAAATGACGAGTTAATGGGTGCAGCACACCAACATGGCACATGTATACATATGTAGCAAACCTGCAAGTTGTGCACATGTACTCTAGAACTTAAAGTATAATAAAAGAAAATTAAAAAAAAACAGAACTACAAGACAGAATATCAGTAAGGATATAGAACTACCAAAAAGTGAAATTACATAGACTGTGTTCCTGACAATACTGGAATCAAACTGGAAATCAATAACAGAGGGAGAACAAGAAAGTCTCTAAATAATTAGAAATTAAATAATAGACTTCTAAATAAAGTATGGGTCAAAAAAGTCATAAAATAATTTTTTTAAAAAACAGAACTGAATGGAAATGAAAATATAAAATATAAAAATGGGTGGGATATGGCTAAAGAAATGCTGAAAGGAATTTTTAGCACTACGTGCCTACATTAGAAAAAAGAAAAGGTCTCAAATCAATAATCAAAGTTCCTATCCCAAGAAACTAGGGGAGAAAGAGAAAAATAAGCCCAAAGCAAACAAAAACAAGAAAGTAATAAAGTTACGAGCAGAAATTAAAGAAATTGAAAAATGGAAAAATAAAAAAATCAATAAAATTAAAAGCTGGCTCTTCAACACATCATGAAAATTAATAAGCCATCTAGCAAGACTGACAAAGAGAAGATACAAATCATCAATATGAGGAATAAAACGGGGGAATCTCACTATAGATTCTAGTATCACCACAAAAAATAAGGAAAAAATATGAACAACTTTATGCTCACAAATTTGACTGTTTAGAAAAAATAGACCAATTTATCAAAACCCACAAATTTTCTTTAAACTCAAGACAAAATAGATAATCTGAGAATAGCCTCATAACTATTTTTAGAATGGAATCTTTAATTAATAAAAAAGAACTCTCCAGGCCCAGATGGTTTCATTGAAGAATTCTACTGAACTTTAAAGAATTAACACCAATTATTACATGATTCTTTCCAGAAAATAGAAGACTAGGAAACACTTCTCAAGCAGCCAATATTGCCCCAAACCAAAATCAGATGAAGATCATACAGAAAACAACCCTCAAAACATTAGCAAATTAAATCCAACAATGTATTTTTAAAAATTATATGCCACAACCAAGTGAGATTTTTTTCCAGGTTTGTAAAGTTGGTTCAACATTCAACAATCAATCAGTGTAATTTACCATATGAATAAGCTCAAGAAGAAAAATCATAAAATCATATCCATTGAAGCAGGAAAACCTTTTGCCAAAACCCAATATCCATTCATAACTAAAACTCTTAGCAATGTAGAACAGAGAACTACCATAACTTGATAAAGAGCATTAACAAAAAAACCTGCAGCTAACATCGTACTAATGGTGAAAATGGAATGCTGTTTCTGTAAGGTCAGGAACATGACAAAGATATCCATTCATCAATCTTGTTCAACATCATACTGGAATTTCTGGCCACTTCCATAAGATAAGAAAAAGAAATAAAAGGCATACAGATGGGAAATTGTTAGTAGGAATGTAAATGGTATACCCACTCATAAAATAGTTTGGGTATCTTAGCTCAGACTGCTGTTAACAAAAATATCATAGACTGGGTGACTTTACCATTTATTTCTCACACTTCTGAAGGCTGGGAAATCCAAGATGAAGCCAGCAGCAGATTTAGTGTCTAATAAGCAGCTTCCTGGTTCATAGCTAGCTGTCTTCTCACTGTTTCATCATATGGCAGAAGGGATAAGGGAGCTCTCTGGGGTTTCTTTTACAAGGGCACTAATCCCATTCATTAGAGTTCTGCTTTCATGACATAACCACCTCCCAAAGGCCCATTGTCAAATACCATCACATTGGGAATTAGGTTTTAACATATAAACTTGGGGTGACATAAACATTCAGTCTATAGCAGGCAGTTTCTTATAAAACTAAACATCTAAATATGCCACTATATATGACCCAGCAATTGTACCCTTGGGCATTTATCTCAGAAAAATAAAAATTATGTTTCCAAAGAAAACTCATATACAACAGTTCACTGAAGCTTTATTACTATTAGCCAAAAACTGGAAACATGCTAGATATCCTTCAACAGATGAACAGTTAAACAAACTGAGGCACATTTATACAATAAAATACCACTTGGCCAGGCACGGTGGCTCACACCTGTAATCCCAGGACTTTGGGAGGCCAAGGTGGGTGGATCACCTAAGTCAAGAGTTCAAGACCAGCCTGGCCAATATGGTGAAACCCCATCTCTACTAAAACTACAAAATTAGCCAGGTGTGGTGGCACATGCATGTAATCCCAGCTACTTGGGAGGCTGAGGCAGGAGACTCGCTTGAACCTGGGAGGCAGAGGTTGCAGTAAGCTGAGATCGTGCCACTGCACTCCAGCATGGGCAACAAGAGTGAAAACTCCATCTCAAAAAAAAAAAAAAAACCACTTAGTAGTAAAATGAATGAACTATTTATATACTGAGTCAAAAAAATTCCAAAGGGTTACATACTGTAGGATTTCATTTATATAACATTCTTGAAATGACAAAATTATAGAAATGGAAAAAAAAGAGTAGTGGTTTCTAGGGGTTATCACTGGAGGTGTAGGAAGGAAGGAATGAGGTAGATATGCCTATAAAAGGGCAAAAGGAGGGATCTTTGCAGTGCTGCAGCTAGTCTGTATCTTGATTTTACCAATGTCACTCTACTGGTTGTGGACACTGTACTATAGTTTTGCAAGGTATTATTATTGGGGGAAATTAGACAAATATTACCTGAAATCTCTCTGTATTGTTTCTTACAACTACAAGCGAATATACAGTAACCTATAATGAAAAATGTATGTGTATGTGAAATTGGCTACAGTCGTGCACTACATAATGACATTTCAATCAAAGACAGATTACGTATACAGTAACGGTCCCATAAGATTATAGTGTCATATTTTTGCTTTACCTTTTCTATGTTTAGAGACTTACCATTGTGTTACCACTCCCTGCTATATTTAGTACAGTAACGTGCTATACAGGTGTGTACCTTTGGAGCAATAGGCTATACCCTACAGCCTAGATGCATAGTAGGCTACACCACCTAGGTTGGTGTAAGTACACTCTATGATGTTCGCAAAACAACTAAATCACCTAATGATGTATTTCTTAGAACATATCCACATCACTAAACAACACATAACTGTATTTAAAAAGAACAGCTGTATCTATTGACCTAAAGAATGTATGCAATATGTTATTGTTAAATATTTAAGTATAGTACTCAGTATAAAGTAGGTGCTCATTATTTATTGAATGACTAAAAGGAAATTATGGAAAATATATATATTATTTGATTCCAAAATTATAAAAATAAAAAAACTAAAAACTAAAAATATTTATGTTTGTATAAGTACATATGAGTATGGGGAAATGTGTGAAAAGATGCATAAGAAGATGTTAATAAAAGGTACCTTGGTAGTAGAGGAGAGGCTGGAGAGAGGACAGGATGAAAAGATTATTAAAATTTTCTTGAGGAGCCAAGATGGCCGAATAGAAACAGCTCCGGTCTACAGCTCCCAGCGTGAGCGACGGAGAAGATGGGTGATTTCTGCATTTCCATCTGAGGTACCGGGTTCATCTCACTAGGGAGTGCAAGACAGTGGGTGCGGGTCAGTGGGTGCACGCACCGTGCGCGAGCCGAAGCAGGGCGAGGCATTGCCTCACTTGGGAAGCGCAAGGGGTCAGGGAGTTCCCTTTCTGAGTCAAAGAAAGGGGTGACGGATGCACCTAGAAAATCCGGTCACTCCCACCCGAATATTGCGCTTTTCAGACCGCCTTAAAAAACTGCGCACCACGAGATTATATCCCGCACCTGGCTCGGAGGGTCCTACGCCCACGGAGTCTCGCTGATTGCTAGCACAGCAGTCTGAGATCAAACTGCAAGGCGGCAGCGAGGCTGGGGGAGGGGCGCCCGCCATTGCCCAGGCTTGCTGAGGTAAACAAAGCAGCCAGGAAGCTCCAACTGGGTAGAGCCCACCACAGCTCAAGGAGGCCTGCCTGCCTCTGTAGGCTCCACCTCTGGGGGCAGGGCACAGACAAACAAAAAGACAGCAGTAACCTCTGCAGACTTCAATGTCCCTGTCTGACAGCTTTGAAGAGAGCAGTGGTTCTCCCAGCACGCAGCTGGAGATCTGAGAACGGGCAGACTGCCTCCTCAAGTGGGTCCCTGACCCCTGACCCCCGAGCAGCGTAACTGGGAGGCACCCCCCAGCAGAGGCACACTGACACCTCACACGGCAGGGTATTCCAACAGACCTGCAGCTGAGGGTCCTGTCTGTTAGAAGGAAAACTAACAAACAGAAAGGACATCCACACCAAAAACCCATCTGTACATCACCATCATCAAAGACCAAAAGTAGATAAAACCACAAAGATGGGGAAAAAACAGAACAGAAAAACTGGAAACTCTAA
Organism: Homo sapiens; assembly: GCF_000001405.40. Classification (NCBI taxonomy): domain Eukaryota; kingdom Metazoa; phylum Chordata; class Mammalia; order Primates; family Hominidae; genus Homo; species Homo sapiens. The sequence continues at coordinate 6,186,291 of NC_000011.10, forward strand.
AACGCAGAGCGCCTCTCCTCCTCCAAAGGAACGCAGTTCCTCACCAGCAACGGAACAAAGCTGGATGGAGAATGACTTTGACGAGCTGAGAGAAGAAGGCTTCAGACGATCAAATTACTCTGAGCTACGGGAGGACATTCAAACCAAAGGCAAAGAAGTTGAAAACTTTGAAAAAAATTTAGAAGAATGTATAACTAGAATAACCAATACAGAGAAGTGCTTAAAGGAGCTGATGGAGCTGAAAACCAAGGCTCGAGAACTACATGAAGAATGCAGAAGCCTCAGGAGCCGATGCGATCAACTGGAAGAAAGGGTATGAGCAATGGAAGATGAAATGAATGAAATGAAGCGTGAAGGGAAGTTTAGAGAAAAAAGAATAAAAAGAAATGAGCAAAGCCTCCAAGAAATATGGGACTATGTGAAAAGACCAAATCTACGTCTGATTGGTGGACCTGAAAGTGACGGGGAGAATGGAACCAAGTTGGAAAACACTCTGCAGGATATTATCCAGGAGAACTTCCCCAGTCTAGCAAGGCAGGCCAACATTCAGATTCAGGAAATACAGAGAATGCCACAGAGATACTCCTCGAGAAGAGGAACTCCAAGACACACAATTGTCAGATTCACCAAAGTTGAAATGAAGGAAAAAATGTTAAGGGCAGCCAGAGAGAAAGGTCGGGTTACCATCAAAGGGAAGCCCATCAGACTAACAGCGGATCTCTTGGCAGAAACTGTACAAGCCAGAAGAGAGTGGGGGCCAATATTCAACATTCTTAAAGAAAAGAATTTTCAACCCAGAATTTCATATCCAGCCAAACTAAGCTTCATAAGTGAAGGAGAAATAAAATACTTTACAGACAAGCAAATGCTGAGAGATTTTGTCACCACCAGGCCTGCCCTACAAGAGCTCCTGAAGGAAGCACTAAACATGGAAAGGAACAACCGGTACCAGCCGCTGCAAAATCATGCCAAAATATAAAGACCATCGAGACTAGGAAGAAACTGCATCAACTAACGAGCAAAATAACCAGCTAACATCATAATGACAGGATCAAATTCACACATAACAATATTAACTTTAAATGTAAATGGACTAAATGCTCCAATTAAAAGACACAGACTGACAAATTGGATAAAGAGTCAAGACCCATCAGTGTGCTGTATTCAGGAAACCAATCTCACATGCAGAGACACACATAGGCTCAAAATAAAGGGATGGAGGAAGATCTACCAAGCAAATGGAAAACAAAAAAAGGCAGGGGTTGCAATCCTAGTCTCTGATAAAACAGACTTTAAACCAACAAAGATCAAAAGAGACAAAGAAGGCCATTACATAATGGTAAAGGGATCAATTCAACAAGAAGAGCTAACTATCCTAAATATATATGCACCCAATACAGGAGCACCCAGATTCATAAAGCAAGTCCTGAGTGACCTACAAAGAGACTTAGACTCCCACACATTAATAATGGGAGACTTTAACACCCCACTGTCAACATTAGACAGATCAACGAGACAGAAAGTCAACAAGGATACCCAGGAATTGAACTCAGCTCTGCACCAAGCGGACCTAATAGACATCTACAGAACTCTCCACCCCAAATCAACAGAATATACATTTTTTTCAGCACCACACCACACCTATTCCAAAATTGACCACATACTTGGAAGTAAAGCTCTCCTCAGCAAATGTAAAAGAACAGAGATTATAACAAACTATCTCTCAGACCACAGTGCAATCAAACTAGAACTCAGGATTAAGAATCTCACTCAAAACCACTCAACTACATGGAAACTGAACAATCTGCTCCTGAATGACTACTGGATACATAACAAAATGAAGGCAGAAATAAAGATGTTCTTTGAAACCAATGAGAACAAAGACACAACATACCAGAATCTCTGGGACGCATTCAAAGCAGTGTGTAGAGGGAAATTTATAGCACTAAATGCCCACAACAGAAAGCAGGAAAGATCCAAAATTGACACCCTAACATCACAATTAAAAGAACTAGAGAAGCAAGAGCAAACACATTCAAAAGCTAGCAGAAGGCAAGAAATAACTAAAATCAGAGCAGAACTGAAGGAAATAGAGACACAAAAAACCCTTCAAAAAATTAATGAATCCAGGAGCTGGTTTTTTGAAAGGATCAACAAAATTGATAGACCGCTAGCAAGACTAATAAAGAAAAAAAGAGAGAAGAATCAAATAGACGCAAGAAAAAATGATAAAGGGGATATCACCACCGATCCCACAGAAATACAAACTACCATCAGAGAATACTACAAACACCTCTACGCAAATAAACTAGAAAATCTAGAAGAAATGGATAAATTCCTCAACACATACACTCTCCCAAGACTAAACCAGGAAGAAGTTGAATCTCTGAATAGACCAATAACAGGAGCTGAAATTCTGGCAATAATCAACAGTTTACCAACCAAAAAGAGTCCAGGACCAGATGGATTCACAGCCGAATTCTACCAGAGGTACAAGGAGGAACTGGTACCATTCCTTCTGAAACTATTCCAATCAACAGAAAAAGAGGGAATCCTCCCTAACTCATTTTATGAGGCCAGCATCATTCTGATACCAAAGCCGGGCAGAGACACAACCAAAAAAGAGAATTTTAGACCAATATCCTTGATGAACATTGATGCAAAAATCCTCAATAAAATTCTGGCAAAATGAATCCAGCAGCACATCAAAAAGCTTATCCACCATGATCAAGTGGGCTTCATCCCTGGGATGCAAGGCTGGTTCAATATACGCAAATCAATAAATGGAATCCAGCATATAAACAGAGCCAAAGACAAAAACCACATGATTATCTCAATAGATGCAGAAAAAGCCTTTGACAAAATTCAACAACCCTTCATGCTAAAAACTCTCAATAAATTAGGTATTGATGGGACGTATTTCAAAATAATAAGAGCTATCTATGACAAACCCACAGCCAATATCATACTGAATGGGCAAAAACTGGAAGCATTCCCTTTGAAAACTGGCACAAGACAGGGATGCCCTCTCTCACCACTCCTATTCAACATAGTGTTGGAAGTTCTGGCCAGGGCAATTAGGCAGGAGAAGGAAATAAAGGGTATTCAATTCGGAAAAGAGGAAGTCAAATTGTCCCTGTTTGCAGATGACATGATTGTATATCTGGAAAACCCCATTGTCTCAGCCCAAAATCTCCTTAAGCTGATTGGCAACTTCAGCAAAGTCTCAGGATACAAAATCAATGTACAAAAGTCACAAGCATTCTTATACACCAACAACAGACAAACAGAGAGCCAAATCATGAGTGAACTCCCATTCACAATTGCTTCAAAGAGAATAAAATACCTAGGAATCCAACTTACAAGGGATGTGAAGGACCTCTTCAAGGAGAACTACAAACCACTGCTCAAGGAAATAAAAGAGGGTACAAACAAATGGAAGAACATTCCATGCTCATGGGTAGGAAGAATCAATATCGTGAAAATGGCCATACTGCCCAAGGTAATTTACAGATTCAATGCCATCCCCATCAAGCTACCAATGACTTTCTTCACAGAATTGGAAAAAACTACTTTAAAGTTCATATGGAACCAAAAAAGAGCCCGCATCGCCAAGGCAATCCTAAGCCAAAAGAACAAAGCTGGAGGCATCATACTACCTGACTTCAAACTATACTACAAGGCTACGGTAACCAAAACAGCATGGTACTGGTACCAAAACAGAGATATAGATCGATGGAACAGAACAGAGCCCTCAGAAATAACGACGCATATCTACAACTATCTGATCTTTGACAAACCTGAGAAAAACAAGCAATGGGGAAAGGATTCCCTATTTAATAAATGGTGCTGGGAAAACTGGCTAGCCATATGTAGAAAGCTGAAACTGGATCCCTTCCTTACACCTTATACAAAAATCAATTCAAGATCGATTAAAGACTTAAACGTTAGATCTAAAACCATAAAAACCCTAGAAGAAAACCTAGGCATTACCATTCAGGACATAGGCATGGGCAAGGACTTCATGTCCAAAACACCAAAAGCAATAGCAACAAAAGCCAAAATTGATAAATGGGATCTCATTAAACTAAAGAGCTTCTGCACAGCAAAAGAAACTACCATCAGAGTGAAGAGGCAACCTACAAAATGGGAGAAAATTTTCACAACCTACTCATCTGACAAAGGGCTAAAATATCCAGAATCTACAATGAACTCAAACAAATTTACAAGAAAAAAACAACCCCATCAAAAAGTGGGCGAAGGACATGAACAGACACTTCTCAAAAGAAGACATTTATGCAGCCAAAAAACACATGAAAAAATGCTCATCATCCCTGGCCATCAGAGAAATGCAAATCAAAACCACAATGAGATACCATCTCACACCAGTTAGAATGGCAATCATTAAAAAGTCAGGAAACAACAGGTGCTGGAGAGGATGTGGAGAAATAGGAACACTTTTACACTGTTGGTGGGACTGTAAACTAGTTCAACCATTGTGGAAGTCAGTGTGGTGATTCCTCAGGGATCTAGAACTAGAAATACCATTTGACCCAGCCATCCCATTACTGGGTATATACCCAAAGGACTATAAATCATGCTGCTATAAAGACACATGCACACGTATGTTTATTGCGGCATTATTCACAATAGCAAAGACTTGGAACCAACCCAAATGTCCAACAATGATAGACTGGATTAAGAAAATGTGGCACATATACACCATGGAATACTATGCAGCCATAAAAAATGATGAGTTCATGTCCTTTGCAGGGACATGGATGAAATTGGAAATCATCATTCTCAGTAAACTATTGCAAGAACAAAAAACCAAACACCGCATATTCTCACTCATAGGTGGGAACTGAACAATGAGATCACATGGACACAGGAAGGGGAATATCACACTCTGGGGACTGTGGTAGGGTGGGAGGAGGGGGGAGGGATAGCATTGGGAGATATACCTAATGCTAGATGACGAGTTGGTGGGTGCAGCGCACCAGCATGGCACATGTATACATATGTAACTAACCTGCACAATGTGCACATGTACCCTAAAACTTAAAGTATAATAAATACATAAATGAATAATAAAATTTTCTTTACATATCTTTATATTTTGGTTGCAGTAAATACTTGCAAAATTTGTATTTTCATGGACAATAAACAGTATTTTTAAATACATTTAAATGATTTGGAAAAAAGCAAACAACCTAATAAGATGAAAAGCAAAAAATAAGAATAGTATGAATATGACTGTAGGATGATTTTAGCACGGTGATGGTCAAATGTAACAAAATTTGCAAAATGAGGTAAATGCAGTTCTTCAAGGATGTTGTGGTGAGGGCCCAAGGAAAGAAGAAAGCTGAGAGGTTTCATGACAACAGGTGAAGCAGAAGAAACAAACATCAAATTGAAGAAGAAAACTCTGTGATGACATGTTGGCCAGAACTAAACAGTCTATGGAGTCCATATTCAGGCTCCATAGACTACCAAAAAACTCTATAATATTACCTTCTCCACACAAAAATGAAGAAGGATGGGCTAGGAACACATACACAAAGGTGGTTGGCCAATAGGGAAGTGGCAGTGACACATTGCAGACTTGAGTAATGTGAAAATGGACAAAGCTGACATTTGCAATAAATTCTCAGCCCTGGCCAGTGACACACTTGGAGTACAGCAACATCTATAGAGTGTCTTACATTGCTTTGAGTATGCAAGAGAAGCAAGAGGAGAAAAAGGATGCTGGCCAGGAAATTACAGAACTTTTCACTGACTCTTTAGGGAAGCTGAAAATCACAGTTGTAGACCTTTGGCAGGGAGGTTTGTATGACATAGAATTCACAATAGCAACTGCAAAGGGGAGGCAGAAAGTCCTAGCTGTATCATGGACAAAAAGCTATAATGGAAAAGATAAAGAAGATAATTATTTGGGTGGATGCAAGAATATTCAAATAAATTCAGAGGTCAGGAGAAACGCCATCTTATTTCCCGACAGATTGTAGGCAAAGCAATGTGGCTGCTCCTTCAACCCTGAAGGGTGCATTGTCTAGGGAAGGGAGGGGGAAATGCAGACTGAGGAGAAATGAAATTACCCAGGAGAGAAAAGTGAAAACCAACCTGATTTAGTTTTATGAAGCCCGTATAACCCTGACACTGCATAATCATTAAGAAAACTTGTTTAGAACTCACACTGACCTAAATTCAAATCAAGACACATTAGAAGTTTTGTGAAGTGAAGTAAGCCACCTATGCCTCAGCTATTTCATCTGTAAAATGGAAATAATAATAGTGTCTACCTCATAGGGATATTATATTGAATGAAATGATATGCATAGAGTGCCTGGCACAGTGCCTCACTCACAGTAAGTGTTCAATACATCATAAATTGGGAGGCAATACTAAGTGTTGTCAAGGTCTATACACTATAAAAAGAAAATATATAATACTGTCTTTATACCTCAGGGTAAGAAAAAATAAATAATATACAAAAACCACATGTCCTTGATGTGCTTTCAGCTAAAATTTAAATGTTCTGTAAGACAAATGAAACTATACATAAAATTAAAAGGCAACTAACTGGAAGGTGATATTTGCAACATCAAACAAAATGTTAGTATCTTGAATACATAGAGAATTTCTACAAATAAATACAAGGGAGAGGAATCCTAAATGACTAACAAATATATGAAAAAATATGTTAAAACGAGATAATACTTCTAATTAATTAAATTCACCTGAGCACCTGAACCAAAAAAAAGAAAGAAAAATAAAGATAAATCAGATTCACAAAAACATAAGAGTCTGATAATATAGTGTTTTCAAGGATATTTTAAACAACAGGATCTTTCATAAAATTGCTAGTGGGAATACAAATTGGAACAACTATTTTGCAGAGCAATTTGACAATACCTGCTAAAGATAAAAATGTACATGCCTTATGACCTAGCCATTCCAGTTCTAGTTATATGCTCAAGAGAAGCTTTCACATATGTGAAAATGGAGACATCTATAAAGATATCCATAGCAGTATACATAGCAAGATAACCAGAAACAATTTGCACTCTATCAGTGATAACTATTTGGCATAATCATATGCTACAGAACTACATAACAATTCAAAGGGATAATAAAGATCTGTTTATTCACATAAAAAGAACTCAAAAACTTAACTTGCTATATACAGTAGTAAATAATTTATGTAAACACTTAAAAGCACCAACTATTATAGCAAAAGCATTAAAAACCGAATCAGAAGAGTACACCCTAAATTCATGATAATTATTGTTTCTAAGGTGAGAGAATGAGGCACTACAGGGGATTAAAAAGATACATTTTTACCTGTAATTGTTACTGTCTTTATTAAAAAGGAATTGGAAGCAAGTAGGAAAAAGCGTTAATAACCGTCAGTTCTGGGTGTGTTGATACATGTGCATGTTCTTATTCTTTACACTTTTGTATCCACTTGTCACTTCTCGAAAATATGACAAAAAATAAAATACAAAAAAGCACATTATAGACCAGAGGATCAGTCATGAGGTTGCTGCAATATTCCACAATAAGGTTGTGAGGTGCAAAATAGGTCATATTATACTGGAGACAGAGAGGAGCCATATACAGGGCTCTTAAGCAGATAGGTCTTAGTGGCTGTTTGGATGTTTAGTTGGCTCAGGCTTCCATAACAAAATACCATAGACTGGGTGGCTTAAACAACAGACATTTCTTCCTCACAGTTCTGAAGGTCAGCAAGCCCAGGATCAAACTGCCAACAGATTAAGTTCCTAGTGAGGACTCTCTTACTGTTTACAGCGTGCTGTCTTCTCACTGTGTCCTCACACAGTGTGGGAGGAGAGACACAGAGTATATCTCTCTCTCTTCCCCTTCCTATAAAGACACTAATCCCATTCATGAGGGCCCAACCCTCATGACCTCATCTAACCCTAATTACCTCCTGAAGGTCTCATCTGCAAATACCATACCCTTGGGGGTTGTGGCTGGAACATGTGAATTTAGTAGGGGGACACCAACATAACAAATGTAATGATGAGAGAGGCTGTTTACCCATCTGCAGTACTTTGCTTGATATGTAGTGAGTTCTGAACAATGATTGCTGAATTCTGAGAATGACATTTGTACTTTTTGTGGTTGTAAGAGTCACCCATGCTATGTGAATTCAGAGGGAGGGAGATAATCATGGGAAAAGATAGAAGTGTTATCTATTACCTCAGAGAACAACATCAGGGAATTAATTTCTTGAGCAATAACCTCAACCCAATCTCAACAAGGTGAGTCACTTCAAAAGTCCTCTTCTAAATGCTAGAGAACCCTTACAGGGAACTACTTGTCTTCTATTTTTAAAAGTCATTGGAAGACCATCCCAGCAATGTTCTCCTCAGCCACTACTGGTCAGAGAGGCTTAGTCAAAAACATCTCTTGAAGGAATAGAATGATTTGCTAAGTTAAGAGAGTATCAGGGTCCTAACCCAATTTTACAGGTATAGCGTTGCCCCGGAAACAAAGATGGCAACTGTGACCTCCGCATGCATAGAGTCACTTCTATATATGGTCAAAGTTAGTGTCAGTCCCAGAGATTCTGGGATTGGAAGGAATGACCCTATTGCAGAGGAAGGAGACATGGATAAGGAGAGTAGACAAGATCGAAAGAGGTTTAATTAAAAACTAGATGTGATCTATTCCATACCCCTACCATAATCTGACTTCTGGAAGATCCTACTGTGATGGAGAGGGAGAACAATTCCCTTCTCAAATCTACAACCTCAATGCAAGCACATCTACTATCCTCCTAGGAACTGGGGATGCCCAGTGCTCCAGAGCTTTATGGAATACTAAGGACCTGCTCATGGAAGGGCTGGGAAGCATGAAGTAGAGGAGTAAAACTAATACTAGAAGAATGGGCATAGTGGTTCCACGACTCCTTCCACATCTCCATAGGGTAGGGCAAACCTGATCTTACAGGGTCTCTCTACCTCTCCTGAAACTGAGTGAAGGAGGCCTGGGCTACTATGCTACCATTAGTCACAAAAGGATCTCATACTGACCCAGGAATTGGGATTTGACAATTGAGTTTGCTTTAGTAGGTTTCCAGAAGAGGATTTAGTGCTGTACAACACCGCGAGGACCCAAGATTTCTGATCTGTAATCTATCATGTAAAGTAATAAGCTACTCATATGTGTTCTTGCTCATGGATCATTTTAAGCGGAAAACAATAGAACAGGCCCACATGGAGCCAGCTGTTATCTAAGAACCCTATTCTATAGATGTTGGTGGTAGCTGCACTAGCCAAAAATGTGAGAAAATCAGAGTCAGTCTCCAGACAGAACCCTCCTATCCTATTTTTCTTGTCAGTCTAACAGCAACTAAGAAATCCAACAAGCCTCCCCTCTCCCTACCCCACCCAACTCCTCACAGAGAGCTGACACCCTGCTCTGGGGAGCAGGCTCTGGTATATAGCCCCCAGATCACAGGTGTCAGATCCCCTCCTCTAATGGTCAACGTCACAGGAAAAGACCAGCCAGTTGGTTCCCAAGATGTGCTTAGATAGCTTCTATAAGTATGAACTGGAGCTTGGGAGACTAACCAAGGAACCTTCTAAAGACGAAGTCTATGATATCTCCCAGTGTATCTTGGATTACTGGAGAATGGGAAATGCATAACACAGTAGATTTCCAAGAACCCAATGACTTCAAATTTGGACTTTTTGGGCTTATGGATTCTGTAATTTACCTTACAAACAATCTTTGCACAAAGAGCAAGTGTCCAAGGCAGTCAAAAGTTCCATTAGTGTTCTCTTGAAGACAAGAGCACTTTTTCCTAACCCTCTCCTTCATGGCTCTTAACCGACTGCTCCCACCTGCTCAGTACTCCTCTCCTCCCTGAACTGATGACAGCTCACCATTTACTGCCACATAATTACAGCTCTTTGTACATCTCTCCATTCAGCAATCCTAGGATCACCTGCCAATCCCAAAATCTCCTGAACTCCTTCTCCCAGGAATGGGTGCATTTTGCTCCACCTATTCTAAAAACTCATGTTCTAAACCTCAGCTACAATTTTTGAGGTAGTGGCTAACAGCAAGTATGCTAGAGCCAGACAGAGTTAGTATCCTAACTCTGCTATTTACTAGCTATATGACCTTCCCCAAGTTAACGTCTGTCTCTTAGTTTCTTTTGTAAAATGGAAGAAAGAATTGTGCCCACCTCAAATGACTGTTGTGAGGTCAAGGCTTAGAGCAGTGCACGTACACAGGAAACCCCACAAGACTTTTAACCACTACTATGATTCAGACATTTCCCTGACTCCCCCAGCAAGAGTGAAAGTCTTCTTTCTCTGTGCTGCCATCGTATCTGGTATTGACTTGAGTTAAGGCAATTACTTTAACAACCCTTCGACAACTGTTTAGATCACTGTGTCCATTAGACTGTGAACTCCTTGAGAGCAGCAGGGTCTTGTTATTGCCACTGTATTCTCACCACATGACACAAGGCCAGGCAGAAAAGAGATTCAACTAGTTCTGCTATAATGCTAGTTTTAAAATACAAATTATTCAAAGACAATTGACATATGTATTAGGGGACTGAGAATAATGTGAATTTCGTGTTTGCTTGCATGTAACTCCACTTCCAAGAAAGTAGGTGAACCCAGAAAACTGAACCCAGCTGAACTGAGCTGAGTAAGAAAGCTCAACATGCACACATGCACACACCTCAAACATCGATCAGCTACTTCAGTTCACCACTTGCGTTATGAGCCACACCCATTCACATCTGGTATTACAACTTTCTGCCCAATTTCATTTTATTGGATTTATTTTTTAGAGACAGGGTCTTACTCTATCACCCAGGCTGGAGTGCATGGCATGATTATAGCTCACTGTAGCCTTGAACTCCTGGGATCAAGTGATCCTCCTGCCTCGGCCTCTCGAGTAGGTAGAAGTACCAGTGCACACCACTGTGGCTGGCTAATTTTTTTAATTTTTTTGTAGAGATGGGCTCTCACTGTGTTGCACGGACTGGTCTCCAACTCCTGGGCTCAAGTGATCTTCCTGTCTTGGCCTCCCAAAGTGCTGGGATTACAGGTGTGAGACACTGTGCCCAGCCCATCTTTTTTTCAAATGTGTCACTGATGAAGTTTTTGAGTGTTGTGCCCCTAACTTCATTTTTCCAATAGGCCCTGTGGTCTTTATTGTATGACTTTACATAGTGTGGTGAGTTTAAGTCTCCTTATAATAGAAAGAACTGTATTCAGTAGACTTGTGGTTGATGGTGAATAATTCTTTTTCTTCATGGATATCTAAAGCTCCTGAAACTGTAGGAGCCCCTATTAGTCAGCAAAAGCTGTTTGGACTAGCAGTCTGTCCCACACTTAAAAGCAATATATATTTATTCATAGCTAACTACATGCCAGACATTGTGGTAAGCAGTAGAGACACTGTAGCTAATAAAAAGCAATATCTGCAACTCTTTTTGTCTCGTGGGGAATTGAGAGACAAGAAATTACAACAGAGTGGGCTAGATGCTATTAAAGAATAAACCAAGGAATTTTCTCCCGGACTTCAGTGAGCCAGCAAAGACCTCCCTGAGAAAGTGTTCCTTGCCCAGATCTTTCCACCTGATAGTCTCTTTCCTGGCTTGCCCCCATCTCTGCCTCCTTACTCTACTTCCTGAGTCACCAGCCCATCAGCACTGAGCAAAGAGATACAAAACAGAGTTAATGTGGCACAGGTGGGAGGGAGAAAGGCCCTGAGGGAAGCAGGTAGAACAGCCACATAAAGAGCCCCACAGGCACTGATTAAAGCGAAGAGAAGCTGCCAACACACAGTGCTCGAGATCTTTCCCAGTCAAGCCTTCTGCTGGTGATTTCTTCCTCATTCATTTATCCATTCAACATGTATTAAGCTTCTTAGGTGGGCTGGATCCCACCTAAGTCAATCTACTTGTCCTGCCTCCTCCAATGTCAGAGATGCTTCTTCCTCAGATGGCTGCTACTCTGAGTTGAGTGCCATTTTCTCCCTCTATGTCACCTCCACTCGCTCTGGCATGCCAGGAATGAGACTCTAGTGGGACCCACTTTTGTACCGTGAAGAAGGAAAGGAAACGGAGAAGAAAAGTCCCGTTTCGTACTGCCATCTCTCTCTCTGTTGCTTCCCAGCCCCAACTTCAACTCTCCAGCTGGTGTTCAGCATCAAGTTCAGAACGTAAGCACCCTGCACCCCAAAAACCCAGCAAGTTTTCCCTTGCCACACCAAGCTCCCAGATTCACTCCAGATTCCATCTGCCTCCCACTACGGTTTCTCCCTTTCTTTATACTCTGCCTCCTCTCTTCCTGGATGGTTGGTGCTGAGAATGGGCAATTGCTCAGAGCTGGGCAAACCTTAATATCACTGTACCCACCAGGCCTATACAGCTGAAGAAGCTGAGGTCCAGAGATCTTGCCCAAGGATACACAGGCAGGGACAGGACAGCCGGAAGCCTGATTCCCCACCCTGCCCCCAGCACTGGCTTTCTCCTCATATAGAGACTGAGACTGACTCTATTTGGACCCTGAGGAAGAAAAGTATTCATCTCCACTCCACCCTCTGCTGACATCCAATTAGAAGGCTCTCTCAGGCTATCTATACCAACCACTGCAGCAGGCAGCCTCTTCCTCACTACCCCTTCCTCCCACTACAATACATATAGACTTTTAGGAGCAAAGGATTCTCCTATCTTAGCTAGAATTGCGACCTTAATTATCCATCCAAACCCCCCTAACCAAAAGTTATAAACCTGTGATCCTCCCAGCCCTGCACTACTCCTACACGTATGCCATGGATGGGTTTGTGCCACTGTGAGACCCCCAAAATCTCTCCCCTTATCTTCCCTGTCAGGAGTCATGCCCCCATGAGCCCTCAAGTTGTGCCCACCACAGAATGGCAGAAACTCTACAACTCAATTCCACCTTCCTACACCCAAACTTCTTCATACTGACTGGCTTTCCAGGGCTAGGAAGTGCCCAGACTTGGCTGACACTGGTCTTTGGGCCCATTTATCTGCTGGCCCTGCTGGGCAATGGAGCACTGCCGGCAGTGGTGTGGATAGACTCCACACTGCACCAGCCCATGTTTCTACTGTTGGCCATCCTGGCAGCCACAGACCTGGGCTTAGCCACATCTATAGCCCCAGGGTTGCTGGCTGTGCTGTGGCTTGGGCCCCGATCTGTGCCATATGCTGTGTGCCTGGTCCAGATGTTCTTTGTACATGCACTGACTGCCATGGAATCAGGTGTGCTTTTGGCCATGGCCTGTGATCGTGCTGCGGCAATAGGGCGTCCACTGCACTACCCTGTCCTGGTCACCAAAGCCTGTGTGGGTTATGCAGCCTTGGCCCTGGCACTGAAAGCTGTGGCTATTGTTGTACCTTTCCCACTGCTGGTGGCAAAGTTTGAGCACTTCCAAGCCAAGACCATAGGCCATACCTATTGTGCACACATGGCAGTGGTAGAACTGGTGGTGGGTAACACACAGGCCACCAACTTATATGGTCTGGCACTTTCACTGGCCATCTCAGGTATGGATATTCTGGGTATCACTGGCTCCTATGGACTCATTGCCCATGCTGTGCTGCAGCTACCTACCCGGGAGGCCCATGCCAAGGCCTTTGGTACATGTAGTTCTCACATCTGTGTCATTCTGGCCTTCTACATACCTGGTCTCTTCTCCTACCTCACACACCGCTTTGGTCATCACACTGTCCCAAAGCCTGTGCACATCCTTCTCTCCAACATCTACTTGCTGCTGCCACCTGCCCTCAACCCCCTCATCTATGGGGCCCGCACCAAGCAGATCAGAGACCGACTCCTGGAAACCTTCACATTCAGAAAAAGCCCGTTGTAATGTCCAGTGGTAACAATGGAGCCTAAGAGTGGAGGTGAGGGGACAATCGGAGGGGAGTCTGGGGGTGTGGATCATGTTATTTTCATCCCACTGCATATGACTGTTATCATCATTTAACAGGTACTTGCTGTGGAGTCCCTATGTGCAACACTGGCATCTGTAGACTTTGACTTAAACATGTATTCTGCTTGGGAGGAGGCAGGAGGTAGAGGTCAGGGGGCTACACTACCATGCAGGAAAAATTAGTGAAGGACCATAATAAACAAGATCTAACAACTCCCTTTCCTGCTCCCCACCTCCATTATTTCAACCTAAGTCTGCCCACGTTTCCACACAAAAGCTCCTCTATAGATCCCAAACTTGAGGGAAGTGCTTGGCACTGCCGCAGAGGGTGGCGCTGTCCCTGGAGTCAAGTGCTTGGGCACCCGTCTGAAATCACAGCCCTCTCTACTCCTGGAGCCAGATTCTGTTTTCAGACTGCCCTCAGGAAACGAGTTCTACAGGCTCATCTCCTGCCTTCCGATAAACTAAATAATGTGCCCTGTGGTACCAATTTGGCCACTTCAAATTCAAAGAATCCTCTTTTGGTCTCATGTGTAATTACTATTCTTCCTTCCCCCAACTCCCACCAAAGCCCCCAAAATTAACAGCTGTAACTTCTTCCCCTGTGACTGCAGCTGCAGAGGTCAGGGGTCCACTGAAAGAAATGTTGATATCCCAGAAAATCACTGCAGCCACATCATCTGATTGCCTGAGGCTGAATTACTATGGTTTCTTGTCAATCTGCCCTTCTGTGCACCCTCAACAAGAAGGTATAATCCCCAGATAAAATCCCCATAGGCACCCCCATTTGTCTTGGCCAACATCATTAGAAGCACATGATGTTAGTGCAATATGATGAAATGAAACATTTCACACTTCTGTAACTGTCAGGGCAGCAAGAACAGGAAGTGCGGTGGTGTTGCCCAACAGGGGATTCATTTTCAGCTAAGACACCACACTGGAAGGGACATTACATAACAAAGGTCTTTAATACTATCACGGAGCTTACAATAAGTATAATCTGACAGAAGGCAGGGAGTCACCGTTATGAGATCAGAAAAAGCTGCAGACTGCAAAGGCAAACCCAAGCTCTCCAGGAAAACGATCATAACCACAGGTATTAGAGTTAGCCATGAAAACCTGAAGCCAGGAGCAACCCAGTCCACTCAGCACAGATAGCTGGACCAAGATGGACCACGGAACACCACACAGAAGAGGAGACTGCAGATCAGAAAAAGCAGATGATGCCATCTCCGGTGCCACACTGGGTCTTAGCAGGTCATCAATAACAAGGACTAAAGAGCCCAGAAGCTCTGTATCATTTTCACAGGCATCATCACACTGCATGCAAGTAGATACAGAGGAAATCTACAGTCAACCTAAGTGTGTGCTCATTCATTCTCAAGACTAATTTTTTTCATGAAGTTCTGGGTTTAACTGGCCTCCAAGCAATGATTTTGCAGATAACTGTGACACAATTCTAATCCTAATGAGTCACAAGTCTTGAAGATGTTCGTATCATTCTCTTACTCTAAATTCCCCTTTATTGCAGTGAGCTGTGATCACACCACTGCACTCCAGCCTGGTGACAGTGAGACCTTGTCTCAAAAATATATAAGTTCCCCCTTAATAAATCTATCCTAAGAAAATAATTGAGATGTGAACAAGCATATATGCAGTAAAATATTTATTGATTATAAATAAATATATGTATGATAATCCTGCGTCTCACATACATACAGGTATACCATTTTTTGCCTTTCCCCTCTGATACATGAAAGGGAAATCATCTGCAGCCAACGTTCATAAACAATGAATTCTGTCACCCTCCCACCACAGGAAGACTCTCTTCTAAGGCACCTTCAACCCCTGGTTGTGCACAACTTTTCAAGGTAGCTGGTTCCAGAGCTGTACGTTGTCCATTGTAGCAACTTTCTTCCTTCAAGCTAAAAATCCACTCCCTTGGACATTTGTATCTTGTTCCAAATTGAGATTGCATACATACCTACCATATGATGTGTTTCAAGAGCTTTACCACACTCTCATTCCTCATGACAACCTGAGAATTAATTATAAGCCCACAATCCCTCATCCATAATTCCAAAATAAAACTCTGAAGAAACAATATTTTTTTATAACTTTGGCCCAAAAGCTGACATCTCAACCATCATGATCCTATTTATAATCTTTATTTATCTTATTTAGTGTAAATGTTCATACATCTAACTTCAGAAATGTTGATGTTTGATTATAGGGCACTGTCCTGAATCCCACTGGGGTATTCCTTAATATATGATATATATATATCATATTCCTTTTCTATAATCTGAAAAAAACTGAATTCCAAAATATCTGTCCCTAAAAGTTTCAAATAAGGTGTGAGGGGTCTGTGTGATTATCCTTGAAGTCTGAGAGACATGAAGAGACTTGTTAGGGCTCTTTATCACTCTAAAGTCTTTGCTGTCAATACTATTCTATACTGCCCTACAGGTTCATACTGAGAACCTCGTGTTCTCTGGATAAAAAGATCCATCTGTTTATTCCCCCCATGCTCTCCATTCAGACCACCCTCAGATACCCTGCAGATGGTCTGTCTCTCATGCCATACCAGAGGCAAATCCTATAAGCAGGATATGGCCCAAAGAGCGCAGCCCTTAGGCTCATGATCTCCATCCAGGACCAAGTAGTCATCCATTTTCCTTCAGTAACTTTTAGTTTCAGTCTCTCTCTGAGTCAAAAGGAAAGACCGACTTACTTAGTGTTGGGGTAGATCAGTAGGGAATTTAGGGATCCTAGGGAATCATGATAATCAGGCAGCAGAAGAATGTATGGGCTTCTAACTGAGAAGTAATCAGTCAGAAGTTTTCAGTCACAATTTCCCCTGTGAGCCCCTCTCCCAAAAGTCCTAAAGAGATCCTCCTCGTCCTTTTTTTTTTTTTTGTATAAATTTGAAGGGTACAAGTGCAATTCTGCTATATGCATAGACTGCATAGTGGTAAAGTCACCACAGTCCACCATCCCTGCACCTACCTCATCCCTCCCCTTCTCATTCTGGAATCCCCTCGGGATCTGGATGTACACCATTCTCTATCAGTCACTCTCATTGTCTCTGTACCACTGCATCTCTGTCTCCTTGCACCATTTGTCAGTTTTATCCCATATCTATGTCTCTTGTCCTTGTGTATGTCTCTCTCTTGCTCTATCTCCACCTGCCTCACTCAGAATTCTTTCCTGGAGAGAACAGAGGTGCAGCTATACTACACCAGGTGACCTCTTTTTGTCAACCATAATCAAAATGTGCTAAAGGAAGGAATTTGGTTTCACTTGTCTTAATAAGAAACTTGGGGTTTCTGATTCGGCCCATCGTGGCTCCTCTCTTATCCTGCCCATTTCCTTTTCACTAAACCACTTGGTACTTTCCATCTGGCAGACACTCCTCCCACCACACACTAAAGTGAGCCAAAGGAACGTGTTGGTTAAAGGTTCAGTCAAGCAGACTTTTACCTGAATCCTAGATCCTCTATAAACTCACTCTATATGCTTTGGAGTAATTATTCAACCTCTCTGAACCTGTTTCTTTGCTTGTAAAATGAGATAATAGTAGTAACTACTTCAAGAGGATACCAAATGGATTAATATAATGAATTCAAAGTATTTTGCACAGCTCCTAGCACAAAAGAGCTCAATATTAATATTTGGCATAATTCCTCTCCTGGAAATGTTTGATATTAATTCCTCTCTGGAAAATAGGACCACACCCACTGTAAAACCTTTGCTCAAAGACCCAGCACCCATATTCATAGCTTTATCTAAGGAGACCTGCCCTCCCGAGGCCAGTTACATCTCCTTTAGGAAAATTTTACTAACACTCTTTCCCACCACTGCAGGACCTTTGCCTATGCCCCCACTCATACCACCTCAGCCAGCTCCGATGACAGCCAACTTTGTGGGACTGCTCTACAGAGCTATGCCGGGCTGGGCTAGGGGAGGATACCTCCTACACACAAGAGGTATTCCTGGGCACAAAGGAGACTCTCCAGAGGGACTCAGAGAAAGGACTCCTTGAACAGATAAGGTACGGAGTAGAAAAGTTAACTACAGGAAAGGCTCTCTAGAATGGTTCTTCTTTAGCAAAACACAGTTGAGATCTCTGGACAAAGACGCAAAGGAGATAACACATAGCTAATATTCCAGCTCTTATCTAGCTACTAGGCACAAATCAGACTAGGACAGGGAGTGGAGCATGAAGAAATTTTTTCTCAAATTTACCTGGGTAATTCTGGCTTCCTGAAAATTCTCTCGTTACTAAGGCAACATTATCCCAATTATATTCTTACCCTCCACATTGTCACACTGCTCAGCACAGCAACCTCCTACACACACCTGGTTTTCATTGCAATTGTAACCCACCCATTAATAATGGTTTTCAACGTAAGTTATGCATTAAAATTGCCTGAAGAGCTTTTAGAAATTGTGATGCCCAGGCACACCCCAGATCAATTAAATCAGAATCTCTGGCACCAGTAATTGATCCAGGCAACAGTAATTTTTAAGCTCCCAGGCAATTCCAAAGTGCAGCCAAGGCTGGGACCACTGCTTGGTTCTCAGTATAAGCCCTGATCTATATAGTCATGCATTGCTTAACAACAGGGTATGTTCTGAGAAATGCATCCTTAGGCAATTTTATCATTGCGCAAACATCATAGAGTGTACTTACACAAACCTAGATGGTATAGCCTACTACACAGCTAGGCTCTATGGTATAGCCTATTGCTCTTGGGCTACAAATCTGTACAGCATGTTACTGTAGTGAATACTATATGAAATTGTAACACAATGGTATTTGTGTATCAAAACATACCTAAACATAGAAAAAGTAAAGTAAAAACATGGCATTATACTCTTATGGCGTCAGACCACTGTCAGTCACATATCATTTTCCAAAACACTGTTAGGTGGCTCATAACTGTACTTCTCCCGTGTCCTTTAGGACCCCAATCCAACCTCACAGAGAAGCATCTGCAGCTAAGATAGTAAATTGCTTCAGAGATGCTGCTGAAGGGAGGAGAGGCCTGATCCTGTTTCCTTAAAGAACTCAGACCAAGAACTACACACACACATACACATATACAAACACACCCTAACAGACCCTGCATTTTCTTCCCCTAATGCAGGAGGATGGATAGGTGACTCAAGAGTAAGAATTACAGACTGCAGTGAAGCTAGGAAAGTCACTGTCCTCCCCCTATCCAAGGTACAATTATCTAGCAGGACCTCTATGATGTCATGCAGTGGTTTAGGGCCCAAGACCTCAGGTCTCACCTCCCTGGGCTGCCTGGGGTTCCTGCAGCAGCCACTGCCCTGCCCAATCCCTCCCATACCCCACCATGTTGGTGGGTACCCCCAACCTGCTGACACTGGATGAAGCTGATGCCACCTGGACCCTCATCAAGGATAAGGTAGGTAAAGTAAGGAGGCTAAAGAGGAAGCAACGAAGTGTGACCTGCATGGGTCTCAGCAGCTTGTGAGTAGGAAGGGGTGGGAAGTCTGAAAACAATAATAACCAACATTTACTCACTGCTTCCATATGTGCCAGGCACTGCAGTAAAGTTATTGGCACGAACCGCCCCATTTAATGACAACTACAAAAACAGTAAAAAAGGTTCACTGAAAAGCAACGTATAGGGAATTATGAGCAAAGAGGAGATACGCTAAGTCAGGGGTGAGACAGGAGATCAGGAAGGCTTCCTGGAAAGAGTGACATTCTAGCTAGGCAAGCAGGAGTTATTCACACAAAGAGGGAGAGGAGAACCTGACAAAAAGTGCTTAATAAATACCTGAATTAATGAGCATGGGAGGGTGGTGAGTGTATAGTAATTTAATAGTAATTAAATGTAGAGTATTTGTAAAAACAAGGAGAGGAAAAAGAACAACTCATATTTGAGAACTCCTAATAATCTTCTAGAGCAGAGTTCAAAGAAGCAGTGGTAAAAATAAAGCCAAAGAGATATAGGGGCTAGTCTTAGAACCAGGACTTCCTATAGAACCAGCTTCCTATAGAATCTGAACTTTATCTGAAACTCTTTCACAGATCTCCTCCACCTTAACTTCCACAAAATAAGAAATTTGGATTTTGAGGCAAATTTGTATATTTTAAGGAGCAGGACAATCTCAGCTGTATCTGGGTTGCAGATATCCAACAAATCCTACCAAATCACTTTTCAGCTGCAGACTGGAAATTTCAGATCAGAGAATTTAGAATCAGATTCTATGTGATTTGAAGGAAGGTGAATTTAAAACATTCATAGAAGTCAGCCTACCAGGCTTAAAAAAAAAAAAAATCTTAAAGCAGTGCCTACCACACTCAAAGAAGATTTAATGGCATGCTGCTTCCATTCCAAATAGGGTAGCTGCTTACCACAAAGGCCAGCTTCCCAGGGAAGCAAAAACTGGAGAGCTCAAGGTCTTCCCAAGTATTAGAGCAACTGGTTTCAGCAGTGTAGAAGGTTGGTCCTGGACTAGATCAAGCAGAATTAGATTGAAAATAAACAGTCTCCCACTATTAGAAAGCTATGCCATCTCTGAGTATCAGAAAAACTCACTATCCTATTTAAATTGAAAATTGTCAGGAAAATCGGGGTAGAGATATGCAGGATAAATCACTGGCATTACGGGGCAAATTCAAGGATTAGGTCACCTTTAAGTGACCTGGTTTCCTGTGTCCAAAACCACGGACAGTTTACTGAACATATGGTAAAAACATTTGGCTAAACAGAATGTGGCTCAAGAGCTCCACATTCAGAATTTGAAGCAACCAAGAGACATCTAGGAAAACAATATTCCACCATCACTTTCCTGGGATGCCCCTGGAAAACCTAAATTTGTGGGCCTAAGGTCCATATAATTTCTATGAAGAAGCAGAAGTTCAGTAGGAGCACATAGTAGTCTTAAATAGTGATTCTACCAAGAACACAGTCTCCCTAACAAAGAACCGAGCTCCTTATTTTTCCTATTTTAGGATAACCACTGTGGCTGTCAAGGTTAAGGAGGGTTAGAATTAGACAACTTAATGCCTGTCAGCATATAGGAAGAGCGTATGGGGAATAAAGAGCCTCCAGCTAAACCAGAGATTCACCCTTTTAGCAGAAACTTGGATAATAAGCACCAGATATATTAAATGTCACACTCCTATCAGAGGGGCCTCTTCTAGAGACACTCCCATTTGTCTTATTTGTGTAGGATCCTTGACACCAAAGGAGCAGTTAGTGTGAGATTCTGATGTCATGCTTGGTGCCTCTGATTTCATGGTCATGGGGCAAAGCATTGCATCCAAAAATGTCAACCCACCAGTGTTCTGCTCTCTCCCTGGAAACGCAACTGGTCCTTCTCAGAGCCCCACCCAAAAGGAAGTGTTTTCCAGTGAAGCAAAGGAGAAGGAATGATGGGAAACTGTCCCATGCAGACCACAAAAGAACATCAGTTATTCCTTCAGCCAGGTGACAAGACAGTAGTCTACAAGCTACCTCAGCTTATCCAAGGTGCAGATGCAACTCCATAGTTAGCTACCTTCCTCTTATGCTAGGAGGCAGTACTTCCAAAACAGCTTTGTAGAAAAAGCAGATCAGCCTTAAGGAGCCACTGGTGAATTCTACCAGAAGGCCAACAAAGAGGGCAATGCCATCAGTAGGGGCATAGATGTGCGAAATTTGGTCCTGGAGGTAGGGAGTAGAGTACAGCACTGTAAGCACTGGGCTCAAATATAAGAGATGCCCAAAGAGGAAATTCTGTGTGCCCTTGCTCCCTAGTAGAGCAGAGAACCAGAAACATCAGCCACAAAATCCTGAATGGGTTGAAACCATACTTAAGTACAATTACTAGAGAGGCTCTTATAGGTTTCCCAATTAGTCATGAAATAAACTTTCCAGGGTTACCAACCCCAAAAAGGCCATGATGAAACAAACAAACAAACAAACAAACAAACCACACACACACACACACGATTAACTAAAATCCCTGAAAGTATACCGTAACTAACATTATAAAGATGAGGCCTCAAATTCCCTACAAGAACTACCCCTTGCAGCTAGGGTAGAAGGCATATACTATGAGGTAAGAGATATGGTATAAGAATGGACATTCCAAATCTATTTCTGCGTAACCTACTATTGATTAAAGACATCACCCATGTAACCAGTCACCTAAGAAGAATCCTTAAAGATTCTTTTCTCTTTTTCTTGAGACTCTGTGGAGTGCAGTGGTGCCATCTCGGCTCACTGCAACCTCCGCTTCCCAGGTTCAAGCAATTCTCCTGCCTCAGTATCATGAGTAGCTGGGATTACAGGCGTGTGCCACCACACCCAGCTAATTTTTCTATTTTTAGTAGAGACAGGGTTTCACCATGTTGGTCAGGATGGTCTCCAACTCCTGACCTCAGGTGATCCACCTGTCTCGGCCTCCCAAAGTGCTGGGATTATAGGCATGAGCCAGGGTGCACAGCCGAGGATTCTTTTTTCCCTACCTCCTGAGTGACTAAGTTCTACTAATTCTATAACCTAAATATCTCTAATATCTTCCCTCACTATTTTAGTTCAGGACCTTATTATGCCTTGCCTGGAGTATTGCAATACTCTTATTTTATGACTTCCTATTAAAAATTAGCTTTCTGGCCAGGCGCGGTGGCTCACATCTGTAATCTCAACACTTTGGGAGGCTGAGGCAGGCGGACTGCCTGAGCTCAGGAGTTCAAAACCAGCCTGGGCAACAGAGTGAAACCCCATCTCTACTAAAAATACAAAAAACTAACCAGGTGTGGTGGTGGGTGCCTGTAGTTCCAGCTACTTGGGAGGCTGAGCCAGGACAATCACTTGAACCCAGGAGGCAGAGGTTTCAGTGAGCCGAGATCGCACCACTGTACTCCAGCCTAGGCGACGAAGGAGAACCGACTCAAAAAAAAAAAAAAAAAAAAAATTAGCTTTCAGAAACACCTATCTGATCCTGTTCCTCCTACCCAGAGGCCTTCAGGCGGCTTCCCACTGCCTTCAGGACAAAATTCACTTGACATACACACAAGCCTTTCATAATCTAGTTCCTGTGTGCCTTTCCCTCCTCATACCATACATACCAGCAATATAAAATTATGTGTTCCTAAATGTGCCCCCCTTGATTTGTAAATTCAAGTTTTTTCACCGACTCTTATGCCTGAATTGACCATTCTCCTACCTAGATAATTGCTTCAAAACTCAAGTATCACCATCTAGAAACCTTCCTTGATCCTCTTTCCATGAAAGGTAAAGACTGTTCAATCACTTCCTGTCTCCTTCACACCTTGCTCTCTATTAATATTTTACATAGCAGACTGTTTACATTTTTGTGTTCTCCAGTAGACTAAACTATATTAGGACAAAGACAAAGTCTCATTCTTTTATGTTTTCCCAGTACTTAGATAGTTTGACACGTAAACATTCAAGGTTTTGCTGCCGGAGAGCTGGGAGGTAAGCAGAAAGCATAAATCTGAACACATTATAGAGATGTAACTGAACGTGAACCTGGGGGTCAATTTAAAGTAGGCAACCAGTTAACTTCTGACCCTAAGTCCCTGACCTATAAACTGGCCACCTGCAGGTCATCGAGGAGCACTTTGGGCCCAATGCAGTAGCAGTACCTTTCCTGTCAGATGCAGCCTGCTATGACCTACTGGGTGTGCTGGTAAAACAGTCCCGCCCAGCCCATACCCGCCTGGCTTTGCCAGGTCGGCAGGGCCGGAGGGCACTGAAACCAGTGGGGCCACTACCAAGCCTCCTGGAGCAGGCAGGATCTGAGGGTGCCTTCGCCCACTGCACTCGGGAATACTCACCAAATGGCCGAGCAGAGAGAGCCTATGAAGAGACGCGAATGTTGGATGGACAGCCCTGCAAGATCCGCCTACATATGGGTGACCTGCGCAAGAAGGTTGCCTTCCTGTTGCTGCCACCAGGGCAGGTGAGCCTACAGCAGACTCTTCCCTGGCTCCGAAGCACCCACAGCATCTATGTCATCTACCAGGTCTTCTCTTGTTCCTGGCTGCAGCTGGGGCTGACGTCTACAGCCCGTGAGCCCCAGCTCCTCCGGCTACTTCGGTCATTACCTGTTGCCTTCTCCTGCCTCAAGTTTTCACTGCAGTCTAAGGGCGTGCTGGGACCACAGAAGCCTCTCACTAAAGACCCATTGCCCCATGGGGCCAACTGGGTCAGACCCAACCTCAGCATCATGCCGCCTCTGGCCCCCACATCAGCACCTGCTGATACAACTGAAGCTGCTGATGTGCCCCCACCTGTCCCAGCCCCACCTACGCCACCTCCCCAGGAAGGGCCAGAGGACAAACCCACCAGATTCTCCTACAAGGGCCGAAACCCCTTCTGGAGGGGGCCCCAGATACTGTCAGGTACTACTAGGGGAAATGATGATGAGATGGATGGGAGGGACAAAGTGAAGGAGGGAGAAGGCATGAGAATTAAGTATGTGAGGAATCCATTACTCAGCACAGGGCTCTGGTGAAAGAGATGGAATGAGGGAGACTGGGGAGGGTGAGATGGAATGAGGAGGCCCTAGGAAGGGGATTGGGATGGCACAGAGGACCAGAGGGAAAAGCTAGGGGGGGAAAAGACCAGCCATGAGTCAAGCTGTGACTATCCCCAACCCTGGCAGAGAACTGGCTCTTCAGCCCCCGCAGCCCTCCACCAGGAGCCCAGGGTGGGGGCCCCAGGGACCCCGACGGGCACTCCATGTCCCTGCCCCTGCTGCAGGGTCTATCCTCAGAGTTCGACAGTGACGACTGAAGCTGAAGCAAAAGATTCCGGGGGCAAAGCCCCCAAGATCTGGCATAGGGGTACTGGTCTCTAATAAACATCAGCTGCTGCTCCCCCAAACCATCCTGGGCCCATGCTGCTTATTCCTTCTGGGATCCAGAGAAGAGGGAAGAGTCCCTTCACCCTCTAAGGGCATAAGGGGTACCTTGAAACCTTGGCAGCAATGTCCTTACCAAAGAGAAAATACTTCTGACCACCTCCCCGACTATGTACAACCTTTTCTGGGGCCCCAGCCCCACAGAAAAAAATGGGAAAGAAAAATGAGCACAGAATAGAGATTTCCCTTTTATACATATTGCAACAAGTTCTCCATAAAACATTCATCTGAAATAAATTAAAAAGTCCTTTTGCCACTGCCTCCAAACATAAAAAGGAGCCTGTGCCCTAGCCCCAGCCCGGGCCACCCATGGCCCTGATTGTCCATGGAAGAAAGTTAAGGATTGAGGGGCCCACAGCCTGAGATGAGAGGGCCAGATCCTTCCTCTGAAGTCTCCAACAAGAAAGGCGAGGTGACGGCATGAGCCTGGGAGATGGCAGCCAACTCCTTGAGAAATTCAGGGAAAATGACTGCACAGTAGACAGCATTCTTGACTCGAAGAGCCTCACCTTGGCGTTCAGGGGCCCCGCCCCGGGTGAGTAGAACTGGAGTTGAAGCCCCAGGGGAGCCCCCACTTAGGCCAAGTCCTGCTCCGTCTCGCCCAGGCTGAAGGACCAATTGTGCCGCCTGCCGGGCCCTGGTTGGACTGTGTGCATGCCGCAGGAGTAACTCCCCCAAGGATGGCCTCCGGCTCTTCACTGGGAATAAACAGGGGTATCATGAAGGTGCTGGGATCAGGGAACCTCCCTTGGACTGAGAGGGGAGATTCCCCCACCCCCTAGGTTCTTGGACTTCTCCTTTAGGGTTCTGAGGAAATGGAAAAAAGGACAAAATGGACCAGAAATGAACCTCAGGTACCATTTCCTGTCCCATCCCTGAAGTTGACTCTGAGGAGTAGAGTGAGGAGTTCTTTCTCACTCCAACACCAAAAATACTGCCTGCCCAGCCTTTTTCCCTCTATCCAGCCTCCCCACCCAGCCAACCATCCTTCTCAGTCTTAATCAATCAACACTTTAGCCACTTCATTCCCAGTTAAGATCCATTCCTTCTCCATGCCCTCTCACCCTGACGAATTCTCCTATTTCCAATCACTAATCTACCACCACCAAGCTATTTCTCCTCTGTCTATAGCATGCCCTGATTTCATGCTTCCCATCACCCTTCCGAACTAGTCAACCACTTCCCTCTTCCCCAGCCTATCTATAACACCCAACCCACATCCTCTGCTCCTACAATATCCACAGGGGCTATATATGCAATTATAGTTCAGTGACAATTTCACTTCTGTCATGCTCTACTGTCCCTCCAAAATATGCTCTTCACCATTCACCACTTCACCATTCACCAGTCCCTGTCCTGCACCAAAGCCTCTCTCCCACTGGTTGCGGCCAATTTCAAGTCAGCTTAGGCTCAAGTGAGCCATTCAAAACAACGTCCTCTTGCCTCTAACATTCTGCCTAGATTTCTGGGTCTGGATCCATATCTACTATAAAGGCCTAGATCATAATAACAATTCCCATTTCCTACATCTAATACTGGCTACAGAAATACCATACCGAGCTATTAAATTTGGCATTCAGAGCCCTTCACAATCAGGCTCACACTCCTCCTACAATTTCTTTTCAAACTCTCCACACCCCACCTTGCTTTTGCATCCACATCTATCATCTTGGAACCCTTCAGGCACTTTTCATGCGCCTGTAGCTCCCTCTGCCTAAATTTTCTTTTCTCCACTTTTTTCATCATTCTACGTGAAATTTTACTATCCCCACTTCTCTAGGAAGCCTCCTCTGATTTGTCTTCCACTGACTCCCAATTTTACTTCCCTTAACTCAACATACTTAATTTATTTCTATGTCTTCTACCTCATACACTAACCTGTGAACTTAAGGGCCTAGACTGTGTCTTGTCTACCTTGTCTACCTGGCCCCTCTAAAGTGACCCCAGCACCAGAACTGTAGAAGGAAGAAATATTCACAATACTAGACCATGAAGAAACCATGCAAAAGAACTTTACCTGAGACTTCACAGCTGTGCAGTAACTTTTATGGTACTCTCTTCCCAACCCATACACTTTTCTCATTAAGCCTCCATCTCTGCTTTCAGCATATCATTTTGCCTTCTACTTCGATTAGTAAATAATGAATGATGTGAAATCCCTTACTCCTCTACACTTCACAACTACATTGGCACATGTCAATTCCTCCTTGCTCTCTCCTCATTTTCCTCAAAGGGAGAAAAACAAAAAGCCTTTTCCTGTCCAAAGTTAATCTTTTTCTATTGCTCTCAATCCCATTACTCCCAACACCTTTAGGACCTTGCTCCTTCTGGTATTACGTTCCTCTAGTCACTCTCCAGATTGTACATTCTTTGAAGGCAGAAATTACATCTTGTACCTCCCTGAATTCCCTGTACTAAAGACAATGCCCGGCACACATTGCAAATGTTCAAGATACCTGTTAAGCGAAAAGTCTAGATTTAAAACTTCATAACGATATTTAATTCTTCCTCCTTCCTTATACCACTCACCAAACTCCACCAACACTTCCTTCTCATTTCTGCCTCATTAAATGCTTCCCTTCCACGTCCACTATTCTAATTCAAGCCTCCCTGGTAACATCTACATTATAGCAGAAGCCTCCTGATGCTTCCTGACTCTTTTCTCCTAGCTTGACTGCATCTGAGCTAACATACTAATCTCTCCACTTCCAGATTTAGAACTTCCAGTGGTTTTTCACTGCCTAAAACATCCCAACTTCTACTCTGAGAAATTCAGCTCCAGCCAAATCTCTCCAGCCTTACTGCCAATTATTCCACCAACTTTTAAATCCCCTACTCCAACTAAACAGTCCAGGACCTCTCCTGAAAAAAAAAAAAAAAAAAAAAAAAAAAAAGATTCCCCACTCCTTTGCCTACCTAAGTCCTACCCATCTCTCAAGGCCCATGTCAAATGTCATGTCCTTTACTAAGCTGTAATAATATCGCAACCTAGAGACTACTCTGTCCTCTTTCTTGTCCCCAAATTCTAGAGTAGTTTTTGCTAGAACTGCTGATCTGGCTCTTAATAGATAGAACTATGTTCTGTCCCCTGACCAGAAGCCTGAGAACAAACATGAAGACTCAATTTTCTACAACTCACTAGGTCCTGGCACAACATTTCACTCTTAATAAGAGCTCAATTAACCTGGGTTAATAGGCTATCTAGGGAGGGCAGGTACGGGTGTGGTGGGATAGGCCTCACCTAGGGGATCAGAACGGCGTGGGGCAGGTCCTGCTGCAGGGCCCTCAGCCCAGTCCAACTTGCCACGGGCAATGAGGTACTTCTTGGCTTTGGACAGCAGTGCTGGGAAGTCCTCCTGGGAAGCCGCAAAGTTCTCAATCTTATTCTTCACAGAGCCCAGCACCTATGAAGCACACCTTCGTGACATTTCTGAGCAGCTCTAGACTGATACAGTCCTTTCTAGTCCCACTGGGCCTGTTCCCAGCCCACCCAGGGTCACTCCAGCTGCGGGCCTGGCCCACCACGGAGCCTGGACGCACCCATGCATGCATGCATCGCACACCTGCAGCAGGGACTTGACACTGGGCTGGAAGACCATGTTGGTGTTGAGCAGGAAAGAGCGGAGCAGGGGCTGGGGGTGACAGGCCAGCTGGGCCACCAGCCCCGTCAGCAGGAAGTTGACATAGACGGAGTTCTGCAGCATGTTCTCGAGTTTGGCAAAGAGCACAGCCATGAAGGGGCCTGGGTTGGGGGGGAGGTGGGCACAAGGATACAAAGCCTGAACACAATGCACATCGCACGCATTCCTCCCCAAAACAAGAGACCCCCACCAGATGAAAAGTATTTGTATGTCAGCCTCTGGGTATGTTTAAATATCCCGTGGCCACCTATTCTGGAGGAAATAAGATGGCAGACACCATATGGACCCACAAGATTCCAGATGCCAGCTTTACACACATTCAAGCTGACAAGCCAGATCTTAGGCTCTGGACTCTGAAAGATCTGGTTTCACTGGCTTTGCCCTTTACTAGTTTGGACAGGTCAAAATTGTCCAAGCCTTAGTTTCCTAGTTCGTAAAATAGGAAAATATACCTACCTCATAAGGTGATGAAGAGGATCAAAGAGTTATCAATATAAAGCATTTAGCCTCAGATCTGGCAAATTTTAAGTGTTCAGTTATAACCATAAGCTACAATTACATATTGTTTTTATAAAAGATTCACCCAAGAGGCACAACAGAAGAACAAATAGGTTGAGAAAGTAATTAGGTCCAAAAAGAATTAGGTTCCACAAAAAACGGAGGATAACACTAAACCTGCTCAGAAAGAAAGCTAGAAGATGGTGTTGCAAAGACAAAGTAACTATGTGAGCCAATTTAAAGTTAGGGAAAAAAATATTTGGAGGACCAGAGAAGACATCAGTTTTGTCTTTCAGAAGCTGGGAACCAAGACGGTGGAACAGAATATGTAGTAAAAGGATAGCTTAGTGCAGGGGCAGAGAAACTGACTGAGGACAGACTCTTTGGTGGGAGAGAAGGAAGGGAAAGGATCAGCATTATCCACTGGGAAAACTGACCTCAGCTAAGCCAGATCACCAGCAGTAGGCCTCTATAACCATCACAGTCCTTCTGATTAGGGATTTTTTTGGGGAAAGGGAGTATATATCTAAGAACTGTACTATGCATTGAGACAGGAGAATGATGGAGGGCAGGAGGGAGTGAATCCTGAAAAAGATGCTAAAACATTTTTCACTCCAGGTGCACATGTCTAGCATTAGCTTCAAAACAACTCTAGCTTAACAGAGTCCTAAGACGCCCCATAATTTTGTCCTGTTCCTTTCATTTCCTGGAAGTTTCTTGGAAAAAAAAAATTGAAAAGCTCAGATAAGTTTACCAAAGGAAAAAAAGACAAAAGCTTCAATTAATACTTCAAGACTGTGGTAAAACCTGCACGCTATCACCTAGTGGTACTGAGCTGAAAGGAACAGAGCAGAGGCTAAATAAATGGAAAGATAGATTTTCTGTAGGAGGCAAGAAGAGGGAATTGGCACAACTCCATGGCAGAAGCCCTGGTGCTGTATGAGCAGGATGGCCAGCATCTCCCAGGCCCAGTCAGGACATGAACTTATCAAGGCATGACAATCTGACTATGAACAACTGGAAGATGAGTGTTTGCCTTAGTCAACTTAAATCTGCTATGTACCCAGAGATCCTAGTGAAAAGCTACCACTTGCTGAGTTCTCACAATGTGCCATAATTGTAGTAAATGATTTATATGCATCTATGGCAGAGATGGGAGGCTAATGTAAGGTATGCCTAATCCAAGGCCTGTGATCTTAGCCTTAGCTACTACTTCTCAGAGGTGGGTTTGTTTTTTGTTTGGTTGGTTTTTTTGTTTTTTGGTTTTCCTGGCCTGAGGTTTAGAATGGCGGGGTAAGCTGGCTCTCATACAAAAACAAAGAGGAGTTAGTCCAACCACTCAGATCGAGTCTAGCTCCAGGGCATCCTTGAGAGTCCAAATGAACTCAGTCAGGGAGCTCAGGGCCACGCTTTGTCATTTGCCTTCAAAGAAATTGCACTCTATCTGCTTAAGACAGTCTTAGTGCTAGCAGACAGTCACAGCAACCAAGAAGGTACAAGGAAAGCGAACAGGAAAAACTTGAAATCAAGTCCTTCTTTGAAGAGGTGGGGAGGAAGGAGCTGAGTAGGGAGAAAAATACCAGAAGGTTAACCTTAGGCCCCAGGAGAGCTGACAGAAAACCCAAGACCCAGACAGATAAACTGGACGGAATGGCATAGAGAGTGTTTAGGTGCCTCTCCATACAGGACAGCACATACGTCTTCAATATGGTTCAGAAATATTGCTGTGATTCACCAGGAAACATCAAACACAGAATATCCTAATTACAAATCGCAGGAAATGGCCAGACTAGGGAAAGAGGAGGAACATGCACATAGGACATACATACAAGGCTCAGATGTAAGTCAATACTCAAACCAGCACAAGCATGGAAGACGTACAGACAGACACAGGGACACAAGTATGACATGACACGTATCTGGAAGTGATGCAAGCAGGATGGATGAGGGGCTAGGCAAGTACACAGAAATGACATGGCCAAGAGGTCCAAGAAACCAGCACAAACATGTCGAGAACATGCAAAGAGTACACAGAAGGGAAGGCCTAGGCTAAGTAGCTTACCAGTGAAGGGCTGGCTTGGCAGCTGGTTGAGAGTCCGCAAAGGGCTGCTGAGGAAGGGGCCAGGGGGCTCAGGGGGACAGGTGAAGCTCTCGTAGGCCTCCTCCTCCTCAAGGGGCAGTGGAGGTTCTAAGGGGGACTCTGAGCCAGTTCCCCCATTGCTCAATGCCACCTCTAGCTCCCGGAGCTCCTGCCCAAAGCCCTCTAGTCCTGCCATGCCCTCGGAGATGCCCTCTAGCAGTTCCCCAGCTCCCTCCTTTGGCACCAGACGAACCTTCTTGGCCCCCTCAGGCCATGATCCTGGCACTCCATTGAGCTGGGGAGGGGGCAGGTGACCAGGGCCCTCCCCTGCACCCCCAGCCCGCCCCCTCCTCCCCAGCTCTTCCTCCTCCCCTTCCCCCACGTTGTTCCTGTCCTCCTCAGGCAGTAGGCTGCGTTTCTTAGTCCGGGAGCCAAAAGGACTGGGCTCAGGAGAGGGCCGCTCGCCATCATAGGGGGCAGACCAGGTACGGCAGGCTCGGACACAGCGGTCCACACCACGACGTGCCTCACGCAGATACTCCAGGTAATTGTCTTCCAGCTCTCCAGGCTCCTCTGCAGGGGTAGGCCGTCGGCCAGGGCTGGAGGCGGGGGATGCAGAAAGCCCTGGTGAGCAAGGGGCTGGGCCTGGAGACTCAGAGCCACCCAGGCTCTGCTGCCGCAGGAAGAGAGCCAGACGAGATGGTGTGGAGGGCCGGGGTACTGTCGTCACAGAAGAGGAGTCCACACTTGGGCTTCCAGGACCTGCAAAGGGAAAAAATATAAGAGAAATCAAGGAGACAGAGGTTCAGAAGGAGAGATAAGACACCTCGGGAGACTAAGAAAGAAGACAATGGGGAGGCAGAAACATGGAATCTATTCAGACAGCTAACTCTCCAACCTCCTAATTAACCTTATCCTCATCCACCACCCCCACTCACCACCATCACCACTGAAGACACAATGGAAACAGGAAGAGTACACGACTAGAGAGAAGAACAAGAATAGCTTTGCCCAGAAGTCCCACTCTAATTTTCTTTGGTGAGTGTTAAGGGTCCTCCCTGCAAGACACCCTCATCAACCTCCCCAAAGACAGACTATCATTCATGGACACCTTCCTCCCCTTCACCCCAGCCCCTCCTTGCTACGCTCCCCCAGAACCTAGGCCATACCCGTGATGTCCTCCCTTCTCCCTGTCTCTCTGCTAGGCCCACCTCGTGCCCATGAGGCATGCTCTGGACGAGGTGGGCTGGGGGCGTGGTGCCGACAACAGCGTGGGATTAGGGAGAGAAACTTGTCAGCTGCTCGTCCATATAGGTCCACATCACGAACAGCCGGCTTCTGGCTCAGCATAACGTGGTTACATGGAACAAGATACCTGAGAAAGACATCAGAAAGGGGACACAGGGTAGATCAGGAAGGAAGGACAGGGCCTAGAGGAACATCAGGCCAATGAAACTGCATGGTTAAGCCAGGCTCCAAGTGGAAACTCATGAGTAACCCCTATATAGCCCATTGCCCCAGCAATGCATAAGACTCTGAGGCTTCAGGGTCAGCCATCCCTCAGCCCTGCCCCAACAGATACCTGAGAACCAGCTGCAGCAGGACATCCTCACAGCTGAGGTTCAGGAGGGTCCTGAAGAGACTCAGAGAGACCATGCAGAGCTGGGGGGGTGGAGGGGAGGGAGGGAGTCACCATAAGAGCTCTCTGCCCTCCAAGCCATTCACCAAACGGGAACCCCACCAGCCCCAAGTTGGCCCAACCAACCACTCCTAGAGGAACTCCTAGAGGACCATGTACCATGCCTGGCACATAAGTCATTCAAGTATTAGCTAGATGATCACACGATCTTTGCGAGCAAGACTTTGCTATTCATACAAATGAAGCATCTCAGACCCAATGGACTTCTATAGACTCTCTAGCTATATATACCTGGTCAGCAGAGACTCCAGCAACACTTGAACGAAAATCCATGAGAAGAGACTAAGAAATACTGTGATTGAGTGAATGACTAACAGGAGACAACAGAAACATGGTAATTAAGTGAATGCCTGCCAGAAGGGACTGTAGCAATACAGTAACTGAATGCCTACCAATAAGAAACTAGAGGGAACCGGGAAGATTCCCAACTGGGAAGTAGGTGGGGCTGCAAACATGAAGTCTGAGTCACCTCTCTAACACTAGTGTATCTCTCAGAAGGCAGGATAAAGAACAACTCAAGCGCAGCTGACAGGAAAAGGAAAAAGTAGGTGGGTCAAGATTAGAGGAAATCTTTTATTTTAGAAAAGGAAGAAGGTTGGTTCATCTCTGACTAGGTAAAGAAAACACATATGTAACCTTTCCCTCACTTCTCTGAATCTTCCTAGCACTTTCTCTATACTTCCCTTACAGCAAGTGTGTCAGACACCTTGAGCTCCCTGAAGACAACGAATGGGTCTTGGTCTAGGGCACTACCTGAACAGTTTAGGCATTCATTATTTGCTACATGACCACGGGAGAATTAAAAGTCAACCACACAGCAAGAAAAACACGTGACAGCAGT
Organism: Homo sapiens; assembly: GCF_000001405.40. Classification (NCBI taxonomy): domain Eukaryota; kingdom Metazoa; phylum Chordata; class Mammalia; order Primates; family Hominidae; genus Homo; species Homo sapiens. Next base: position 6,219,929 of record NC_000011.10, read on the forward strand.
TCACATTTTGAATAGCATGGATGTTCAGGAGGCTATCCTAAATGACCACTTTAGCTAGCAATGAAAAAATTCAGACTCACTGAAAAGTAGTAAGTGGGTAGAAAAGTGGTCCCTCAAAGATGCTCACATCCTAATCTCCAGACCCTAAAAATATTTCACCTCACGTGGCAGAGACGACTTCGCAGATGTGAGTATCCTAGATGAGATTATCCTAGATATCCACAGATAATAGAGATCCATAGATATCTATTATCTATGGATGAAGGGGGGCCATGAGCCAAGGAATCTGGTTGCTCTACAGGCTGAGAATGTTCTTCAGTTGTCAACCAGCAAGAAAACAGAGATCTCAATGCCACAACTGCTAGAAAATTAATTCTGCCAATAGAAATAAGGAAATGGATCCTGTCCTACGGCCTCCTGAAAGGAACACAGACCCCACCCCCCAAAATTTTGATTTTAGCCTGGCGAGATCCAGGTCATACATATGACCTACAAAACTGTAAGACAATAAATCTGTTTTAAGCATTAGGTTTGATAATCTGTTATGACAGCAATACGGAATTAACACAGGCTGGTTAGCCAAAATTAGTCACTTCAAGGCACACAAGGCAGGCTATATACGTTACAAAGTCAAGCCAAAGAATCAAGCTTGAAAGGACCACAGTGGAAAGGAAAGCATCTACATGTTTAACACGGGCATCCTGAAATTAGAAGAGATCTGTTCCTCCAAGAACCAGGAACCAAGAAGAAACATCCCAAGAACATGTAAGGCTCCTAAGACCAGGGGACCAAATGGGAGACTAATAGAAACAACTACTAAAAAAATGAAAGATAGTGAGTAAGAATCAAAGTTAGGATAAGACAAAAGGAAGAAACAACAGATAAAACCTCAAAAAGAAAATCAACTGTCTCTAAACATGAACAGGACAATATGAGGCCAATCATGGCCTAATTTCAGCATAATGAGGGAAAAAAAATACTTTTGGTATCTTTGTAAAATTAAAGCTTTAATACCTATTCCCTATTGGTTCCAATAAATCTTAACCCAAGGCATCTATCATGATTACTTTTTGGAAAATTTTAAAAATACACATGTCCTGAGCCTACTCCCAAAGATTCACGAAATCTGAGGTAGAGCTCAGAATCTGTTGTAGTTGTTAGTTGTCATCTTCAAAGATTCACAGACGTTTCTAAAGTATACACTTGGTTTAGAAACACTGGTTTAATCAGTCAGTCTGGAATATTTCTTATACACCCTAACTTAGCTTCAGAAACTGCACCTATACAAAACACAGCTATCCAGGAAACTGACCTGGAACTCTACTATCTAGTATCTCATTATCTAGAAGTTTTCCAGAGCTCTTAGTGATGAAAGAACTTCTATTTTAAACACATGGATCCAGGAAACTTTAACTTATAATAAAAAAAGGAAGCAAAAATGGTCCCAGAGGCAAAATAAATGCCATGAAGTCCATGGCAAAATTAATGCTTTATTCTCCTAGAGGGGCTTAAGTCTTTATAACTTGGAAACCACCCACTCCCATGTTATATATATTTCTATTTGTTAATATCCAAACTTCTTGCCATGGTCTTCCAGGTCATGCATGATCTGAATTTTACCCCTCTATTTTTATCTCATTCCCTTCTTCCCCTTGCTCACTACACCTCTAGTCTTTCATTTCCTCAAACATGTTAAGCTCTTCCCCCATTTGATGTCCTTTGCATGCTGTTCCCCTTGCTTTCCTGTTCTTCTACTTGATCAATAAGTTAACTCCTTTATAATCTCTATGTCTCAGTTCAATGTCATCTCTTCAGAGAGGTCTTCCTTGGCCACCCTATTATTTCTAAGCACTCTAGTTTTTTCATAACCCTGACCACAACTTATTAATGTGTTTGCTTGTCTGTCTTCTCTACAAAGTAAGCTCCATGAAGTCAGCAACAATGTCTACCTTATTTATCACTGTATCCCCAGCACCAGCAAACAGTATGGCACACAGTGAACATTCAGTAAAAATGTTTAGGAGGAAGGACCGAAAGTAGATAGGTGGGTGGATGAGTGCTCCAAGCTATAGTTCAAAAGCAGCAAATCCAAAGGAGAAAGAAGGCAAGCATATCAGTAGCACCTGGATCACCTACCAAAGCAGACACACAACCTAAAGTGCTCTCAAGTCACCCAAAGCAGGCCACAGAGTGATAAACAGTTTAAGAGAACTCAGGCCAATACTACATTACGAACACTGCACAGTAGCAAAACCTATAGTCATGATGAACAGCCAAAGTCATCCAGAAAAGGTGACTGTGTTCTAGATTCATCTATCATAAAAGCAGGGGAGTAGATTAAAATCTGTACCCAAAATGGTTAAAAGTTTAATGCTGGAAAGTTAATGCCACTTAATTTTGAGGTGACTGCTGGAGATACAGGCAAAAGAAGGGCAGGAATACCCTCCCAGAACAAAGGTCAGAGAAAGAAGATGGGTCATCCAGGTAAGCTAGGACAGGGGTAAGGGCCATACCCGGGAGTTACTGCCAATACGAGCAACGAGGGTGTCGAGGATGGTGTGGGTGTCATGCCGGTGCAACAACAGGAATCGCAGGAAGGTACGGAGCAAAGCAGGCTCTGAGATACTCCGTAGGAAAAGTTCCAGATAGGCGGTACTGGCGATCATCTCCTCCACAGAGGTCTGCACAAAAAGAAGGGAAAGTCTGGAAATGCACAGCTTCCCTGCACATACAGGGCCATTTTCCCTGGATTCTAAGAGAAATCAGGAGCAGACAGGGCAAAAGGGAGGAGTACTCTACCCACCGCCTCCTACGTTAGTCCTGTCACTGAGGTTACCACTGCAGCTTAGCCCCTTATATGCCTTGCCACCCATGACTCTCACCTTGTGCAAGGCAGGACCCATGACAGGCACCAGGAACCCATTATGGATATAATCAACCAACTGCTTCTGCACCAGGGGGTGAGCCACCTGTAGGAGTGCCAGAGAGAAGGGGGAGGGTTATGAGGAGACCACTGCCTGGAAGGGAGTAGAATAGTACACTACAGAGAGGCATCCTACTTCCAAGATGGAAAAATGACAGAACTCCAGGGAATATACCCCCTCCTACCTAATCTCCCAAAAATGACCAAGGGCCAGACTTTCAGTCCTACCTGAATTACTGCATTGCAGAACTCCAGGGAACTCATGAAGAGTGCAAGGGCTGGCACTCCCAGCCAGTCTTCCCGTCGCAGACAGTGCCAATCATCCCCTGGAACCTCAATCTTTCGAGGCAGTGATGAGTACAGGGCACTGAGCCCTGTGGCCAGCACCTATGAGAAGTTACCAAAAGCTCATATATAAAATACATTTATAAAATATAAAAACTGGAACAGGGGAGCTAGTAATCCAGAGTTTTGATGGGAATAGGGGTATAAGCTATTACCAAAGCAAGCATTTGCCTACCCAATGTGCCTGAAACTCACCTAGAATTCACAGGCCTACAAAGAGACTTAGTATCTGCCCTATCCATCTAAGCCCATGATTCATCCCCACTACAACTCCAGGGGGCTGCTTTCAAATCCAGGAACTGTTTCCTAGGGGAACGGGCCCTGGAACATAGCCTCTCCCCATCTCCTGGATAGGAAGGTGCTGTTCAGTATCTACACACCACACCCTACCCTCCAAGCCAGGGGGTGCTAACCGGGCAGAAGTAAGAGTGATCCGCGATGTAGCGGCCCACAGTGGGGCTCCCAGCTGACAAAGCCATGAGAAGAAGTAGGGCATCACGGGCCTGCTGGCCCAGGGTGCCCTCTCGATGCACAAAAGGGACAAGGCGAGAAAAGAGAAGAAGACGGGGAGCGGCTCCAGGCTCAGGAGGTGGCTGCAGGAAGAACTCGAGCAATGAAGGCTCCTGGGCCACACAAACACACAGCTGGCTGAGAAGTAGCACCAAGCCTTCATCCAGTGCTGGGCTACTGGGCACAGGGCGGCCACAGGCATCCAGCAGGGTGAGCAGAGCCTCACGAACTGGACCATGCCGCAACAGTGGCTGGCGAGCTTCGCTCACTAGCATTTCAAATAGTTTCAGTTGCTCAGCCCGCCGTTCCTCGACCCCATCCCCAAGCTCATCCCATTGCAGCTGCCATGTCAACACACGGGTCAGCAGATCCTCGTGCAGAGCAAACTCCAGCAGGGGCCCAGGGCCTGTGGGGGCCGAGGGAACTGCACGGTCCTCTGCCAGCAGTGTCAACATCTGGTAAGTGTGGTTGCGCACAGCACTGAGATCGTCTGCACCCCCAGGAGCTGCCCGAGGGCCTTGCCGCTCCAGGATTCGCACCACCTAGGGAAAAAGGACAGAAGATGGAAGGAATCTAAATTGATAAGGTTACTAAATGGGATGAGGAGAATATAGAAGGCTGGGAGAACTCAGGTGATCAGCAGACAAGGCCCTTTGCCATACAGTCTCCTACCTGGGACCAGTGATTCTTGAAGACCATGAGGCAGGTCTCGGGATCAGCCATGACTGGGGTTTGGAGATTGGCCCCTTGAGGTATACGGTGCCCAGGGCCCCGGGAGGCCAGTCTGCTCAGCCAATTCATCCTCTCCATGAGGCAGGCTGGGCAGGACTGGCAGCCAGAGGCCTACACTCTGAGGATTTGCCAGCTGGAGGTTTTCTCCACTTGTGTCTCCAGTCTGCTTCATCCGGTCTGTAGGAGCCAGTAGCTGCCCATGGAGCCAGAGGTTATACCAGGCTGGAATGGCAAGCCCAGAGGTCACTGGCCAGTCCAGATTTCTAAATCTAATTCAGAGAAGAGATAATGGAAGGGATAAATAGAAGCTCACTTTCCAGAACTCAGAACCACCACTCCACTGAAAACTCCACACACCTATATATACATACACACATACACACAATCAGCAACTGACATGTCTAAAACAGAACTCAGATTTCTACCACCAAACCTGTTACTCCTTCAACTTTCTCCATCTCAAAAGAAAATGATACCAAAATTAACCTAAATGCTCAAGCTGAAAATGTGTACATTATCCTTGTTTTTTCTTTTCCTTACTTCCAATATCCAGTTCATCAGCAAACTCTATCATCTCTACCTTCAAAATATGTCTCACTATTGCAGTAGCTTCCAATCTGGTCTCCATGATTCCTTTACTATCCTCCTAAGAGTTATCAAAACAACCAGAGTGATATTTTTAAAACCTAAATTATATGACCTGTCCTCTGCTGAATACTCTCCAATAATTTCCTAACACACTGTAATAGTTCAAATTCCTTATCTTGGCCTACAGGAGCCTACATAATCTAATCTGTATAACTTCCTACCATTCTCCTTCTCACTCACACTTTAGTGACACAGGCCTTCTTGAATACTTTTTGTTCCCTCTGCCTAGACTAGAATGTCCTTCTCCTGCTTTTCACATTGCTGTCATTGCTCGTTTTGTTTGTTTGTTTGTTTCAAATCATCTCCCCAGATAGGCCCTGCCTAACAATTCTATCTAAATAGCACATCTTCTCACCTTCACTCTCTAGCTTCCTAATCCTTTCTTCTTGGCAGTTTTCACTACCTGAAACTATTTATTTATTTGTCTATCTTCCCCACATTAGGTAGCTTCTTTGAGGGCAGGGTTTGTCTTATTGTGTCTGTTGTATCCCCAGGGCCTAGGGACTCAATAAATATTCGTTGAACGTATTAATGCTGAAGCAAATAAGTGAGTGAATGAATGAATGAATGAACAATCAATCAAGAAATCCAGCCTTGATCTGACTCTAGCCCTCTGGGACTACTGAAGAAGAAATTTCTGTCTATCACAGGTGCTTCCCTAGAAACCTACCCAGTGACCTATGGGAGATGAGCAAATAAGACCCTTAACTGACTGAATACTCTTAAGAGGAAGAATTCAGAGCCAACCAATAAAGAAGAGCTGTTTCCTTTCCAGTAAGGAAGACAGACACATTCCCATCTCCACTCCTGCCAGACACAACCCAAACTCGCTCCCAAGAAAATGGTAAGACATCCTCACAAGAAAAAGGAAAAAAGTACCAAGTAGCTATTGGAGAAGGAACCATAGTTCCTTCTCCTTTACAGCCACCACACCCTCATCAGTACTGTCTCTCACAAGCATAAAACCTTGAAAGGAAAGGGGTGGTTCAGTTGTCCTTCCTCTTTATACTCAACAAAGGCCGAAGGAATCCAGAGACCTGGCACCAGCCCCACATTTTGCCCTAAGGTTATATTAACAATATCTCCCTTCACCCAGATACTCTCTCACACAATTTCCAGCTCACAACTAAAGGAAGGTAGCCACTATGTTTAAGCAAAATTTCTATAGAACAGGTGAGTCTTATAAAGGGAGGGGCCCAGTCCTAAAGAGCAGGTAGGGCTTACTCATTAACTCAATGTATATCCATATGGATAAAATACTGGGCACTGTTCTAAGTAAGCACTGGAAATAACAAAGATGGATAAAAACAGTTGAGGTAGCATAAACATAAATCCAACAAATATTGTAAATAGAAGTATTTATAAAAAGTGTCATGGGGGCATGAAGGAAAACAACTAACTCTGCCTGGGCTATTAGAGGGTTCCACAGAGTTAATATTGAACTTAGATCTTTAATAATGAGATACTAATTAAGCAGAGAGCAGAGGGAAAGGTTTTCTTCATATTAAAAACAGTACGTACAAAACTATGGTACCGTGAAAGAACACGAAAAATTCAAAGAACAGTTGCAAATTTAGTGTGCCTTAATCACAGACTATTCAGAGAAGAGAGGCACAACATTAGTTGAAGGGTAAATGTGGGTGACGGTTATAAGTATTGCTAAATATTATGCTAAGGAGTTTAGCTTTTGTCTACTGACACCCTAGAAACAAAGGAGGTTTTTAAACAAGAAAATGGTAAGATCAGATTGTCCTTCAAAAATACATCAGGTAACAGAATAAGATGGAGCAGAGAGAGATGGATTGCAGTGGACAATTTATAAGAAGCTGTTTCAATAGTCCATTTGAAAATAAGAAAGTAATGTCATGAACTAAGAGAAATATTAGGAAAGATAAATCTGAGATTCGCCTCTATCTTAATATGTTCCATGCAATACTGAAATTATTTATACCTGTAATACCTCTGCCAATCAATAGCAAGTTCCTTGACAAAATAAAAATAGCATTCATTTTTCTTTGAAATCCCAGTGCAAACATACAGCCTGAACTCAAATATGCTTTTGAAATTGAATGCTGAATTAATAAGTATTACAGCAAACATATATTTACTACATGCCAGGCTCCATTCCAGCACTACACGAAGTAGCTAACTTAAACCTCATAAAAACCCATTTAAGTATTATTATCCACATTTTACATAGGAGGAAATCAAGGCCCAGAGAGGTTAAATAAATTGCCCAACATTACCCAGCTAGTGACAGGACTAAAATGCAAATGCAGAATATCTGCCTCCAGATTTAAATTAACCGCAAAGTAAAAGCAACAAGACCTGGCAAACAAATGGGGGATGAGAGAAGACTCTCATAGGAAGTATAGGAGATTCAGTAAAAGATAAAGCCATTAACAGACTAGAAACACATAAGAAGGGGAATTGTGTTTTAGAAAAGAGGTTGAGTACAGTTTTGAACATGTTAAGTTTTGAGACATCTACAGGATATTCATGATGTCCAGAAAGCAAGTAGGAATACCATACTTGAGATAATGAATAAAATCAAGACAAAAGATACAAATTCAAGAGTTAGCAGCTTATAGACAACTATGAAGCTATGGAAGTAGATGGAATTATCCAAGGAGAACAGCAGATCATGAAAGGAGGTAAGGGTAAAATCATGGGGAAAACCAGGACGTAGGAAAGTTAAAAAGGAGGAGTCTTTAAAGAAGACTTTGAAGGGAGCCAGAAATAAAAGGAGAAACCCAAGAAATAACGATGATCTAGACATCAAAGAAAGGAAGTTTCAAGAAACTGGAGGTTGCCCATAGTGTATAGTTCTATAGAAAGATCAAGTAGAATGAAGACTAAAAATGGTGCAATCAAGTTTTTTACAAACTTAGTCAAATTAGTTAGTTAAAGAATAGGAATCGAAATGTAAGATGTACTTTCAGGAAATTCAGTAAAATGAGAAAGGATAAAAATAGGGTAGGCCAGGCGTGGTGGCTCATGCCTGTAATCCCAGCACTTTGGGAGGCCAAGGCAGGTAGATCACTTGAGGTCAGGAGTTTGAGACCAGCCTGACCAACACGGTGAAACCCCATCTCTATTTTAAAAAATACAAAATTAGCTGGGTGTGGTGGTGCACACCTGTAATCCCAGCTACTCAAGAGGCTAAGGCAGGAGAATCGCTTGAACCCAGGAGGCAGAGGTTGCGGTGAGCCAAGATCGCACCATTGCACTCTAGCCTGGGCAACAAGAGTGAAACTCTGTCTCAAAAAAAAAAATAGGGCAATAGCTTAAAGAAGTTGTGGTAAGGGGAGTCAAGAAAAAGCCTTTTGATTTTGCTGTAGGATGGGGAGGCTCAAGGGTGTCTGTCAAGTGAGAGCAGTAGTCTGAAGAAAGTGACAAGTTATAAATAAATAAGATAGAGATAAATGGCATTAAAATCGGGTATACTCAGAAAAATAGGTAAGACACCTTCTCTGAAAAAGGAAAAAATGAGTAATAAATAAAGGATGGATGCTACTTCAGGCAAATCTGAACATGAAGAAAGACAGAAGCTAACATCCAATCCACCACCAACCCCACCCCACCTTCCCTCCCTCACTCACTAGAAGAATGGGGGTGAGAGAGAAGAAAATGGGTGAGAAGGTGGCAAAGCCACAGAAGCACTGCTAAGTCTTTCATACATGGTTTCTTAATAAATCATTAACGCAGCAACAAAGACTAGTAGCCATCAGCAGGGATGCACTGGACAAGTACTTATCCACCCAGCTATTTATGGTCCCAATTAGGCATGGACTGGAAAAGATAAAGTCAACGGTTGAGAAAAGTGGTAAGCACTCTCCCCTATGGCTAGCCCCTCTTACAGTTATTAGCCCTGGGATACTGTACCATCCCTTGTTGGTTTCCTTAAACCCTATCCATATCTTTGTAAATATGGTCCCTTTATTAAACTCTTCCCAAACCCAGCTTGAGCTATCTGCCACCTGCAAAGAGCCTCATTGAAAAAAGAGTATTAATGTTTATGGAACACTTTTCTCAATCGTATCTCATTTTAAAGACTGAAAACAAAGACAATCAAACAAGAATAATACAGAGTAGTAGGTAAAGTCTGAACTCTGGAGTCCCTCAATGGTTTGAATCCCAGTCCACCATTCCCCAGCTGTGTGACTTTAAATAAATCATTTCACATATCTGAGCCTCAGCTTCCTCATCTATAAATTCCTGATGAAATAAGTATTGCTAGTTTTAAAAATTAAGTCACATAACAACCTATGTAGCATTCCAACCATAAAGAAGGTACTCTGTAAATTACATGTCCCTTTCCTGCTTCCTTCTCCTGATCCTATTTGACCCAAGTGCCCATATCTCTGACTGAGAAAAGAGATATAACCTGCTCTGATGTGTCCATCCTTATCGCCTCCCATGCATACCTCAGTCAGCTGAAGAAAGGCCAAGCATTCAGTCTCAGTAAGGTCTTAACATGTCCAAAACTAAACTGCCTCCAGCTTCTGGAATTTAATTTCAAACATTAACTGCTCCTACCTTGCAGTATACCTGAGGTGCCCATTATTGCTCCACCACTTGACCAACAAAGGGTACTGCTCATGGAACCAAGGAAGATTAGCCTCCAGGACCCTTCCTCACCCACCTGCCCACCGCAGTTCTACAATCCCATTTCAAAGACCTCAAGAGAAGATGTTGGAATCAGCATCTCAGATTCCAAAAGCCAATACTTAAACTGGGCCCTGTTCACATACAACAAAAGCATAAAAGAAAGCTATAGTTTGGTATTCCTATCACCTAATTAGACTCTCTGCAATGTTCAGAACAAGACAAAGAAAAGGTTAAAATCACCACCCTCTCATGGTGTCCTTTCCTCCCATAGCAAAGTCCAAAAAAAAAAAAAAAAAGCAGAACCTGCCACTCTCCAGATTTACCTTCAGGCTCAGCCACAGAGTAAAAAGGGGAACGAGCTGATCTCTCAGACCCAAAATGGCCAAGATCAGGCACTCACCTTATAGCCCAAAATACAGCCTTACAGCCACACACAGCAAGGGTGACAACCAACCTCGGAACTGCAGATACAGGGCAGGAAGTGGCTCAGCCTCACTTATGAACCTTTGCCCTGGGAGAGGCAAAGAGGAGGGAGCTGGGGGAAGGGATATACCTGCAACACCTACATTGGACAGAGAGACCAAAATGATCTTCCAAGAACAGGTCAGTAAAATTCTGTGGTGTCTCTCTCCTTACAGTGGCTCTTCCTAGGCAAGAAGACTAATTACTGACATAAGGAGGATGAATGGGCTGTTACCCTAAATACTGGAAGTTGAATGACCTGATTAAAATCTCATAGAAATACAAAGGGAAAAACCAACCAACCAAAAACACCACCTACTAGGAATTTATACTAGAGCTCAGCTTACACATTTCTTCCCTGCTTTTCCATCCCTCAGACAAATGGGATGTCAGGGTATGGTCCCAACTCATTCCCTTCCCTCCCCGCAATATCACTTCTGCTTCTTGCAGGGATCTCCTCATCTGACTCCAGCGGGGTCCATCCAATTCACAAAAGTGAACCTCTATTCTACAGTGACTCCTCTTTACAGCAATGAATCCTCATGTCACACACAGTTATCTCTACCTTGACAGAGATGTCAAAAAGGAGGTGAAACTGAACTAGATCCTAAAGGATAAGGAAAGTTCACTGGGCAGAGAAGAAAAGGCATTCCTAGTAGAGGAAGCAGCTATTACAAAGATTTCAAGGCTCAAAAAAGCAGCATGGTTTTAGGGAACTGTGAACAATTTATTCAAACTAGAATACAGACTAGGGAGTGGCACACGAGACTGGAGAGGTAAGCTGAAGCTAAATGATGCCATATTAAGAAATTTGGATGTTGTCCTACAGGACACAAAGAGCCAAAAGTTTTTAAGCCAAGGAGTTCGGAGATCAGATGTGTATTTTCAGAAAAATCATTCTAGGGATGGACCAGAAAATAGCAAGTTTTAAGACAAAAAATTGTTTTAAAAAAATCATATGAGGTGAGGGGGAGCTAAACTAAAGCTTTGACAGTGAAGATGTAGCAATGGAGATATAGAGAAGAGAGATAACACAGAGCGAAATGTATTAAGATTCTAGCAAATGATTGAATGCAGGGAGTAAAAGAGCAGAAAGTATGAAAGATGACAATGTAGTCCTTGCCTGGAGTGAGATAGGGGATATGAGGGCAAAGTCGGGCTTTTGGGGCAAAGACTATGAATTCTGTTTTGGACATGTTAATTTTGAGATACTTGTGGAGATACACAGATCAATAAACATGTATACTTGGAATACAGGGAAAGATGACACTAGATACAAAGGAGTAATCAACTCATTATGATATATTTTCTTTTTTTTTTTTTTTTTTTTCTTGAGGTGGGGCCTCTGTCACCCAGGCTGAAGTGCAGTGGTGTGACCTCATCTCACTGCAACCTCTGCCTCCCAGGCTCAAGCAATCCTCCCACCTCAGCCTCCGGAGTAGCCAGGACCACAAGTATGTGCAACCACACCTGGCTAATTTTTGGTGGGTTTTTTTGGTGGTGGTTTTATTGTCGTTGTTGTTGTTGTTTTGGTAGAGGCAGGGTTTCAAAATGTTGCCCAGGTTGGTCTCAAACTCCTGAAGTCAAGCGATCTGCCTGCCTCAGCCTCCCAAAATGCTAGGCGTGAGCCACTACGCCCAGCCTATTATGATATATTTTCACATTTCACATTATCTCTCTAAATTGAAATTATGTTTTCATGTGTCTCTCTCTCCCTACTAGACTGAAAATCCCTTGAGAGCTCGGATGACCATGTTTTATTCATGTTGTTATCCCATAAAATGTGAGCATCACAAGCACAGACTATATGTTGAAGAAGTATTTGTTGAATGAATAAACGAATTCATTCTCCTAGCACTTAGTAGAGTGCCTGGCACAGAGCAGATATGGAATAAATGATTAACACAGTACCCTAAACATGTTTCTATCTCTACATCATCATCCTCATGTATGTTTCATCCTCTCAGAACTACCACTCACTATATGATACAAATCAAAATCCATTATACTTAATGCACTACTATTTCAACAGAGTTTGGGATAGCAAACAATAAGCTTACCAAATCCAGTGCTTTCTCCATTATAACAAGGATTTAGACAGTCCCTAAGAACCATCTAATATTTGATTTGATTCATCCTATCACTATCATGATATGATCCACTATCAAGATGTGATCCAGGTATTATATATACCTGTTCCAATGTCACTGCGACAGCATTAAACATAACCTTCATCCCTATGTCACTCTCACAGTCCCTTTTCTGTCTTTTGGAAATAGAACAATTACAAATCATTAAAAAATCCTCCCACATCACCTTCAGTGTCTATTATAAATCTTCTTTCCCAAAGTCTCTCTCACTCTGAGACAAAATTCTGGGTTCAGCCTTGCCACTGTATCCCTGTATGATCTCTGGCTACTGAATTTAATTTCTCATCTATAAAATGAAAGTTCCTGTCTTTGTCTACAAGGTATCTATATAAATCAGTATAATAAAATTTGAAATCCCTATGTAAAGCATGAATGCTGTTCAGATGTTAAGTTATACAGAATCATTGTATAAATGTATGCTTCCTCAACCTAATACAACAGCCACACCATCATCACTTTAAATTTCTGAAGTTCATAAAGCTATAGAAATAATTTTTAAAATTAAAAATTGGGTTGACACTTTTTATTTGGGTAAATTAGATCTTTTTTTTTTTAACCCACCATCTACTGTTACCATTACTGCATCAACGAAAGAGCACTGCAACACCAAAAGAATAGGAATGATAATCTCTGAGAATAAATTTATCTTCATGAATAACCATACTGTCTTTCTCTCCCTCCATCTTGGATAGATGATAATTTTATCATGTACAGGGTCCTTGGTCCAGTGTTTAGGAACCACTACTCTAAACTCTGAACTGTAAGTTCTGACTGACTGGGCAAGTTGCCAAGTGTTCTACCAATATGGAGGCCTGTCTGGACTCCAGAAAGAAGCAATGAGAATATACCACAGGATATAGGAGTTGGCTCTGAAGCTAAGACTCTGGAAAAGAATGGGGACTGAGGCTGTCTAATTCTCAGGAAATGGTCTCTCCCTGTCCACTGTAGAGTTAAGGAAAGACTTAACTCTTTCTGAGTCTGGAAAGAATAGGATGTCCCAACCCCATGGCTGACTAGCAGTAGAGAGGAAAATTTAGTAGTGTGAAAGTGGCCATTATCACTGAATGCCAAACCAACTTTCCAGAATTTCACGTGCATTTGGGTTGGTGGGGAGAAGAGGACCTAAAAGAATGCTAGTAAGATGAACCCAACTACAGGGTGTGGAGAGGAAGAGATAAATTTTCAGGTGGCTAAAATGTTCAGTATCTTGAGACTGATGATGATTTCACAGATGTGTACACATGTCAAAACTCATCAAACACACATTTTAAATATAATATAAACTAGCTTTTTAAAAAATTCAACTGTAAGAAAGGAGAGTAAGGCCATCCTGTTTGGGATCCTAAATATAGTACTGTATAGGGCAAACCATATGACCTCCATAAAAGTAGAATTAGCAACTGAATATGGTCAATCCAATCAAAGACCCACAGTTAAGCACAGGTAAGGAGCAACAGTGGAATAAGGTTGTCCAGAAGCAAGTAGAGAGAAAACACAAGCTGTCACAGCGCAAAACCCTTCATGAGAGGGCCCATCTTCAACTATGCAGTCCAGAGAAGGAACTCGAAGGAACTGAAGTTTCTGTGATTACTCTGTTGAAGTCTGAGCCTCAAATATGACTTTCATTACCATAGTACTATTGCCTATGACACCTTCATTTTCTCGTCCTCCAGAATATGGAAAGTCCATGGGAGCAGAGGAGTCAGGTGCACAACACTTCCATCTAAGCTGCCCTACTTTGTCTAAAACTATTGCTCTCACTGGACAGGGCAGTCCATCGAAGGAGGCCTCAGAACCAACCTCTCACCTTTATCCAAGTCTCACAAGCCCTAATTCCCTCCTCCCATGCCTCGCCTTCAACTCCCTCACCAATTTGCCGCCACCCCGCAGGCTCCCACCTGCGCCTTTTACTCTCTCTCTCCTCGCGCAGGCCTTACCCCTCACTCTAGTCCCAGGGTATCCTTCACACCAGCCCTCAGTAGCCCCAGCCCTAGTAAACCGCGTTCAGGAGTCCCTTCAACTTGGCACCTCCGAAAGCACCCAGCCTCTCACAGCCCCTCATTTGTCCACTCACCTGTAAGCTCTCACCCTCCTTCCCTATCTTAGACACTCACACCCGGACCCTCACCACCTGCCAACCCCTCACAACCAGTACAGTAACCAAACCCGTCACCGTCTTTTCCCAGTCTCTCATCCCCACAAACGACTCTCCAGGCCCTCTGGCCCATGCGTACCGTTCACTCACGGAACGCCGAACCTGGCCGGGCCCGGTTGCTGCTGCGGTGTTAGGTGAGTTCAGGCCGCCGCCATCGCTTCTCAAGCGCACCAGCCGCGCCCCGCCCCGCGCCACACGCAGCCCGCGCCCCCGCGCACCACACGCAACCGCCCGGCGTCGCACGACTGGGCAATGGCGTGCCAGCTCATTGGCTGAGCCGGACCAAACCCGAGCAAGGACGCTTGTTTCCTGGCAACGGCTAAACGCAAGGGCGGGGTCGCCGACGGCTATCCGAGGGAGGAGCACCGCCTCTCCTCTTGGTTCCGTCCCTTCGTACGTAAACCCCGCCCCTCAGAAGGACTCCGGCGTGTCATAGGCGAAGGCCTCTGGGAAGGTGGAGGCCGGCAGGGCGGAGGCGGAGCCCGGGAAGGAAAGGTGGAACCAGAGGGCAGAAGGCGGGACCTAAGGAGAGGCGATTTTTACAGGCAGGGAAAGATCAGAAGGGCGGGGCTTGGGAGAGATGGAGCCGGAAGAAAGACGAGCGAGAAAGGGGTGGGGCCATGGATTCCAGGAGACGCTTGGAGTGGAAGAGTGGGTGTGGAGGGGCGAGGCTATCACGAAAAGAGAGGAGGAATCAGTAGGTGGGCCGGGCCTGCGGAAAAGTGGAGCCCTAGAGAGGGCTGACTGCGGGCACTCTAGTTCATTTTGCTCCATCGTCGTGCATAGCTTGGTCTCTACTTTAGTACCCCAGCGGTGACTGCCCCTGGCTCCCCCAACACCGCTGTGCTGTGCTGCTCCGTCACCCCTTGAGCACTTAGTCAAGGAACACGGAATAAGTGCCTGCATGCCCAGCTGGATTCCGGATCAATTAGAACCGGCCTCTGCTCTCCAGGACCTCAGAGAATTGCAGCGTAGTGTAATAAGTACATTACTACGGGGGCCACCTAGGAGCAGCACTTAGCATGATTTGCATGTATAGAGGATGAGAGGAAGGTACGGTGAAGGAGCTTAGGGAAGACTTCCGGGAGGTGACGGTGTCTAAGCCGAGTCTTGGGAAACAAGCAAGAGTAAGATAAACTAAAATAGAAAAATAGAAGTTTCAGATAAGGCATGTAGTTTTAAAAGTACTTTACCGGCTGGGCGCGGTGGCTCACGCCTGTAATCCCAGCACTTTGAGAGGCCGAGGCGGGCGGATCACGAGGTCAAGAGTTCGAGACCAGCCTGACCAACATAGTGAAACCCCGTCCCTACTACAAATACAAAAATTAACTGGGCGTAGTGGCGCGCGCCTGTAATCCCAGCTGCTTGGGAGGCTGGGGCAGGAGAATCGCTTGAACCCGGGAGGCGGAGGTTGCAGTTAGCCGAGATCGCACCACTGCATTCCAGCCTGGGCGACAGGGCGAGACTCCGTCTCAAAAAAAAAAAAAGAAAAGAAAAAAAGAAAAGTATTTTGCCAATGTTAAATACCTGGTTTTTATCATTGTGCTATAGTTATGTAAGATCATAACGTTAGGGGAAGATGGATAAGGAATTTATGAGAACTCTGTATTATTTTTGCAACTTTTCTGTAAGCCTAAAATTAGTTCAAATAAAAAGTATTTAAAAAGAAATAGAAGTTTCAGACCAAAGGATCAGCATATACCAGGGAAAGGAAGAATGGACAGCATGTGGGAGGTGCTGTAAGAACTGCAATCAGTACAGTGTGTCGGGAGCCTAGGGAACATGTGAGGAAACATTGTGAGATGAGGCTGAAGACATGGACTGGAGAACTTTATAAACCATGTTAAGGAATTTAGATTTTATTTTTGGGATGATAGCTATAAAGAATTTTATACATAGATTGATAGTTATACAGTAACTTTGCAAAAGACCAAACAAGCTGATAAGGCCCAAACTAGAGTAGCAAAAATGCAGAGAAGTGGACATGTGGATTTTTAGAAGGTAGATCACCATGGTTTGATGATTGGGTGGATATAAGAGGAAAATAAGAGGAAGAATTAAAAACTAATGCTTAGTTTATATAAATTCAAAAACAGGTAAAACTAAACTGTGATATTAGAATTCAGGATAGTGATTATTCTTGGAAAAACATTGACTGAAAGGGGCAGAGTGGGGCTCCTGAGGCACTGGTGATGTTCTGTTTCTTGATCTGAGTGCTTGGTTATATGGGTGTGTTCACTTTGTGAAAATGTATTAAGCTATATACTTAAGGATTGTACACCTTTCTCTGTGTTTGTTTGTTCTGGTTACTATGCTATGTGACAAACCAACCCAAACTTAGTGTCATAAAAACAATAGCCATTTTATTATGTGCACAAATTCTGGGAATTTGGACGAGATGCAACAGGAATGGCTTGTCTCTATTCCATGATGTCTGGGGCCTTATTTGTAAAGCTTGAACATCTAGAGGTGGTTTGAGGCTGGTGGCTGGAAGCATCTGGAGGCTTCTTCAGTCACACATCTAATTCCTGGGCTGGGATAATGAAAAAGCTGAACTCATTGGGCAAACTGTCAAACAGAACTTCTCACAATGTGATGGGTAGGTTCCAAGAGGGAACATTCTGAGAGGGAGCTACCAGACAACACGCATTCCAAGAGAACCAGAGGGAAGCTGCATGGCCTTTTATGATCTAGCCTTAGAAGTCACACAACATCACTCCTGCTATACAAACTATCACAAGGGAGTGGTGTCGAAGAATTTGTGACCATTTTTTTTAACTGCCACAACATTATACAGTAAATAGTAATAAATGCTTGTCATAGGTTTTTTTGCTGAAAGGGCATAGATAGGAATTCTAGAAGAAAAAGTGGAGGAAGATAATGAGCTTAGTTATAGACCCAATGGGTTGAAGGTGACCGCGGGATACCCAAGTAGGAACATCCAGTGAGCAGTTAGTCATATAGATAACTGAAACTCAGGGAGAGTTCTCGGGAGCCACTATATGAGAAAGGAAGTCCTGTGGGTGACTGACGTCAATCAGACAGAGTTAGGAGGATGGCAAAAGTAGAAAGCCTAGAACAGAATCCAAGAAAAAAAAAAAACACCATCATAGAAGGAATAGACAGAGGAGCTTATGAAAGACACTAAAAAGAAACAGCAAACCAAGACATTATGGCATTACAAAGGATTTTATTCATTTTGTTGCATTACTTTGAATGTTGTCTTTTTATTTTAACAAGCGTAATACTTTGCAAAAAGAAATTAAGAAGCCATGGGAAAAGAGAGTTTTTCAAAATTTAATTAGGGACCACAGGTTTTTCTTCTAAAACACACTCCAAAAACACAAACCTGATTTTATCACTGAACTGTGAAAAACTCTTCACAGGTTCTCTATTGCCGTTGGGTAAA
This sequence comes from Homo sapiens, assembly GCF_000001405.40. Lineage (NCBI taxonomy): Eukaryota > Metazoa > Chordata > Mammalia > Primates > Hominidae > Homo > Homo sapiens. The sequence goes on from NC_000011.10 coordinate 6,237,874, forward strand.
ATCCAAGCTTTATAACATGGCTGACAGAACTCCTCCTGAGCTGGCCTCTGTCTATCATTCAACCTCATCTCTCACCACTACCCGCTAGGCCCTCTAAAATAAGCCAATTGATATTTGCCCAGTCACCCACGCTTTTTGATATCTCTATGCCTTTGCCCACTCTGTGCATTCTGCCTCTAGTGCTCTTCACCCTCCCATCTCTGTACCCAACTCCTATTCATCCTGCAGAACCCAGGCTCTGTAGGGCCACTTCATGTGTACTATAATAGCCTTCCGTGTATCCAGCTAACAGAGTACTCATCAGCAGCCTGGCAATGACTGCTGCTGTTTAGTTACCTCATGTGTAATTACCTGCTGGCCTGACTATTTCACCTAGCAGACTGTGAGCTTCTGGAGAAGGGGGAGCGTGTCTTATTCATCTCCAATTCCTAGTATTTAGCACAATATTGGCCTGGCACACAGAACACCTGCCTATGGGTGTTCTGATTTTGATTTGTTGACTGAGAAAGATGATAGCAGTGAAAGGAACATCAGGTTGAGGGAGAAATTGTAGGGTTTTTGTTTGTTTTGATATAGGAGATATTGAAGCAGGTTCACAAAAAGAGAAAAGTTGAAAGATTGGGGACCATAAAACACATGGAATGGTTGGTAGGATCAGGCACTAGAAGTCACAAGAAGGATATGAGGACAAAAGCACCATAGGATGGCCCCTATCACACTACCTATGAGAATGGTGTGATGGGGGAAGGCGTATGTGGAGGTAGATAAGGGTAGGAAGTAGGTTACAAAAATAGAGCTCACTTCTCATGTGAGAGGCATCTCTTTGTCCCTGGAGAATAGTTTAGCACCTGACATAGATAAGCCATTCAGTAATAGTTGTTAAATAAATAAATAGTGAGGCCCAAATAGAATTTGCAAAGATAAAACAGAGTGTTTGATCCTACACTAAAACTGAGGTCTTCTGACCCAGAGGACACCTATGTAGCTCAGTTGCTGTGGAAAGAGGGGAGGAGGAAAACAGAGACAAGACTCAGGCTTCCCTCTGAGGCATGCACCCCCACCTTCTCCAGGGATCTCATTAGAGGTGTTTAGCTGGGCAGGTGTAAGCCCAGGCCCTGGGAGACAGGGCAGAGTGCTAGAGCTAGACTGTCTCCACCCCTTCAGTAGCGCTAGCTCTGGTTGTGTTGCTAAGAGCCCCAAAGACAAAGAAGTCACAGCAGAAGCCCAACAGCAGCCTCCTTCAGGCAGTCAGGCACTAGTGCCCAACTCCAGAAGTCCCCTACAGGCAGAGAGGGTGTGGACATCTCACACCCCAGCACCAGACCACAGAACCATGAGCCAGGACACCAAAGTGAAGACAACAGAGTCCAGTCCCCCAGCCCCATCCAAGGCCAGGTGAGAAGTCCTGGTCCCTTGTGTGGGATCTCTCCTCATTCCTCTTGGTGCCCCAGTCACAACTACAGCTTTGAATGCCTGGTGAATAAATGAAGCAAGACTTTCTTTCTTACAGGAAGTTGCTGCCTGTCCTGGACCCATCTGGGGATTACTACTACTGGTGGCTGAACACAATGGTCTTCCCAGTCATGTATAACCTCATCATCCTCGTGTGCAGGTATGGCAGCGGTGCTAAGGGAGGGGCTGGAAGCCAAAAAGAGGACTAAAGAGAGGTCAAGGAGAAGGGCAGACCCTTGGTGGGGCAGGAGGAGCAATTCCCATGGGAGGGCCTGAGGCAGAGGGTTAAGGGCCCTGGGGAGACGCCTCGCACACAGAGGGTGCCCTTAATTCAATCATGCTTAACCCTGCCCTGCAGAGCCTGCTTCCCCGACTTGCAGCACGGTTATCTGGTGGCCTGGTTGGTGCTGGACTACACGAGTGACCTGCTATACCTACTAGACATGGTGGTGCGCTTCCACACAGGTCAGTGGGCTTCTAGGAATGACCCTTTGTCCCACATTCCCTTCCTAAAGATAGCCACTTAAGAAGTAACAAGAAAGGCACCCCCACCGTGGTAGCACCTTCGCGTGCCTCTATGCCTGACAGCATCCCAGTGCTCACCCCGGAAAGCCGGGAGCAGAGTTATGCCTGGCTCCACTCTGTCCTTCAGACAGTCTCCCTGGCCTGCCCTGGGCAGCTCATGCTCAGCCCAAGCTTGACTACAGCAGGTCCGCTTCCTACCGGCTCCCTCTCCCCAGGATTCTTGGAACAGGGCATCCTGGTGGTGGACAAGGGTAGGATCTCGAGTCGCTACGTTCGCACCTGGAGTTTCTTCTTGGACCTGGCTTCCCTGATGCCCACAGATGTGGTCTACGTGCGGCTGGGCCCGCACACACCCACCCTGAGGCTGAACCGCTTTCTCCGCGCGCCCCGCCTCTTCGAGGCCTTCGACCGCACAGAGACCCGCACAGCTTACCCAAATGCCTTTCGCATTGCCAAGCTGATGCTTTACATTTTTGTCGTCATCCATTGGAACAGCTGCCTATACTTTGCCCTATCCCGGTACCTGGGCTTCGGGCGTGACGCATGGGTGTACCCGGACCCCGCGCAGCCTGGCTTTGAGCGCCTGCGGCGCCAGTACCTCTATAGCTTTTACTTCTCCACGCTGATACTGACTACAGTGGGCGATACACCGCCGCCAGCCAGGGAAGAAGAGTACCTCTTCATGGTGGGCGACTTCCTGCTGGCCGTCATGGGTTTCGCCACCATCATGGGTAGCATGAGCTCTGTCATCTACAACATGAACACTGCAGATGCGGCTTTCTACCCAGATCATGCACTGGTGAAGAAGTACATGAAGCTGCAGCACGTCAACCGCAAGCTGGAGCGGCGAGTTATTGACTGGTGAGAAGGCGGGGTTCCAGACCAGGACAGGGACCAGTGTAGGTGATGGAACCTGAGGGAGGTAACTGGGTCCTTAGTGCCTGGTGAGCCAGGCAAGGCTGTCAAAATGTAGCATTCAGCCGTGGGTTTGCTGGCTGGGGCTTGGAAAAAGGGAACTTCTTTCAACTGAGGGAATCAGGACTTGGGGGAGGGGTAGGTAAGAGACTGATAGGGAGAGGAGCTCATACTCAAAAAAGGATAATATGGAGACCAGGGAATGGGAAGTGCCACTGCCTGGTAGGGCTCAGAAGGCTCTGGAAGGAGTGGGTGAAGAAGGGCAATCCCCCCTGAGAATGGTCAGCAACAAGATCATTGGCTACCTATGGTGATTCATACTGTGGACTGAACAAAAGGAAGTGTCACAAAGTTGGGGAAGTAGAGCAGAGGGTCCCCAGAGAGGAGGGGCCCTTGGTGGCTGAGGTAGCTAAGGGTAGGGGTGGAACAAGACATCACTGATTGGTGGGTAGGGTAGAGCCTGATAGGAGGTGAAGGGTTATGTAAAGTGGTAGAGGTGTCTATGCCCTGGAAAACAGGTAATCCAACTGTCAGGTACTCCCATGACCCCTGTTAGATCTCAGTATGGTGGGATTCTTGGCTGGAGCTGAGCTGAGCCCTGAAGGAAGGGATGGAGGCAGGCACATAAAGGGCTGGTAAGGAAATGGCACTGTCCTTACTCTCAGGTATCAGCACCTGCAGATCAACAAGAAGATGACCAACGAGGTAGCCATCTTACAGCACTTGCCTGAGCGGCTGCGGGCAGAAGTGGCTGTGTCTGTGCACCTGTCCACTCTGAGCCGGGTGCAGATCTTTCAGAACTGTGAGGCCAGCCTGCTGGAGGAGCTGGTGCTGAAGCTGCAGCCCCAGACCTACTCACCAGGTGAATATGTATGCCGCAAAGGAGACATTGGCCAAGAGATGTACATCATCCGAGAGGGTCAACTGGCCGTGGTGGCAGATGATGGTATCACACAGTATGCTGTGCTCGGTGCAGGGCTCTACTTTGGGGAGATCAGCATCATCAACATCAAAGGTGGGTATCCCAGTATTTGTTCCAGGGACAAGGATGGGTGGGGTAGGGGGGAACAGCAGAGCCCAGTGCTGGGACCAGATAGTACTTCAGGCCTAAACTTCTGATTGAGGAAACCTGGCCCTTCTCTGAGTCACTAGATGGCTCAGGAGAAAAACAACACATAGAGGATCCATTCCCTGAGAAGAAGCTGAGCCAAGGCCAGTGAACAGGGTGGGTTCGTGGAAGAGAGAGTAGACTTGCTCTGTGGATATTCACCTGAAGCACCAATAGACTAGTGGACAGTGATAGAGATAATAATAATAATAATAGCTAATATTTATTACCTGCTTACTGCATCCCCTTTTCTAAGTGCTTCACATGATATTAACTCATTACATTCCCGCAGCAGTTCTATAAGATAAGTACTATTCTTATCCCAATTTTAAAGATAAGGAAATCAAACTCAAAGAAGTTGGGTAATTTGCCCAACGTCGCACAGGTATACACATGTGGGATGAGTGGAAAAAACAACCTTTTTACAGCCAAGTGGAAAGAGAAAGGTAGAAGAGAAGAAGTTCCCATTTACTGACCATCACCTCTAGGCCAAGCCAGGTACTACCTACTGGCTTGCTTTTTCCTCTCATCAGCCCTGTGCAGTAGGAATTGTTATGCCTAATCACAGGTATTAGGCATGAGGTCGTGCAAGCAGGAAATCCTGCAAATGGGGTAAGCACACTGTCATGGACCGAGAAGCTGGATGTGCTCTGGCTCTCTCAGCATGAGGATTCTACCCTCAGGGATTCTGAAAGCCTCACATCTGTCCTCCAATGATCCCCTCAAGCTCCACATCCTGTATGTGGTAGGATGCTGTCTGTTTGACTTTGGACAAGTCATTTCCCTATTTAGGCCTCAGTTTAATCACCTATCCAATGAGGACAATAATAAAAACCCAATGAGTTATTTGTGAGAATAAATGAGCTATGTGAGTGAGGCATCCAGCGCAGTGCTTGGCATACAGCAAGTGTTCAACAAATAGTAGCTCCCTTTCCCTTGTCCAAGGTCCTTCTAGCTCTAAGACTTTGCAGCATTCAGCCTCACCTATCTCCCCACCCATTCTCCACCAACATCTTTCTAAACTGCAAAGGATATCATACAGCTCCCTGCTTAAAATACTTCAATAGTTTCCTACTGCCCTCAGCATAAGGCCTGAACTTCATGTCATGGCTTATGAGACCCAGTGTGACCTAGATCTCCCCTCTCTCCACCCTCCCCACACTCTGCGCTTCTCGCACTCTGAACTGCTTACTATTTTCTGCATCCAACTGACTCTTTTCTACCCCCTTCCCTCTGTTCCTGCTCCTTCCTCTGGCTAGATTGCCCTATCCCCACTTGTCCCCCTCCTCCCCCTAGTTACCTCCTACTCAGTTCAGGTGTATGAGACTGTTCTTGCATTTCTATAAAGAAATATGTGAGACTGGATAATTTATAAAGAAAAGAGGTTTAATTGGCTCACAGTTCTTCAGGATTTACGGGAAGCATGGTGCTGGCATTTGCTCAGCTTCTAGGGAGGCTTCAAGAAGCTTATAATTGTGGCAGAAGGCAAAGGGGGAGCAGGCATGTCACACGGTGAAAGCAGGAGCAAGGGTTGGGGGAGGTGCCACACTTTCAAACAACCAAAACAACCAGCTCTCGACTCACTAACTCAAAGACAGCATCAAGCCATGAAGGATTCGCCCCCATAATCCAATCACCTCCCACCAGGTCCCACCCCCAACATTGGGGATTACATTTCACATGAGATTTGGGCAGAGACAAATATTCAAATTATATCTTAGGACATCCCTTCCTCCAGACTTCCCTAAATTCCCTGCCTTACGGTTTGGTAGGGGCTCTTTGCCTACCTTTCCACAGCACCTGATGAACATGTCTTCACTGCACCAGCCATACTGTTATATAACTATTCCAATATATGTGTATCTCCTCTAGACTGTGAATTATTTGAGGCAGGTCACTGATACCTACCCAGCATGGAGCCTGGTCCCCAGTATGTTACTAAATGAAAGAATTAATGAGGCAGAAGGAGAGGCTCAGAAGCACAAATATGGAGGTGAAGGTCCTGGTTCAGGAGTGAAATGCCACCTCCTCACCCTCCTACTAACTGTCCTCCCATCTCTGCCCATGAGCCACAGGGAACATGTCTGGGAACCGCCGCACAGCCAACATCAAGAGCCTAGGTTATTCAGACCTATTCTGCCTGAGCAAGGAGGACCTGCGGGAGGTGCTGAGCGAGTATCCACAAGCACAGACCATCATGGAGGAGAAAGGACGTGAGATCCTGCTGAAAATGAACAAGTTGGACGTGAATGCTGAGGCAGCTGAGATCGCCCTGCAGGAGGCCACAGAGTCCCGGCTACGAGGCCTAGACCAGCAGCTGGATGATCTACAGACCAAGTTTGCTCGCCTCCTGGCTGAGCTGGAGTCCAGCGCACTTAAGATTGCTTACCGCATTGAACGGCTGGAGTGGCAGACTCGAGAGTGGCCAATGCCCGAGGACCTGGCTGAGGCTGATGACGAGGGTGAGCCTGAGGAGGGAACTTCCAAAGATGAAGAGGGCAGGGCCAGCCAGGAGGGACCCCCAGGTCCAGAGTGACCCCATCCCCATCCCCAGGATTCCCACCTCCTAGTGAATCCAGAGTTGTAGTAAAGCCTAACTGCTGCAACTCTGTCATCCTGTCTGCGAGATCACAGACACAGGAGCGAATTGGTCTGTAGATGCCCAGCTAGAGATATAGGAGTTTAACGCACATTCAGCCCCCACTTACCAGTACACACACACACACACACACACACACACACACACACACACACACATTTGCTCATAGACCTGTTGGCCCCAAGACTGTGCATTCCATCTAAAATGCTCTGGAATTTCCATTCTCAGAGCACACAGCACACATGCTTTCTCACAAGCACCGATGTATCTTACACCCACATAATATATACACATTCAGTCATGCACCTCCTAAACACACATATGCTGACAGTCATACACTGATAGACACAGATGCCCTTCACAGGTGTGCACACACTTGTGAAAACACAAAAGCACACCCTGAGCCCTCTAGGTCTAAGATGTCTTTTGAATGTTTCCCATATGGGCGATTCACAAGTATACCCTGAAAGTTGCACTTCAATAAAGTATTTGCCTCCTCCCTAAGCATTTATGGGGCTGGAAAGAAAAGGCAAAGTCAATGGTGGGCCAGGATGGATTCTGTCTGAATTCTGAAGTCTGAAGCCTGAATTCTGAGTCAAAGAGGTGATGAGCATGAACTGTGTAGTAGCTAGTGGGTTAGAGTCAGAGACGAGGTACCTGAAGAATAGAGAATCAATACTCAGCCTAGGCAAAGCAGGCTCTCACATCACACTGCTGTAAGAGTGCCCATGCACACTGGCCTTTGCATCCCACACCGGAGCATATGTTCTCGATTTATAAGCTCTGAGGGGTTTCATCTAGTTAAAAGGGCCCGAGCAGATACTTCTTCTTTTTCTTCCCTCTGGCCAGCCCTGGAGCCTGGATCCAGGGCTTCCCTGTGTTCAGGGCTGATTCCAAGAGGAGAATAATTCCATTCTCCCAACAGAAAGAGGGTGAATAGTTCCAACAGGACCGTTCACCTGGCCCAGCCCTACCATGACAGTTGTTGGAACTGGTGTTGGTGCTGGTGGAAATCCAGCCCTTCTTCTTTGCACAGTATTCCAAAATATAGGGGAGAGTAGAAACTAGGTGCAATGGAATATTACGGTCAGAGGCAATTAGAGATGAGGGTGTTGGGAATTTTGGAGTTAAATCTGGTGTACTTGGAAGGAGGTCTGCACTTGGGGCAGGAAAGATATCATAGGTTCTATGGGGAGGAGTCTGGTATCATGTCTGAACCAGATTCACCCTGAGTCACCACTGCGCTCCTCCAGGGCCTGGCCAGTCTTGAAGTCTGAGCTGTGCCAAGTAGTAGTTTAAAAGGTATCCAGGATTTAACTTATAGATATAACTGAGTGATGTGTCTCTACTCTCAGGGGAGATTATGAGGGTAATCACACTTTAAATCATCTTAAAATACATAGTTTTTTTGTAATATGTCCTTCTCACAAAATATAAGATCCACAAGACCAACACTGGGTTTTTCTTGTTCATCTTTGTGTCCCCAGGGTTGTGCCTGGCATCTAGTAAGTACCCAAATATATATTTGGTAACCAAAGAAGAGAGAGTTGAAGCAGATAGAGGACAAATGTTGAAGGAAGATGTGTGTCAATTTCTTGAGAGGTTTTTCTATCATCTCTGCCCTCATATCATCTTGAACTAGAATGGATGGGTACATCATAAAGGCCATTTGGGTGGCATCTGATGGATTTAGGGAGTTGAGAACAAGTTTTTCACTGACATATTACAATGTGCACACCTATCCCCAGCGAAGGCTGTCTTGGAAAAGCTGGCCTCTGCCACGCCATCTAATCCTGGTCTATAGCACTAGCAGGGTGATAACTGGTTATCTGGCATTTTATGATTGCAGAAACAAAACTCTCAAAGGGCCAGCTATCCATTTTGCTCTGCCTCTGCTATTCCAGGATGAGGAGATCAGAATCTTCATGGTGGAGCCACCATATCATAAGATACCTTGAATAGCATCAGTTGCTTTCTGAGGTCCTCTAGTTGTAGAATTGTTTTTATCACTCTGTTGAAGACAATATTTGGACAATTTGGGATCAAGCTGGGTAAAATTAGGTCAGGATATTCAGAACTGAACACAATTTTAAGTTCCTGGAATAATCAAGAAATAATAATAAATTCTTTTAGTCCAAAGAATATTAACTAATGTGTATCAAGCACTAGGCTATACACTTACAAATGTGGCCAAAAATTTTATTAAAATTTTCATTTGGGTTTTGTTAATTTTATCCCTCCTCCCATCATAAGAAAGGACCTAAATCTTTGCATCACTTAAAAGTTAAAGCTTTTGGCCAGGTCCGGTGGCTCACGCCTGTAATCCCAGCACTTTGGGAGGCCAAGACGGGCGGATCACGAGGTCAGGAGATCGAGACCATCCTGGCTAACATGGTGAAACCCTGAATACAAAAAAAAAAAATTAGCTGGGCATGGTCGCGGGCACCTGTAGTCCCAGCTACTGGGGAGGCTGACTCAGGAGAATGGCGTGAACCCGGGAGGCGGAGCTTGCAGTGAGCCAAGATCGCGCCACTGCACTCTAGCCTGGGCGACAGAGCAAGACTCTGTCTCAAAAAAAAAAAAAAAGTTACAGCTTTTTGAATTATAGGATCAGAAACAGAAATTGACAGAAACTTTTTGCCAGAGATTTTGTGGGAGTCTTGGAGTTTGTTTTGTTTTGTTTTGTTTTTGAGACAGGTTTCACTCTGTTGCTCAGGCTGTAGTGCAGTGGTGCTATCTTGGCTCATTGCAACCTCTACCTCCCTGGCTCAAGCAGTCCTCCCACCACAGCCTCCCAAGTGGCTGGGACCACAGGTGTGCACCACCATGCCTGACTAATTTTTGCGTTTTTTGTAGAGATGGGGGTTTTGCCATGTTGCCCAGGCTGGTCTTAAACTCCTGGACTCAAGAGATCTGCCTGATTTTGCTTCTCAAAGTGCTGGGATTACAGGTGTGGGCCACTATGCTCAGCCAAGATTTTGTTTTTGAAAAATAGGGCTCCTAGGATTTCACTAACGATGGAGTTAGGGGTAAAATGTGCCCTGTTGTCTGTGAGAGCTTAAGAAGAGTTTAAGAAGCGGAAGTTTCTTCTGACAAGGGGAGATTCCCTAAGACAAGGAAAAGGAATGAGATTCTTGACAGTTATATTAGTTTTTTGTGGGGTTTTTGTTTTGTTTTGTTTTGTTTTGTTTTTTTGCTGCTGTAACATATTACCACAAATTTAACAGCTTAAAACAGTACCCATTTATTCTCACAGTTCTGTGAGTTAGAAAAATCCAAGCCAGTGTCAGTCAACTAGACCTCTGTTCGGGGCCTCCAAATGCTGAAATCAAGGTGTCAGATGGACTAGGCTGTTACCTGGAGACTATAGGGAAGAATCTGCCTCCAAGTTCATTCAAGTTGTTAGCAGAATTCAATTCCATTGACTGTAGGACAAAGATCTCTGATTCCTTGACACATGGCCCCTTCATCTTCAAGTCAACAAAGGCATATGAAATCTTCCTCATTCTTCAAATCTCTAATTTCCCCCTTCTACTACCAGGCTAAGAAAGATCTCTCCTTTTTAGGGTTCATCTGATTAGAGTAGGTTCATCTAAATAATCCAGAATAATCTCCCTATTTTAAGATCAACTAATTATTAACTAACTTAATTACCTTCTCAATGTCCCTTTTGCCATAACCCTGGGAATAACATCAGAGGGCAAAAGTAATAGAAGTCAAAATTCTACCACAGGATTTCTAAGGGAAAAAAGCAGCCTAGACTCCACTTTCTATGAGGGGCCAAAATAGGGAACACTAAGAGTTGAGTCTTTGGAAAGAACTGGAGAATGATCACTATGCTGGAACAGGTACTGGAGACTCAGAGCAGCATCCCCTAGAAGTGTGCAGGCTTGAACAAGGCACATACCAGCATTATCAGCATGCTCCAAAGACCAGAGGCCCTGCCCCAGATGTTCTGTTCAACATAAAAGCCCCAGAGACTTTCGCAAGGCCCTAAATTGGGAAAGAGAGTGGGAAGAAAGCCCAAAACACAACTGAGATTAAATCTCCCACATAGTGAAAACAGTATGGAGATTCCTTAAAGAATTAAAAGTAGAACTACCATTTGATCCAGCAATCTTACTACTGGGTATCTACCCAAAGGAAAAGAAGTCATTATATGAAAAAGACACATGCACACACATGTTTATAGCAGCACATTTCACAATTGCAAAGATATGGAACCAACCTAAGCGCCCATCAACCAACAAATGGATAAAGAAAATAAGGTATGTAAGGCTGGGCGCGGTGGCTTATGCCTGTAATCCCAACACTTTGGGAGGTGGAGGTGGACAGATCACTTGAGACCAGGAGTTTGAGACCAGCCTGGCCAACATGGTGAAACCCCATGTCTACTAAAAATTAAAAAAAATAGCTGGGCATTGTGGCACACACCTGTAATCCAAGATACTCTGGAGGCTGAGGCAAGAGAATAGCTTGAACCCGGGAGGTGAAGGTTGCAGTGAGCCAAGATCATGCCACTGCACTCTGGCCTGGGCAACAGAGGGAGACTCTGTCTCAAAAAAAAAAGAAAGAAAGAAAGAAAAGAAAGAAAATGTGGTATGTATATGCCATGGAATACTACTCAGCCATAAAAAGGAACAAAATAATGTCTTTGGCAGCTTGGATGGAGCTGAAGACTATTATTCTAAATGAAGTAACTCAGGAATAGAAAACTAAATATTGTATTTCTCACAAGTGGAAGCTAAGCTATGAGGATGCATAAGAGTGATATAATCGACTTTGGGGACTCAAGGGGAAGGTTGGGAGCGGGTGAGGGATAAAAGACTATATATTGGGTACAGTGTACACTGCTCAGATGATGGGTGCACTAAAATCTCAGAAATTACCACTGAGGAACTTAACCATGTGACCAAAAACCACTTGTACCCCCAAAGCTATTGAAATGATAGATAGATAGATAGATCTTTCATAAAGTATTTAAAAGTTTAAATGAGAATTATCTGATTTAGACAATCAAATGTCTAATTTTTTACACACTGTTGTGGAATAATTCACAAACTGCTCTACATGTATTATCTGATTTGGTTCTTAAAACAATGTGAGGAAATTTAAATTATTATTAATTCTATGATGCTGATGATGCTGATGATGTGGTGATGATGCTCCTCTTTCCAGATCAGGAATCTGAAGCCCACAGAGCCACTAAAGATATTAGATCGGATTTATTGAGAAGTTACTTTATGCCAGATCCTGGGTTAAGTGCACAGTCTCGATCCTAAAACTATATGAGAAAGATGTCATCATTACCCCATTTTGAGATGAGGAAACCAAGATTCTGGGATTAGATAACTTGCCCAATATCACAGGTCCCTAAGTCACATGGAATGAAGCCCAGGTCTTATCTTTTAGGGAGATAAGGAAAGGAATCACCTGGTTTGAGGCCAGGGCCAAGCAAGCTCTTCCCTTCTTGAGAATGACTATCAGAGGCAGTAATTGCAGTAACCAGGGGGAAGAAGCCAGCTGTGCCAGCGAAAGCTTGTGAGTCACTGGCGAGGCTGCCTGCCAGCAAAGATAAAGGACTACCAGCTACTCTGGATAAGAGCTCCAGGATCTGCACAAAATACAGCTGTGAGAGGAGGGCAGGAGTTTGAGAGCCACGGCTAGATTTCTACAGAGGTGTCAAGACTGTTCTAGGGCCTTCCTTCTGAGAGCCCCACTACTTTGGGCTTAGCTCTGTTCCCTCCTACAGGACCTGGGGCCTCACTTACTTATTTCCTTGGGTCCTTAGGAAACCTCAGCCTGACTAAGATTTGGGATGTAGACTCCTCCTTGGTGTTCCCAGTTAGCTACTCCCCCACAGAATCTTCTTGGACCCACCACACCCCACCCTTTCTTTCTTGGGGTTTGGCTGCTAGCCCCATAAGGCAGATGGAAATAAAGTATCAAGCTTGGGAGGAAATCAGATTCCTAGGGAAAGGGGCCATTCAATCCAGTGGAGTGTTTGCTCCTAGTGCAAACACTAGGAGCCAGAAGCAGGAGGCAGGGTGGGAGGATTCTAGTTTGGGTTAAGCTGGAGTTTGGCTTGAGGCTAGGATCAGAGGTGGTGGTCAAGCTGGGTTAGAGCTGGGATCAGAGCCATGACCCACGTCAGGGCAAATGTTAGGCTGGCCTTAAAAAACAACATATAGGCCGGGCGCGGTGGCTCACGCCTGTAATCCCAGCACTTTGGGAGGCCGAGGCGGGCGGATCACGAGGTCAGGAGATCGAGACCATCCCGGCTAAAATGGTGAAACCCCGTCTCTACTAAAAATACAAAAAATTAGCCGGGCGTAGTGGCGGGCGCCTGTAGTCCCAGCTACTTGGGAGGCTGAGGCAGGAGAATGGCGTGAACCCGGGAGGCGGAGCTTGCAGTGAGCCGAGATCCCGCCACTGCACTCCAGCCTGGGCGACAGAGCGAGACTCCGTCTCAAAAAAAAAAAAAAAAAAAAAAAAAAAAAAAAACATATAGAAAACAGCATGCATTAGGTGCCAACTAGACTTGTATTTTAGTTCTGAAACATCACTTCCTAGCTGGGGGGCTCTCAGCCTCTTCCTCAAAATCTTTCAGGGTTGTTTAGAGAAATGCTGAAGATTTAAAAATCTAAACAAGATAATGAATGTAAACTGCCTACTAGTGCCTAGACGGTGATAATTTCTTAGTAATTAACAGTAGCTATGACTATTACTCGTGTCCCTCTAGCAGCTATTGTGTCTTTGAGGGCCCTGGGCACAGGTTGTCCTGCTCTGCTTGTCCCAGGCCTCTGGCGGGGCTTCCAGGTTGTGCAGGCAATACCAGGTCTGACCAGCAGAGAGCAGAAGGCACTTCTTCCTTCCTTCCTTCCAGCTCACTCCCAGGCCTTTGGATTACATTGCCTTGAAAAGCTTGGAGAATTTCTCAGGGAGAAATGGAATCTTAGGGACAGGGAACAACGTTGGGGAATTGTGATCTCAACTGCTCTTGTTTAAGCTTTTTTCACAATGACTGAAATATATCAGTGGTAATGCTGAATGACGTTACTGAAGAGGATGTGCTAATCAGAGCCTAAAGCAGCCCTGTCGCAGTCAGCACCACTGAATGACTGGGAACATTCAGACAGCCCCTCACCAAAGTTTGAAAATTCTTTGTGCTTCTCACCACTAGTTCACATGAACCCTCTCTGTGTCTGTCTTCACCTTTTCAGTCCCCATACCTTGGCCTGTTGTCCTCAGCCTTTTCTTCACCAGTATGTCCAACAGACAGGGCCCCAGAGGCTATTAGCTTGTATGCATTCATGGAAGCCTTCTCTCGGAATGACCTCCTGTTGGCTTTCTCAACCTTTGAATGAGGCCCTGACCTGGGAGATCTAGGCCTCTCTTGGCCTACCCGTGAGGGTCTACATCTGAAGTCAAGTATCCAGCCAGAGCCAGCCCCTGAATGGGTGCCTCTGCTCTTCCCCAGCACAAGCCCCAGGCTTCTGAAAGGCCAGTCCTTGTCCTGGTTTCTTTCGTCTGCTCAATAGCCCTGCCTGCTCTGGCTCTAGCCCATCTGCCTTCTCAGCTGGCTTCCTCTGTTTAATCATCCCAAGAGAAGGGCCTCCTGTTTGGGCAGGGAATGTGTGGGCAGGAGCTCAGCACAGAAGCAAGTCTGCATGTCATAGAAATGCAGAGAACAGAAGGCCTTGAAAGATATAAGGAGAAGGTGGCCTAATCAGACACAGAGGGCGGGGCTGAGCCAATGGGGAAAAGGGCAAGCTGGGCACCCCAAGGACTAAACTGTAGCTGATTTCTCTCCTAGCGCCAGACCTCAGCTGCACGTGTGTGCGTCAGAACCAGGAGTGCTGGAGGCAGAGCGTATTACATGACCCTCACACTACTGGGAATGTAAACACTGGGTTTCCTGGTTAAAGCACTGATATTTTGTGGACCTTGCAAGCTACCTAGAATAAGCAGTCCCTTATAAAGCAGCTTATCTGGCACTGTGCATGAGGCAGTAGGTTCTGCTCTCTGCGGTTGTTTCCCATGAATATTTACTGAAGTTTTATTTCAATGTTCCCCTCTTATCTCAGTTGTGATATAGAGTATTGAAAGAAGGATCGTGTGCCCACATTTGGGCCAATGGGGCAGTACCATGGGAGATTGAGACTTCCCAAAAGGGAAAGTAAATTGTTCTAGCTACAAGAGTCAAGCTAGGTGGTCCAAAATCCCCCTCTAAAAAACCAAAACCAAAACTAAAACCAAATAACAAACAACCTTGGCAGGTCAAAGCTTGAGTTAGAAAGACAGATTCCCTCAGGACTGAGCCCAGGCCTACTTCAGGACCTCTTGCATGTGCTTCCTTGACCTCTTAGTTTTCTGACTTGTTCCTGGACAAGGGTCCAAGTCTCTTTCATATGCCTTTGCCCACATTGGCTTTGCAATTCCTTCCTTACTCCGATCTAAAGCATCCCTATTTTCTTGCCCTGAGATATCCCATTCTCTCCAAAATGCTGGCTTATGTCTAGCAAAGGAAGTATAGATGGAATTTCATGATTTCGAGAAATGAGTTATACCCTTTTAGCACTACATTTTCATTCCTTTCCCCTCCATCCTCTGCTCCCCCTCCCTTCTTCACTATAGCTATTACTTGTTTTTTATTTTCCCTTTTACAAAACATCTTGAAATCAATCTACACATGCCATCTCCTAGCCCTCACCTTCCATAACCCATCTGCATTTAGTTAGAGGGGAGAATATGGGCAAGATACAAAGATGATGAAAACTTGGCATCCACAAGGAAAATATAAGATATTTGAGGCTCCTGAAGCCAAGTGTGACCATCCAGCTAGAGCCAGTGTTTGGGTGTGAGAGTAAACAAAAGATAGAAAGTAAGTAATGACAGTAGTGTGACGAGAAGTCTGAGAAACTATTGGAGAGAGGGACATGTATTAGTCAGCTCAGGCTGCCACAGCAAGACACCACAGACTGGATGACTTAAACAACAGAAATTTATTTTCTCACAGTTCTAGAGCCTAGAAGACCCAGATCAAGGTACCAACACATTCAGTTTCTGGTGAGGGCTCTCTTCTTGGCCTGCAGAAAGCATCCTCACATGGTCTTTCCCCTGTGTGTGGCTTGCAGGGGGAAGAGGTGGCAGGGGATGAGGGAAATGGTGGATCACAAGATATCTGGTGCCTCTTCCCCATCTTGTAATGACAACAGTTCTAGCCCCACCCTTATAACTTTATTTAACTTTAATTACTTCTTTAAAGGCCCTATCTCCAAATACAATAACAAGGGCAGGAGCCAGACCCTTGGAATATAATTCTCTCTTCTCCATGTCCAGCTGAGATTTTATGGCCCGTTTTTTCACACTTGTCCCTTTATTTTGCCATTCCATTCATCTGGTAAAATTCCAACTTTGGATGAACCAAACCATCAACATTCTCCTTGCTTGCATCCAACCAGCTGAGCTCTGCTGAGAAATTGATCCCACTAGAAATTTGTAGTCATCACCCCTTAAGTGGGCCCTCAGTATTTTCCTATTATTTCACTACATTCCTCAGGTCTCCTTTTCCCTTCTCCCATTATATATTGTTTTCTTAAACCATCTTGACTACTAAAAATTTTCATCACACGCACACACACAAACACACACACACCACTCTCTGATAACCAGATCTCCAACTCCATAGCAAAAATAAAAACTATCAGACAGCAGCTCCCTACCAAATCTACAAACAACTGTCTCAGTTAAGATGCAGGTTAGGTTGCCCTGACAATAGAGGAAAAAAACTGTAACGAGTTAAGACTGCAGTTTCTTTTTCATGCAGAAGAATCAGGGATGATAAAATGGTTTGAGAGTATAGGAGACCCAGACTCCTTCCATTTTGTCACTCTGCCATCCCTAATATGTTACCCTCACTGCATGATTGAAGGTGGCTTGCTTTCCTATTTACATTCCTATTGCCCTCCCATAGGGGCAAAGAGGAAGAGAAGGTCCATTTCTCTCCTTTAAGACCTTGATGTGGAAGCTGCACATATCACTTCTACCTACAGACACTACCTAGTCATAGTGTGCATTTTTTGCACTTAGCTGCAAAAAGGTCTAGGAAATGTAGCGGTTAATTTGTAGGCCATAACTTATTTTCATCTATAATCATCTTTTTCTACTAATTTCCTCTCACAATTGAGTCTCTACTGCAATCAAAAGCTAGGATCCTCCACTTCCGCTCTGGATTGCATACATCCCTGACTTCTCAGGAACCTTGCATTATTAATTAGCCATTCTCCTGTATCTTTAGTCTTTTTATATATTGGAGTAATTCCATCTGCCAAAAAAATGAAAAAAAGAGAAAGAAAGAAAGGAAGAAAGAGAGAAAGAAAGAAAAGAAAGTTCAAGTCCACCCATCTTAAAAAAAAAAATCTTTCATTTGACATCCTCTTGCAGCTCTATCCCCTTTCCTTAGTAACTACATTTCTTAAAAACTTGTCTGAAGTCATTTACTCCACTTCTTCCCACCATATTCAGTTTTCAGGACATCTACCCTGCCTTCTGCCTCAACAACCTCACTAAAATGGCTCTTTCTAAGGTTGCCAAAGATCTCCAGGTTACTAATTTTGGACCACATTTCTCATTCCTCATTTTGCTTACCCAGGAGCAGCATTTGAATGAGTTCACCAGTTTCTTCTTGCACCTCTTCTCTTTTAGCTTTTATGATGCTTCACTCTCTGGGTTTCCTCCTGTCCCTCTGTCTACTCTTTCTTGGTGTCTTTTGCAGGCTCATCTTTCTCTATCCAGTCTTTAATAATGACCTCTAAAAGTCTGACTTGATCCTTCATTTGTTCTTATTCTACACACTCTAATTCTGTGGTTTGCATTACTTCCTATATGATCTGTATATTTAGCTTCCTAATGGAATTCTACTTAGGTATCTAATAGACATCTGAAACTTAATATGTCCAAAACAGAACAGATTTGATGGTGGGAGTTTCTCTGTGCTAGTTACTATTTTCTCTATGAAGTTGGAGTCTAGGTTGAGAGTGAAGAATGCTCTGTGTCTCTGTGTGTGTGTGTGTGTGTGTGTGTGTGTGTGTCAGGGTGGGAGAAGAAATTAGAGATTTTATGAGACGAGAAAATTTAAAAACAATATTGTGTAAAATGAGAGAAAGAAGGTAATCAGGGAAATTTGGTAAGACATCTACTCATTCTAAGCAGCACAGTATGAACAACTGAATTCTGATTTCCAAAATCCCTGACTTTGACTTCTGGCTCTTTCACCTAGTAGCTTTGTGGCTTTGGGCAAGTTACTTAAACTCTCTCTAAGCCATAGTTTTTTCATCTAAAATAGTGATCAACAATATTGGACCTAAATTCATGGTTCTTCATGAAGATTAAATGTACTTACAGGTAATGTGCCTTGAACATCATAGGTGATCATCAAATAGTTTATATTGAGTTACCAGAAACCTTATTCATTTTTTATCTCATCCTTCTTTCTCACCCTCCACATGCAAATTATCTTTAAATTCTGTTTCTACCTCCTAGATAGGTCTTAGATCAATCTTTTCCACTACGTCCATGACTTTAGGTCAAGCCACTACCATCTCTCACCCAAATTACTGTCATAGACTCCCAATTGGTCCCACCTTTTAAGTTGCTCCCCACACTAACTCCACTGCAATCTTTCCAAATCTTTCTAAATCTTAACAAATTTCCAATGCTCCCAATTCTTCCTTGCATGGCTTGCAAGAGTCTGCATTTGCTGCCTCATGAGATAGAAGGTGTATGATTTGTCTGTTGCTGTTGTAATAAATTACCATGAATGTAGTGGCTAAAAACAACACCCATTTATTAGCTCACAGATCTATTGGCCAGAGGTCTACACAGTGTGGCTGGGTTCTCTGCTCAGGGTATCAGAAATCAAGGTTTCAGCCAGACTGAATTCTCTTCTACAGACTCGGGGGAGGACTGAAGTCTCTGTTCTTTTGCTGGCTGTCAGCTAGAGACTGCTGTCAACTAGAGGCCACTCTCAGGGCTTGTCCTGTGCCCTCCTTCACCCTCGAGCCAGAAAACAGCCACCATTCGTTCCTTGCCACATTATCCCCTCCATCTTCAAGCTATCAACAGTGTGTTGAATTCTTCTCATTCTTCCAATCTCTTTGATTTCCTCTTCTGCTACCAGCAAGAAAAAAAGAACCCTTGGCTTTTAAAGAACTCATGTGACTTGGTTAGGACTAGCCAGATAATCTGTCTATCTTGAGATCAACTGATTAGTAGAATTAACTCCATCTGCAAAATCCCTTTTGCCATATAACATAATTGTGGGAGTAGTATCTCATCATATGCACAGGTCCATCCACACACAAAAGAAGATTATATAAGGGTGACAGTCATTGGTGGTCATCTTCTAATTCTGCCTACCCAAGGAGAGGAAGCCAGGGGAAATATCCCTGAAGAATCGTAGCTTGAGCTGAGATCAGATGGATGAGTAAGTGTTAACTAGGTAAGGAAGGAAAGAAGAAGCTTCCAGAGAGCATATGGAAAAGTCATGCAACTGAAGGACATATAGCAAAAAAAAAAAAAAAAAAAAAGAAAAGAAAAAAGAAAAATAAAAGAGAAAAAAGAAGGAGTGACCAAAAAAAGGCTAATGTGTTTACAGTGGAGAGAATAAGAATCATTGTGACTCTTATTTGAAATAATGTGATTTGAAATAATGTGGCTAGAGAGGTAAGTGGGAGCCAGGCCTCACAGGCTTTCTAAATTCTGTTAATATGTTTTCTCATTCCCAAAAGCAAAGGTCAAAAGAGTGGGATAGTCAGATTTGTATTCTGAGCATAGTACTTCGGCTTTAAGGTGAAGTATAGATGTAGAGAGGCATCAGTAAAATGTGGTGGCCCATTTAGGAGGTTAGGAGTGTGGTTCAAGAGTAGGGTAATATCAGTGGACATATAAGCAGGCAGATTCAAGGAACACTCAGTAGCTAAAATGAACAGGACTTTGTGATTGATTCAATATGGGAGTGATGTAGTTATGTTCCCCAGGAAGCAGACTCTCAAACAAAGATTACTGTGGAGGATGTTTACTAAGGAGCGTTCTTGGAGTTAACACCTGTGCAAGAGAGAGGATGAAAATAGGATTGGGCAAAAGGAGAAGCTGAGTAGTAATTCAGTCCCAGCAAAGACCTCAGTCAACCATATGAAGGGTTCTAGGGGTGTGAGCATCTTTCAGAGTTGTCCACCACTGGGTTGAGGGGATTAAACTTTTATACCTCTGTGCTGATCGGTCATTGGATATAGAATGCCCAAGAAAGGGAGCATAACCTTGGATGAGCTGGCTTTCTTCTGCTTAGGCAACTCCTGAAGGGTTATGACAGCTGAGGGCCATCTTTTAGGAGCACTCTCCACAGCTGGAAAATAAATCCTCCATTTTTGAAGAGGGTTCTGGGCTTTGCATCACAGCATCCAGCGCAGGGGTGAAGGAGCATAGGGGAGTAAGGCATCAATAATAATTCCTAAATTTCTGATTTGTACATCCTGGTGGGTGCACTTAACGACCATATATTACAATCATTGGCTTGCTTGGGAAAATCCCACTAGAGTAGGTGCTACTGAGGGGCAAACTATATTGGACAACTAGTGCATACCCCTAGAACTGGCATAGTTTGCTAAATAAGTGAATGTCCATCTATTTCTATTTTCACTCCCCTCTCCCTTACATCCTTTGCTCCCTTCCCTCCTCATCGTACTGTCATCCAATGTGGGAAAACTTGAGCAGGTTATCTGAGGCCCCACCTGTGCTGGAGCGGAACAAATAGCAAATCAAGCTCCTCTGGTCCAGGCTCTCTGATGGGCAAGACAGGCAGTACCAGGAGGAAGGAAAGGGGGAGCAGTTGATGACATCTCAGGCATAAACTGTCTTTCAACTCTCTTTCAATGCTTCAGCCCCTATAAACTCAGGGCTGGCTGAACCAGGTCCTCTCCAAAAGATTAATTGGATAAGGGCCTGCTGAATCCCCCATAAAGCCAGACTCCATTCTCTAATTTGCTCTTCCACTGATGCCCGCCCCCAACCTCTTACAGCTACTGCTGGGGGTCAGAAGAATTTCACATCGTATTGGAGTTCATCCGGAATCTGAAGAATGGATAGGAATCTGGAGATAGGAATCTGGAGATAGGAATCTGGGGAAGAAAAGGAATGGATAGGAGAATGCATAGGGAGCAGGGCTGAAATAGTAGAAGAGGCAAATCCTGCCCCGAGAAGCTGAACCCAGTTCAGTCCTGCACCCTTCAGCCCTGTTCCCGCTGCACCGCAGTGACCCAGTCCCCTTCTAGCCCCCTCTCGTGGGAACCTGACACCCTACACAGGCAGCTCTGCCTGCACTGAGAGCAAACAGGGAGCGTTAGCGTGTCGGGTGGGCGTGGGCGCTGCCTGGAGACGGTGGAGAAAGCCAACCTTCTCCTTCTCTTTTGCCTGCGCTGGGCCGGCGTTAGAATTATATCCCATCCTCACCTTACTCTGGTTTATCCTTGTCAGTGCTTGCCACCACCCCCAACTGCCCTCAACACTCAAGTCAGAAGCTTCCTCCCGGGAGCCCTTTTCCCTGGCAAGGCTTCCCTGGAGCCAAATCTCGGCCCCGGCCCCACCCCCACTCCCGCCCAGCTGTGGAGGGCTCCTTGGGACCCTTAAGTGCAAGCCTGAGTGTTAAGCCTCAGACAGGAGATGGAGGGTGCGGAGACAGATGCAGGAGCTACCCCAGGCCCGCAGCGAGGAGCTGCAGGGAACTACGGTAGCAATAGTGTCACGGTCACTGCGGCCACTGCAACACAGTACGGTAAATGCGGCTCTAGGCTCAGACTAAAGCATCCGCGCCTCAGCAGGTGACGCACGCAGACCTGGTCTCCAACGCCACCTCCACGTTCCCTGATACACCAGAGAAAGATGCTGGATCCGTGGCAGCCGTCTCTACCCAACCCCTCCTACCCTCCCTTCCCCGAAACCTCCCCCTACGCTGCCAATACTCTTGTCTTCAATCTCTCTCTCTCTCTCTCTCTCTCTCTCTCTCTCTCTCTCTCTCTCTCATTCCTGGGAATCGGGGGTGGGGGCGGGTGATAAAGAGAGGTGGGCAGGAGAGAAATCTCTAAGAGGAGACGGGACACATCTAGGGAGGGGGCGAGCCTGGAGGACAGTCGCACAGGGAGGGGCAGAACTCCCGAGCCAGGGAGGGGGTGCACAGTCACCTGGCGGGACAGAGGCTGGCGGAGGGACGGGAACCCAGGCGGGGCGAGCCGCGGGAGAGTGGAGGGCAGGCGCCTGGGCTGGGGGCGGGGACCAGGCGGGGCAGGGGGCAGGGAGAGGAGGGCGGCGGGAGCCTGAGCCGGAATCGCAGCGTGAGCAGGTGGAGCCGCGTTGGGAGCCCGCCGGGTCGAGCTGAGTAAGGCGGCGGGCTCGGCGGGGGCCATGGAGCTGCTAAAGCTGAACCGGAGCGTGCAGGGAACCGGACCCGGGCCGGGGGCTTCCCTGTGCCGCCCGGGGGCGCCTCTCCTCAACAGCAGCAGTGTGGGCAACCTCAGCTGCGAGCCCCCTCGCATTCGCGGAGCCGGGACACGAGGTGGGTGCCTCCCTCAGCCCCCCCCACAAGCTATTTCTCACTGTACCCCAGAACACTAATAGAGTCCCCCCAACGAGCTCCACACTACCTTCTCAAACGTCCACACCGTGCCTCTCATAGTACTCCCTCAGCCCCCAAACAGCTCCCCTCACACCTTCACCCCCACAGCCTACAACTTCATCACAGCTTCACACCACCTGGTCGGAACTCCTTCACATCCTGGTCCCCTGAATACACCTAGAGCCCCTGCTCACCCCAAAGCACAGCCCCTTCCCCAACACGCAGCCCCTCCTAGACACCAGTCAGAAGGCGAGGACCTCCTCTTGCCAACCCTGCAGATCTCCTTTTCCCTCTTACATCCAGTTCACAGAGCCACAACAGAGAAGGGAAGGAAGAAAGGAAGGCAGGACTGGGAAAAGAAGGGGGCTGGTTGAGGGAGGGAGCACTCTGGAAAGCTTGAATGCGAAGCTGAAGTTGTGATCACATCTGACACCCCAGCCCCCAGCCATCCCAAAAAAGATCCTCAAATCTGAATTAGGCTGGACACTAGGGGATGCTCCTTAGAGCTGCCTGCCTCCATTTCACTCCTTCTCAAACCCCTCTGCCTCCCTAGTTGGAGCTTTCGAGGCTCTGTGCCCTCTCTCTTTGTCTGCAAGTAATGTCTCCAGCTATCTTCCAAGCTCTCTCTCCAGCCCTAGGCTAGGTGCTGGGGGCACAGGGCAAACTAGACCCAGTCTGGACCCTCATGGCCCATAGCCAAGTGCAGAGAGAAACCAAGCAAATGGAAAAATCACAGACACAATGGAAGTCCCATGAAAGGGTCTAAACTGTGGGCACCAAAAGAACTTCACAGAGGCTAGAACCTTAGAGCTGGGTCTTGAAGTTGAGTAGGCAGAAAAGGAAGGAGTGGGATTCTAGGTGAAGGAGCAATGTTAAGCAGAAGGAAATTTTTCTAAACTCAAAAAGGGAAAGTTGGAATAAATTGTAATCCAAGTATTTATTTACCCCACGAAATAATCTATGCTTTCTCAGCCGAGTTGTTACACACTCACACTTGGATTCTGTCATTCAGCCAATATTTATTGAACCAGAGATTGTGCTAGGCAGTGGGAATGTAAGTTGAACAAAACCGACACAATTCCTACTTCACAGAGCTCAAAGTTTAATGGGCGAGACAGAAAAGCAGGGGATTGCAGCACAAAGTGGAAGAGCCTTGACAGGGAAAAGATAGTGGGAACACAAGTGGAACACCTCTAGCCCAGCCCAGCCTCCTTGAGAATTAAAGTTGGCCTCTTGAGGAAATGAGCTACAAAGTCAAAAAAATTAGGGAGGCTGGCTCTAAGCTTCCTGTTGGCAAAAAAAAAAAAAAAAAAAAATATATATACACACACACACACACACACACACACACACACACACATATACATATGGGAGAGCCAGCCAAGTGAACGGGCAGAAGAGGCAGAAAGCATCCCAAATAAAAGGACAAGATGTATAAGAAGCTCAAAGTTTGAATTCATGGCACTTTTATCCACTGTGACATAGTTTTGAGTGACTAGAACATATATCTTAAGAAGGGAATAATGAACAGGCTGGAGACCAGCCTAGAGGGTTTGCAGAGAGCCTGCTAGGCCTGACCATGGAACATGGACTTTCTCCCGAGGGCAATAGGAACTACTAAAAGATTCGGTAGTACTACCAGGATTAGTTCTATAATGTGGAGAACGGATTGGAAGACATAAGATGGAAGGCAGGGGGATACTTTACAAGGTTACTATATTACACTGTTCTGGGTGAAAGATGATGCTAGCTGAGACTAAGGTAATGGCAAGGGAGATGGAGAGAGGTGGATAGATTTGAGAGCCTCTTCTGGAAATGGAATCAACAGATTAGAAGCAGAGAGGATGGAAGAGGTCAAGGGATGACATTCAGATTTCTAACTTGGACAACTGAATGGATATTGGTGCTATAGCAATTGTATACAATGAGAAAGATAACAAAACAGCAGAAACAGGTTTGGAAGAGGGAATTATAAATTCAGTTTGGAACCCATTGAGTTTAAATGTTAGTGGGGCATCCAGGTGAGGTTACCTAGTAAGCTGTTGAATCCAGGGGTCTGGAACTTACAGGAGAGGTCTGAGGTGGAAATACAGACTTGAAGAAGGTCTTTGCCTACAGGATGTAGAAGCCCCGAGAATAGTTAAAATCATAAAATTTTGTATAGAATGAGAAGAAAATAGGTCCTAGGTCAAGACTCTGCATAAGACCATTATTTAAAAGCCAGGCAGAGAAAGGAGAATTTATGAAGGAGATTCAGATGAAACCATCAGAAAGGCAGGAGCTACGCCCTTCCAGAAAGCAAGAAAAAGAGAGTTTCAAGCAGGTTGGGGTAAGTGATATCAAATGCTATTGACATAAGTTACATAAATAAAAAACAGGACAGTCAGAACAGCATCCTTCACATTCAATAACAAGAAAATATTTAGGAGTTGTAGGTATTGAGGCTTGACTATGGTAGGTTAAAGATTGGACTGGTGAGAGAAGGAGTTATGAGAAGTGAACCAAGGTATGTAGCCAAAACTTTCAAGAAGTCTGGTAGGCAAAGAAAGAGAGAGAGAGAGAGAGAGAGAGAGAGAGAGAGAGAGAAAGAAAAGCAGGATATTGCCAAAAATAGCATGAGATTGAGGAAGGGGGGAGTGGGTATGTGCATAGGTTTGTTACGTGTGTGCGCGTGTGTGTGCACGCATTTTAAAACAAGAGCTTTTTAAAATGTTTGTTGGTGATTGGGCCGAGAGAGGAAGATTGAAGGTGCAGATAAGAAAGGGGATAGTCAATAGAGAAGATTCCCTGTGAAAGCGGGATGTGACGCAATTCAGAGCACAGGTGCAAAAATTTGCCTCACTTATCTAAATGCTCCTCACACATTTGGATGTTACCCAGCCAGTCAGATGTTACACACAGAGACCCTGTCAGCCACACTCATTCAGATATTATCCCTGCAGATGCATAGGTTACCCAGGTTCACTCCAATGTTACCAATAGGAATTTGGATGTTACCACTTTATTCTCCTTATATAATCCATGCAGACTTGAGTATTACCCATGTTCACTCAGATAGTACCCACAGAAAGACAAATGTTACCACACTCACTTTAATATTGTCCGAAGTCATTTTGGTGTTACCCATCCATCAAACACTACTCACTTTCATTTTATTATTATCCACACACAACCAGATATTACCTATGCTCACTTAAGTAAGCTTTTCCCAGATACTACCCATAAAATTACAAATATTACTCTCACATACTCAGATAATACCCACAAAAGCTTAAATATTACTTACATTCACTCAGGTGCTCAGTTATTTCATTTACTCAGATTAACATCTTTTTTTTTTTTTTTTTTTTGAGGCAGTCTCCCTCTGTTGCCCAGGCTGGGGTGCAGTAGCATGATCATGGCTCATTGCAGTCTTGACCTCCGCAGGCTCAAGTGATCCTCCCACCTCAACCCCCTAAATAGCTGGGACTACAGGCATGTGCCACCACAAGTGGCTAATTTTTTGTATTTTTTGTAGAGATAGGGTTTTTCCATGTTGCCCAGGCTGGTCTCTAAATCCTTGGCTTAAGAGATCTGCCCACCTCAGCCTTCCAAAGTGCTGGGATTACAGATATAAGCCACCATGTCTGGCCCAGATTAACATCTTAATTTAGTTAACATGTTAACATCTAACATCTGTACTCAAATACTACCCATACATACTTGGATATTACTTCTGCTCAGTCAGCAATTTCTATCATTATTTGGATATTCCACTACTCACAAGTAGACCTCTGAATGTAATCTATGCTTCCTGAAGATGTTACCTACAAAATGTTATCTACAGAGAGTTGGATATTAACCCTTGCTCTTTCAAATGTTACTACAGTGACTCAGATATTATCTAAACTTAAATGTAAGCCATATTCAATCGGATATTACCTATAAGCATGTAGATGTTACCATTCTCCAGATATGTCCCACAGAAATAAGCGTGACTTTCACCTACCCATATACTATTTCAAAGATTAAAGTATGCCCAACACTCACTCTGATATTACCTACACACCCTTGCATATTACTTCTGCTCCCTCAGTACCCACTATGTGGATTCCCCCATTCACCCAGCCACTACCCACAGTCAGTTGGATGTGATCCCTGCTTATCATAGAGACAAGGGTATTACTTTGATGTCTGTGTGCATGGGTGAACAGATCAAACCTGCCAGTAGAATGCAGAATTTAAGGCATCAGCAGCTTCAGTGTTCTGTGGAGTTTTTCCTTAGAAAGTCTTGGTTTTCATTTTATGTCACGTTGTCTGGATTTTTGCACTCATACTTCTCTGCCATTATCTAGACAGAACAAATACAGATCTTCTAAACACCAGGAGAAGAACTGAACTGTCCCAATCTTCTGAGTCGCCTGGTCTGATGCCAGTTTTCCTCATCCCCAGGAAGATGATGAGATGATGCTCACGGGTAGACTTATCAAGGCACTTGTGGATGTACCCCAGCAGGTGCTATCTCCCATCCTTCTACCCATGCCTGTTTCCTAGTCACTGAAGCCACTGTCATCACTCATATTCCACCATGCAAACACACATCAATACACACACACACACACACACGCATACAAGTCTAAGTCTGATTTATTTTGTGCATGACTTTTTAAACTAATGGATTATTTTTAGAGCAGTTTTAAGTTTACAAAAATTACAGAGTGCCCATACACACACAACCACACATATACACAGAATTTACCCTATTATTAACAGCTTACATTAGTGTGGTACATGTGTCACAATTTATGAGCCAATATCAATACATTATTCTCTAAATTCTAGAGTTTACATTAGGGTTCACTTTTTGTGTTGTATGGTTCTATAGGTTTTGACAAATGTATAATGGCATGTATCCATCATTACAGTATCACACAGAATAGTTTCACTGCCCTAAAAATCCCCTGTACTTCATCTATTTATCCCTCGCTCTGCCTCTCCAAACTCCTGGCTCTAAAATTGCTTTTAATTAGAATTTTTCACATTTCTGAACTGTTCAACAGCAAAGACGTGTGGAGACAGTGGTGGCTGGAAATAAGATAATAGCTAGGAATGTCCAGTAAAACAGCAGAACACTGCACAGTTGCTGGTCATTTTTACTGGGACTTTGTCTTATAAATTTCAGGAGTCCCCAAGCATATTGCAAACTTTATAAGGGTAATATTTAGCTCCATCTTTATGGTCTATCACAATTAGCCAAGTTCAAGGGCACACACATGGGACATCAGCTGGATGAATGAATGAGAAATTGCTTTTCATGCTTCACAGTACTGTACCAATTTGAGGTGTGGCGAATTGCATCAATAATTAGTTGAAGAAAGACATCCAGGGCAGATGTAAGCAAGATAATGGAACTAGAAAGATTAAAGAGGTGGAGGCTGGGGGTGGGAGGACAATGGATTTGGAGAAGAAACAGTGAGTCCAAGATAAACCACCAGCTCTTTTCTGAGTCCAAGGACCTCTCTGACAGAGGTCTCCCTCCTAAAAGTCCTTTATTCTCCACCATACACACTTACTCCCCTCAAATTTTGTCACCTATAAGCCTTCTGTAATCCTTCCTTACAGAGAGAGGCCCAGCTTCTAAAGGAAATATAGATGGTTTGCATATAAAAAACAAAAGTTATGCATCTGAAATCATAACCTCTCACTGACCCCCACAAGGACCTTCCAACATGTGTCTCCAAAAAGACAGAGGCAAAGAAGAAGAAGAAAGGGCATGCTGGAGCACCTCTGCAGAGATGACGGATGGATGAGGAGGGGGAAAGCAGGTGCACTTCTGTCTTGAAAGACAGAATCATCCAAGATTCATTAACAAGCATGTGTTGACTGCCTCCCCTGTGCTAGGGATGATGAGTGCTAGGGATATACTGGAGAGCGAGATGGACCTTGCCACTGTCCTCAAGAAGCTCCTAGTCTAGTGGGGAAGACAGAGAATTACATACATACTAATACAGTGAAAAATGCCATGGTTGAGTATAGAGAGAGGGAGAAAGAGGCATTTAGATTGAGATTTGATTAAGAAGGAGGCAGTATGGGCCAGGCGTAGTGGCTCAAACCTGTAATCCCAGCACTTTGGGAGGCCAAAGCAGGTGATCACCTGAGGTCGGGAGTTCGAGACCAGCCTTACCAATATGGAGAAACCCATCTCTACTAAAAATACAAAATTAGCCGGGCGTGGTGGTGCATGCCTGTAATTCTAGCTACTCAGGAGGCTGAGGCAGGAGAATCGCTTGAACCCAGGAGGCAAAGGTTGCGGTGAGCCAAGATCATGCCATTGCACTCCAGCCTGGGCAACAAGAGCAAAACTCCATCTCAAAAACAAAAACAAAAACAAACAAACAAACAAAAAACATGGAGGTAGTATGATGAATAACAGAGTACTGCAGGAACAAACAGTAGGAGGCAAAGCACATTAGGGATCAGGGACTTGGCTTCTATTCTGATTCAGCCCCTTATCAGGTGTGTGGTCTTGAGCAAAGAATGTTACTGCTGAGTTCGGTTTGGAAGTTTTTATAAATAGCATTTATTTGATGCCTACAATTTCTAAATAAATTGGTTTTTGTTATGAGAAAATACAGTCATGCATTAACTAATGATGGGGATACCTTCTGAGAAATGCATCATTAGGTGATTTCATTGTGTAAACATCATAGAGTGTTTGTCACACAAACCTAGAAGGTATAGCCTACTACATACCTAGGCTATACGGTATAGCCTACTGCTCCCAGGCTGCAAACCTGTACAGTATATTACTGTGCTGAATATTGTAGGGAAGAGTAACACAATGTTATGTATTTGTGTATCTAAACATAGAAAAGGTACAGTGAAAATACAGCATAAAAGATAAACCATCATACACCTGTATAGGGCACGTACCGTTAATGGAACTTGCAGGAGTAGATGTTGCTCTGGCTAAGTCAGTGATGAGTGGTGAGTGAAAGTAAAGGCCTAGGACATTACTGTACACTACTGTAGACTTTATAAACACTGGATACTTAGGCTACACTAAATGTATTTAATAATAAATTAAACTTAGCATACTGTAACTTTTTACTTTATAAACTTTTTGACTCTTTTGTAATAACACAGTGTAAAACAAAAAACACATTGTATGGCTATACAAAAATATTTTCTTTTTTTATACTCTTATCCTATAAGCATTTTTCTGTTTTTAACTTTAGAAAAAAAAAAAACCTTTCTGTTAAAACCAAGACACAAACACACACATTGGGCTACACAGGGTCAGGATAAATATTGCCATCTTCCACCTCTACATCTTGTCCCACTGGAAGGTCATCAGGGCAACACCACACATGGAGCTGTCATCTCCTATAATAACGGTGCTTTATTCTGGAATACATCTTAAAGGACCTGCCTGAGTCTGTTTTATAGTTAACTTTTTTAAAAAAATAAGTAAGAGTATACTCTAAAATAATGATTGAAAGTATAATGTAGTAAATACATCAACCAGTCACACAGTCATTTATTATCACTATCAAGTATTATGTACATCATTGTATGTGCTAGGCTTTTATATGACTGACAGCACAGTAGGTTTGTTTATACCAGTATCCCCACAAACACATACGTAATGCATTATGCTGCAATGTTACAATAACATTACTAGGTGATAGAAACTTTTCAGCTCCATTATAATCTTTTGTTGTTGTTATTTTGGGTTTTGTTTGAGACAGAGTCTCACTCTGTTGTGCAGGCTGGAGTGCAGTGGCACTATCATAGCTCATTGCAGCCTTGAACTCCTGGGTTCAAGCAATCTTTCTGCCTCAAACTCCTGAGTAGCTATGACTATAGGCACGTATCACCACACCCAGCTAATTTTTTATGTTTTGTAGAGACGGGACTTTGCTATGTTGCTCAGGCTGATCTCAAGCTCCTGGCCTCAGGTGATCCTCCCGCCTTGGCCTCTCAAAGTGCTGGGATTACAAAGATAAGCCACTGCACTCAGCTGTTCATTACAATCTTATGAGACCACCATCGTATATGAAATTGGTCATTTACCAAAACATCGTTATTCAGTGCATGGCTGTAGTTTTCAATTTGGGAGCTAAAATGAGAATCAGTCAAAGTATGGGGCTCTGGAAGAGGGGGCTGCAGCTTTGAGGCTTTCCTTCTCTGCAATCTAGGAGGCTCTGTCCCCTGCCCTCTCTACCTTCCAGCTCTAATCCCTCTCATGCTGAGGCCATAGGTGTGAGTAATTCAGTCCTGTTCAATCCAATTCGATTTTATCTAAATCTGCTTGGCTGTGATGTGGTGGTCCAAAGATTAATCCATCTTTTAATAGACAATGACACAAAAGAATGGGGTCAGCCTCCCAGCCCCTCTGCCTCACACAGGTGTCCCTCCTATGAGCTCCAACAGCACCTTATACATCCTTCAGCCTCACTCCTTATCACATCTGTTTATGTATCTGAGTTTACTTCCCCACTGTGAGCTCTCAAATGGCAGGGATCTTGTCATGTTCATCTCTTTGTCCCCAGTGCCTAGCACAAAGGGAGTCCTCTGTAAATGTTTATAGAGTGAGAATGAATGTTTGGAGAGAATTAAAATACAAGGCAGAAGTAAAATAGGCTGTAATAGTTGTGTAAGAAACAGGCATGGGTCAGAGAAAGAGGAGAGTAGAAGGGCCTTACAGAAGGGCCTTACAGAAGAAGTAGCAGTCAATTTGAGTCTTGACCAACAAGGGATGAATAGGAATTCACCAGATACAGAAAATAAGCTTGTGATGAGGGGTAGAAGTTGTGAGGAGGGTTGGTAAAAGAGTATTCCGGTCTGAGAAACCAGCTTGAGCAGGGAGAGAGTCACAAGTGCAAATGATGCATTCAAGAAATTGAGTCATCCAGTGGCTTGCTTAAATGCCTGCTGTACAGGGAGGGGGTGGGAGAGAAAGAAGTCCCTTCTGGGAGGATCTTGATGATATTCTGAGGGGTTGCAGACAGTAGAGAGTAAGTGAAGTATTTTTTTTTTTTTTTTTTTTGCTTTTGTTTTTAGAGAATAAAGACATGATCTGATGTGATTCAAAAGGTAGTGGGTTGTCAACAGTGTAGAATACTCTAGCGGGGTCAAATAGAGTAGGCTAAGAAAGGACCTTTGAATTTAGCAGTTAAAGATTAGTGTACTTGGGAAGAAGTATGCACTGATAGGGCACAGAATATTGTATTGTAATGGAATGAAGAGTAAATGAGAAGACACAAATATCCTCTTAAGAAGTTTGTCTGCAGAAAGAAGGAAAGATTTGGAACGAACCTTGAGAAGAGACAGGCTTTCTTAAGGAAGGGCAGAGTTGGGCCAATTTAACCAAACCTCAAGGGGTTAGAAGGCTAAAGGATTCAAGTTCACCATTTACTGAGCAGTTCATCGGTGGGGAATGTAGGCATCTGGCTGGGTAGTGAGGGTTGGGGATAAGACGGAAGGAGGGGGATTTGACTGAATGAAGGCTGACCCCCTACTGCCACCTCTCCCTTTTCTTACCCAGAATTGGAGCTGGCCATTAGAATCACTCTTTACGCAGTGATCTTCCTGATGAGCGTTGGAGGAAATATGCTCATCATCGTGGTCCTGGGACTGAGCCGCCGCCTGAGGACTGTCACCAATGCCTTCCTCCTCTCACTGGCAGTCAGCGACCTCCTGCTGGCTGTGGCTTGCATGCCCTTCACCCTCCTGCCCAATCTCATGGGCACATTCATCTTTGGCACCGTCATCTGCAAGGCGGTTTCCTACCTCATGGGTGGGTGAGACAACCACCCCACCCCCACTTGCCACTCTCCCCGCCTAAAGCTCTTGTGGATGTAGGGGTCTTCCCCGGTTGGCAGGGAGGGGTGTGAGGAAGTCCCACTGATGCTTGTGTAGTGCAAGTTTCCTAGGTGACTCCTTCCTTTCTCTTCCCTTGTTTAGGGGTGTCTGTGAGTGTGTCCACGCTAAGCCTCGTGGCCATCGCACTGGAGCGGTACAGCGCCATCTGCCGACCACTGCAGGCACGAGTGTGGCAGACGCGCTCCCACGCGGCTCGCGTGATTGTAGCCACGTGGCTGCTGTCCGGACTACTCATGGTGCCCTACCCCGTGTACACTGTCGTGCAACCAGTGGGGCCTCGTGTGCTGCAGTGCGTGCATCGCTGGCCCAGTGCGCGGGTCCGCCAGACCTGGTGAGCTTGCCCATAAACTATCCTAGGAATTCCTTTCTCACCCCTATTAGATGCTTACGACCATTGCCCAGAATCTTCCTCCAGCTTCCCGGAGAATTACCACGCCAACTCCTATTCTGCATCCACCACCCTGGAGTTCCAGTTTGGGGCCCCTCCCCAGTTCTCTCTCCCTTCCCAGCGGCACCCCCAAATCCTACTCCTACTTCAGGTACCTGGCCACAGCCCTAGAAACACTAGTCCTTGGCTTTTTCTCCATCTGTGATTACAGCTGGACAGAAACCCGAGTGATCTGTCTGTGTTGCCTTCAGGTCCGTACTGCTGCTTCTGCTCTTGTTCTTCATCCCGGGTGTGGTTATGGCCGTGGCCTACGGGCTTATCTCTCGCGAGCTCTACTTAGGGCTTCGCTTTGACGGCGACAGTGACAGCGACAGCCAAAGCAGGGTCCGAAACCAAGGCGGGCTGCCAGGTGGGGCTGGACCACGTGAGCAAAATCTGGGCGAGGCGGAGCTTTGGAGGGCGACGGGGCCTGCTGGAGTGGGTGGGACTGAAATGAAGGTGAGGGTGAGAAGGAAGCTGGAAATGGAGTTGAGCTGGGAGCGGAGGTCAGGTGGGGACTGGGCTGGAGACTGGGGGGACTCGCCTTTTTCTCTGACCGCCCACCCTTTGTGCTCAGGGGCTGTTCACCAGAACGGGCGTTGCCGGCCTGAGACTGGCGCGGTTGGCGAAGACAGCGATGGCTGCTACGTGCAACTTCCACGTTCCCGGCCTGCCCTGGAGCTGACGGCGCTGACGGCTCCTGGGCCGGGATCCGGCTCCCGGCCCACCCAGGCCAAGCTGCTGGCTAAGAAGCGCGTGGTGCGAATGTTGCTGGTGATCGTTGTGCTTTTTTTTCTGTGTTGGTTGCCAGTTTATAGTGCCAACACGTGGCGCGCCTTTGATGGCCCGGGTGCACACCGAGCACTCTCGGGTGCTCCTATCTCCTTCATTCACTTGCTGAGCTACGCCTCGGCCTGTGTCAACCCCCTGGTCTACTGCTTCATGCACCGTCGCTTTCGCCAGGCCTGCCTGGAAACTTGCGCTCGCTGCTGCCCCCGGCCTCCACGAGCTCGCCCCAGGGCTCTTCCCGATGAGGACCCTCCCACTCCCTCCATTGCTTCGCTGTCCAGGCTTAGCTACACCACCATCAGCACACTGGGCCCTGGCTGAGGAGTAGAGGGGCCGTGGGGGTTGAGGCAGGGCAAATGACATGCACTGACCCTTCCAGACATACGAAACACAAACCACAACTGACACAGGAAACCAACACCCAAAGCATGGACTAACCCCAACGCACAGGAAAAGGTAGCTTACCTGACACAAGAGGAATAAGAATGGAGCAGTACATGGGAAAGGAGGCATGCCTCTGATATGGGACTGAGCCTGGCCCATAGAAACATGACACTGACCTTGGAGAGACACAGCGTCCCTAGCAGTGAACTATTTCTACACAGTGGGAACTCTGACAAGGGCTGACCTGCCTCTCACACACATAGATTAATGGCACTGATTGTTTTAGAGACTATGGAGCCTGGCACAGGACTGATTCTGGGATGCTCCTAGTTTGACCTCACAGTGACCCTTCCCAATCAGCACTGAAAATACCATCAGGCCTAATCTCATACCTCTGACCAACAGGCTGTTCTGCACTGAAAAGGTTCTTCATCCCTTTCCAGTTAAGGACCGTGGCCCTGCCCTCTCCTTCCTTACCCAAACTGTTCAAGAAATAATAAATTGTTTGGCTTCCTCCTGAACTTCCTTTCTGGATTCTTCTGGGGCAGGTGAGGAGGCATAGGATTTTGCAGTATCCTTCTGTCGGGTCTCTCCCACTGTTGCACACTGCTGTGCACAACCCCTTGCCAGAAAGCCCAGCCTCTGAGGTTCAGCGTGGCTGTGCATATTCTTTCTGAGTTTTCATCCTCTACCTACATTCCAATGTTGCAATAACTGTGAATGGGGATGGAAAATGGCATATCCATGACATATCATGATTCCTGATCACATTATCCCAAAGTGGTGCCACTGTTAAGGTACTATATTAATGGATGCTTATTAAATTTTGATGAAAAGATAAAAGAGGAAGCACTGTATAATAAGACTAAGTTTATTCAATGTGTGTTTGAAACACCAGAGATCAGACCATGACAGGTATACAGAATGAATACAGTTAATTAAAGAGTAGGGATTTTTTGCTGTACTCTCTTCCCCAGTGTCAAAACCTGGCCAAGATTCTGCCAAATGGAAGCACTTTTAGTAGCTACAACAAAAAAAGACCTGAATAGGAGTCTGAGAACCCAGTCTCCCTTTTACTATAAGAATGATCTAGCCCCAGAGACAGGCAAAGACCAACAATATCACCTCTTTACACACAATGACAAATGAGGAAGAACAGGAACTGAGGACCTCACTAAGAGGACATACGTGGATAATCAGAGGCATAGTATATTGGAGGAGGGGTCTTTTGATGCTTCATCTTGTAACAGACAGGGGAAACTGAGGCCCAGAGCAGGAATGTAAGCTGCCTAAGGTCATACA
The DNA here is from genome assembly GCF_000001405.40 of Homo sapiens. Classification (NCBI taxonomy): domain Eukaryota; kingdom Metazoa; phylum Chordata; class Mammalia; order Primates; family Hominidae; genus Homo; species Homo sapiens. The sequence goes on from NC_000011.10 coordinate 6,272,909, forward strand.
GTAAGTTAGAGCAAGATAGAATAATGGTGTTGAAGTAGACCCTGGGCTGGAGATGGGGAAGAAGACCCACCCATGAGGAGCAGAGACAAGTTTTGTGGGACCTAAAGTTTATAAAATCGGGTACTCTTTTTTTAAGAAAGAAAAAGAATACAAAATCACAGATACAAAATTACTGGGACCCTGACCAGGGCCTTGAAAGGGGCCTGTGCAAGTGATGAGCCCTCAATTTTAGGCCTCATTCACTTCCCAGCCAATATGCCTCTAAAATACACCCACTAACTACCCTGGAGAAGGCTGCATGGAGTAGAGGACAGTGAGAAAGGAGAGTGGTTCTGTTTACCAGTGCTGGGGTTGCTCCCATCCATCGTTTCTACAGGATTCTGGGCTGCAAGAGGCAGGAAGAAGGAAGAAAAGGAGGGAGAAGGCGTTCCAAGCTGTCAACTATGACAGGGATGGTTAAAAATAGAATCCCAGCTGGTCTGAGGAGCTGCAGGCAGATATTGGGCCTTTCTTTCTCATGCCAGCTTCTCTGTGGGGTGGGAGTAGGCTGGCCCATAGGCTCCCTAGCACTCCACCGTTCCTTCTAAAGACTGCCTGGGACTGTTAGCCCCCTCTAGCTGGAGCCTGGGCTCCAGATGACCACGAAATGGCAGCCTGGAGCTGGGTAGAGGGCTGGGTCTACAGAATACTTTTACCTCCATCACCCCATTCCATGCCCTATCCAGCTGTCAGATATGGTCTCTTGAGCTCCTTCCATCTATTTTCCATTTCTTGAGATCTGATAAAACATTTCAGGTCTAGATTTAATATCACTGTCCCCATGAAGTCCTACTTTGTCATTCTGACAAAGCTTGTATGCTCATATGGTACTTACTGCTTTCTCTCTTTTGTCATAGTCATCTGTGTTCCTGCCTAATTTATCCTATCAGCCTGAGAGCAGCATGATGTAGTAGGAAGATGACTGAGCCTGGTCGGGGGACAGAGGAGGGTAGTGGTAAGATCTAATTCTAAGTGATAGGCATTTTATATACACTGATTCATTTCATTCTCTGAATACTTCCACAGAACATTTCTCCTCATTCAAAAGACAAATAAAGTGAAGCTAAGAAAGCTTAAGGCAGTTATACGAGGTCCTACAGCCAGAATACAGCCAAGAACTGAGCTCGGGTATCTGACTTCAAAGCTTTTTCTATTTCCATTATAGTGTGTTGCCTTCTTTCAAGTCTTTCCAGTCCTAGTTCTATCTTTTAAAAGTTGTGTGATTTTGTGCACGTTATCTAAGTGAGTTTCAGGCTCAGGTGTAAAACGGTAATATTATATTAACCTTACACTGCCATTTTGAAACTTAAGTAAAATAATGCATATAAAGTGCTTATCATTGTATCAGGCACATAGCATAAGAAGAGTTAGATGCATCAAGACTGGAAGGAAGCAAAAGCACCAGGAAACAAAGCCTTCTGTAGACAGGTAGCCACCAATAATTGAACAGGACAGAACTCTGGGTCCAAGGGGAGGCTCAGAGCTTGCTACGAGATGATATTAGAAAGTGATATGTGTAGGCAAATAAATGGTAGGAAAAAAAAAGAAAGTGGTGTACACTGGAATAAAACTAGAAATCAAAAACAAGAAAAATTTTGGAGACTATACAAACACATGGAAATTAAACAATATGTTCCTGAATGACAGTGGATCAATGAAGAAATTAAGAAAAAAAATGAAAAATTCCTTGAAACATAATGATAATGATAATGGAAACACAACATACCAAAACCTATGGCATACAGCAAAAGCAGTACTAACAGAGAAGTTTATAGCTTGCCTATATCAAAAAAGACAGCCTAATGATACATCTTAAAGAACTAGAAAAGCAAGAACAAACCCAAAATTAGCAGAAGAAAAGAAATAATAAATATGAGAGCAGAACTAAATGAATTTGAAATGAAGAAAAAAATCAAAAGATCAATGAAACAAAATGTTGGCTTTGTGAAAAAATAAACAAAATTGACAAACCTTTAACTAGAATAAGAAAAAAGAGAGAAGACCCAAATATATAAAATCAGACATGAAAAAGGAACATTACGACTGACACTGCAGAAATTCAAAGGATCATTCGTGATGACTATGAGCAACTATATGCCAATAAATTGGAAAATCTAGATGAAATAAATTCCTAGATACATAAAATCTACCAAGATTGAACCATAAAGAAATCCAAAACCTGGCTGGGCGCGGTGGCTCACACCTGTAATCCCAGCACTTTGGGAGGCTGAGGCGGGCAGATCACCTGAGTTCAGGAGTTCAAGACCAGCCTGACCAACATGGAGAAACCCCATCTCTACTAAAAATACAAAAGTTAGCCAGGCGTGGTGGCACATGCCTGTAATCCTAGCTACTTGTGAGGCTGAGACAGGAGAATTGCTTGAACCCAGCAGGCAGAGGTTGCGGTGAGCCGAGATCATGCCATTCCACTGCAGCCTGGGCAACAAGAGCGAAACTCTGTCTCAAAAAAAAAGAAGAAGAAAGAAAGAAAGAAAGAAATCCAAAACCCGAACAGACTAAAAACAAGTAATTATATTGAAGCCATAATAAAAAGTCTCCCAGAAAAGAAAAGCACGAGACCCAGTATCTTCACAGCTGAATTCTACCAAACATTTAAAGAACTAATACCAATTCTACTCAAACTATTCCAAAAAATAGAGGAGGAGGGAATACTTCCAAACTCATTCTGTGAGGCAAGTATTACCCCAATACCAAAACCAGACAAAGATACATCATAAAAGAAAACTATAGGCCAATATCAATGATGAATATTGACGCAAAAATCCTCCACAAAATATTAGCAGACCAAATTCAGCCATACATTAAAAAGATCATTCATCATTACCAAATAAAATTTTTCCCTGGGAGGCAAATCAATCAATGTGATACATCATATCAACAAAATGAAGGACAAAAACCATATGATTATTTCAATTGATGCTGAAGAAACATTTGACAAAGTTCAACCTCCCTTCATGATAAAACCTTCAAAAAACTGGGGATAGAAAGAACATACCTCAACATAATAAAAGTCATATATAATAGATCCATAGCTAGTATCATACTGAATGGGGAAAAACTGAAAGTCTTTCCTCTAAGCTCTGGAACATGACAAGGATATCCACTTGCACCACTATTATTCAACAGTCCTGGAAGTCCTACAGCAATCAGACAAGAGAAAGAAAAAAAGAACATCCAACTTGGAAAGGAAGAAGTCAAATTATCCTCATTTGCAGATGATATGATCTGATATTGGGAAAAACCTAAATACTCCACAAGAAAACTATTAGAACTGATAATCAAATTCAGTGATGTTGCAGGATACAAAATTAATATACAAAAATCAGTAGTATTTCTATATGCCAACAGTGAACAATCTGAAAAAGAAATACAGAAAGGAATCCCCCAGTTAATAGGATTCCTATTTTAAAAAAGAAGAAAAGAACAATATTAAAAGAAAGTAATCCCATTTATAATGGCTACAAATGAAATAAAATACTTAGGAATTAACAATAACAAGTGAAAGATTCCTATAAAACATTGACAAAAAAAATTGAAGAAGACACAAAAAAATGGAAAGATATTTCATGTTCATGGATTGGAAGAATCACTATTGTTAAAATATCCATAGTACCCAAAGCAATCTACAGATTCAATGCAATGCGTATCAAAATACCAATGACATTCTTCACAGAGAGAGAAGAAAATCCTAAAATGTATATTAAACCAAAAAAGACCTAGAACAGCCAAAGCTATCTTAGCAAAAAGAACAAAACTGAAGGAATCATATTACTTAACTTTAAATTACACTACAGACCTATAATAACCAAAATGGCATGGCACTGGCATAAAAACAGACACATAGATCAGGGCAGCAGAACAGAGAACTCAGAGATAATCCCATACCTCCACAGTGAACTTATTTTTGACAAAGGCGCCAAAAGCATACAATGGGGAAAGGACAGTCTCTTCAATAAATGGTGCTGGGAAAACTGGATATCCATATGCAAAAGAATGAAACTAGACCCCTATCTCTTGCTATATACAAAAATCAAATTAAAATGATTAAAGACTTAAATCTAAGACATCAACCCATGAAACTACTACGAGAAAACATTGGGAAAACTCTCCAGGACATTAGACTGGGCAAAGATTTCTTAAACAATACCCCACAATCACAGGCAACCAAAACAAAAATTGGCAAGTGGGATTACATCAAGTTAAAAAGCTTCTGCACAGCAAAGGAAGGAATCAACAAAGTGAAGGGACAATCCACAGAAGGGAGAAAATATTTTCAAACTACCTGTCTGACAAGGGATTAATAACCAGAATATATAAAGAGCTCAAACAACTTTATAGGAAAAAATCTAATAATCCGATCAAAAAATGGGCAAAACATCTGAATAGACATTTCTCAAAATGTACAAATGGCAAACAGGCACAAAAAACGTGCTCAATATCACTGATCATCAGAGAAACGCAAATCAAAACTACAATGAGATATCATCTCACACCAGTTAAAATGGCTTTTACCCAAAAGATAGGCAATAACAAATGCTGGCGACAATGTCGAGAAAAGGGAACCCTCATACACTGTTGGTGGGAATGTAAATTAGTAAATCACTGTGGATAACACTTTAGAGGTTCCTCAAAAGAGCGAAATAGAGCTACTATAGGATTCAACAATCTTGCTCCTAGGTATGTACCCAAACGAAATGAAATCAGAGGGGCTGAGCTCAGTGGCTCATGCCTGTAATCCCAGCACTTTGGGAGGCCAAGGCGGGTGGATCACCTGAGGTCAGGAGTTCGAGGCCACCCTGACCAACAAGGTGAAACCCCATCTACTAAAAATACAAAAATTAACTGGGTGTGGTGGCATGTGCCTGTAATCCCAGCTACTCGGGAGGCTGAGGCAGGAGAATCGCTTCAACCTGGGAGGCGGAGGTTGCAGTGAGCCGAGATCGCGCCACTGCACTCCAGCCTGGGCGACGGAGCAAGACACGGTCTCAAAAAAAAAAAAAAAGAAAAAAAAGAAAAAGAAATGAAATCAGAGAGATCTGCACTCCCATGTTTATTGCAGCACTATTCACAATAGCTAAGATTTGGAAGCAACCTAAGTGTCCATCAACAGATGAATGGATAAAGAAAACGCGGTACATATACACAATAGAGTACTACTATTCAGCCATAAAAAGGAATGAGATCATGTCATTTACAACAACACTGATGGATGGTCCTTATGTTAAGTGAAATAAACCAGGTACAGAAAGACAAACTTTGCATGGTCTCACTTATTTGTGGGAGCTAAAATTTAAAACAATTGAACTCATTGACATAGAGAGTAGAAGGATGGTTACCAGAGGCTGTGAAGGGTATTGGGGGAGCGAAGGGGAAGTGAGAATGGTTAATAAGTACAAAAAAAAAATTTAGAATGAATAAGACAGTATTTGCTAGCACAACAGGGTGACTATAGTCAAAAATAATTTAATTGTACATTAGAAAATAACTTATTCAATTGTTTGTAACAAAAAAGATAAATGCTTGAGGTGATAGATACCCCATTTATTCTTAAGTGATTATTATACATTACATTCCTGTATCAAAATATATACACCTACTATGTACCCACAAAAATTAAAAAATAAAAATTTTTTAAGTGGTGGAGTAAGGATTTGAACCCAGGTCTGCCTGATCCCAAAGGCCATGCTCTTTTCACTATATATTCTGACTCTGCCTAGAGTGATCATTCAGGGCTGGAAAGAAATGAACTGGTGGGGAGCAGTTTGGAATCACTCAAGACTCCTGAGCCCAATGTAGAAGAAAAGAGGTTTAAATTTATAGCTCTGCAGACTTCAATCCCTCAGCAAGCACCGGGTGTACTGTCCTTCTCAGGTGCCTCTCCACACCCCTAGAACCCCCATCCACATGCTGAAGGCTGGGTGCTGCTGAGAGCTTTGCACTTCCAACGCCTGACTGGGAGAAACTGAATGATGCACGGAAATGGCTAAGGCCAGCATCAGCAGAGAGGAGGGAAAGAGGCCGACACAGAGTAGTGTCTCAGGCTGAAATGGGCATTCAGGACAAGGAGGTGGGAGAGAGGGGAGGAATAAGTGCAAAAAGAGTGGGTAGGCTAGGAGGAGGAAGGGCTGGGGAAAAGCCTGTCAGGTCAATGGGACCAAGGAAGGGTAATGAGAGGAAGGGGGCCAGGGTGAGGGGAACGGGCAGTTTGAGTGAGTGATCAAACGGGAGTGGGAAATAGATGGGCAAGAAGGAGAAAGAGGAAAATGAAATTGAAGATGGACATTTGTCTTGGGAAAAAGAAAGAACTTTGGAGGAAAACCAGTGTGCTCACTTACTCCAGCAGGGACAGGAAAGACATCGTGTTGCTGTGGAACCCAGAAGTAGCAGGCTGCCTAGGTAAGGCTTGATTCTAATATGTGTTGATGATGGGATAGGGCTCTCAGCAGCCTGGCCGACATTACTGTAACTTTTGGGTTTCCCGTGATCTGGCAAATGCAAGTAACTGTACTAATTCCACCTCCTAGTTAGATAATAACCTTTTTTTTTTTTTTTTCCTGAGACTGAGTCTCCCTCTATCACCCAGGCTGGAGTGCAGTGGCACAATCTCAGCTCACTACAGTCTCAACCTCCCAGGCTCAAGCAATTCTCTTGACTCGGCCTCCAGAGTAGCTGGGATTACAGGTATCCGCCACCATGCCCAGATAATTTTTTTATTTTCAGTAGAGACAGGGTTTCGCCATGTTGGCCAGGCTGGTCTCGAACTGCTGACCTCAAGTGAGCCACCCGCCTCAGCCTCCCAAAGTGCTGGGATTACAGGCGGATTACACTGCACCTAGCCAGATAACAACCTTTTCTAAGTGCTTTCCCTTGTTCTCATCTGGTCCCTGCAACACTTAACCAGTATGATGAGATGGTCCCATTATGCCCATTTTACAGGGAAAGAAATTAAGACTCAGGTGAAACAACTTGCTCAGAGTCATAGATCAAGTACGTGACTGAATAGAAACAACAGGTTCGTTGTGATTTTACCAAAACCATTATTGACCAGTCTGAGATTATAGGCCGCAGTGGCTCAAGCCGGTAACCCTAGCACTTTGGAAGGCCAAGGCAGGCAGATCACCTGAGGTCAGGAGTTCGAGAGCAGCCTGGCAAACCTGGTGAAACCCCATCTCTACTAAAAATACAAAAATTAGCCAGGCATGGTGGCAGGCTCCTGTAATCTCGGCTGCTCAGGAGGCTGAGCCAGGACAATTGCTTGAACCTGGAGGGCGGAGTTTGCAGTGAGCCAGGGTCGCGCCACTGTACTCCAGCCTGGGCGACAGAGTGAGACTCCATCTCAAAATAATAATAATAATAATTATTATTATTATTATAGCAGGAAGTGACTCAGTGACAAGAAGTAACATACAGGTGAGGACGGGCTGAGCCCACCAAAAAATATCCCCACCCTCAAAAACCATTCCTTCTTTGTCCATAAAGTCGATGAAGGCAGATGCTTCTCACCCTAGACCTCAGGTCTTCAGGTCCCTCGTAGCAGCTCTGAGAGTCCTCAGTGTGGAGCCCCATGTCAAGCATTCCCTAAGTGAAAACAATAATCAGTTTAGTAATTTGGGAGCCATCAAGAACTCATTCATGGCTTAGATATTGTCAAATATGTGCAAGTGAAATTACTGCTCCTTGTTCTTCGGGGGTGAGGTGGTATTACATACCTCTATCTTATCTCTTAGGCTGCTTTGCTTGCCCTATTGTTTTAGAAGGTGATTAGCTTTTTTTCTGGTTGGTGTGCAAGACCCATATAACTTAGGTGGTCATTTTGTAATGCCCAACTTTGTTTTTTCCTTTATTCACCTAGCCTTGTTTCTCCCTTAGCTAAGAGAACCAGACAAACTCCATCTTGGCTCTTTCACTGGCAGCCCCTTCCTCAAGGACTTAACTTGTGCAAGCTGACTCCCAGCACATCCAAGAATGCAATTAACTGATAAGATACTGTGGCAAGCTATATCCGCAGTCCCCAAGATAACGCCCAAAACCCCGCGTCTATCACCTTGTAAGTCTTAAAGCCCCTGCACCTGGAACTGTTTACTTTCCTGTAACCATTTATCCTTTTAACTTTTTGACTACTTGACTTCTGTAAAATTGTTCTAACTAGACCCCCCCACTCCCCTTCCTAAACCAAGGTATAAAAGTTAATCAAGACCCTTCCTCGGGGCTGAGAGAATTTTGAGCGTTAGCCGTCTCTTTGGCCGCCGGCTTAAATAAAGGACTCTTAATTCGTCTCAAAGTGTGGCGTTTTCTCTAACTCGTTTAGGTATAACAATTTGATCTACTGATGCTGAACACTAGGGATTCCAAAACTTTTTATTGCTAAGAAGGAGTCAGCTGCCTGAAAGTCTGGGGGAAGAGTTTTCCAGGCAGATGGAACAGAGACAAAAAGGCTCTAGGGCAAGAGTGATCTTGGTGAGTTCAGGAAACAAAAGTTTGGTGAGGCTGAAATGCAGGGAGCAGCCGGAAAATGGCATGAAAAGGCTGGATGCAGTGGCTCATGACTGTAATCTCAGCACTTTGGGAGGCTGAGGTGGGCAGATCACATGAGGCCAGAAGTTTCAGAGCAGCCTGGCCAACATGGTGAAATTCTGTCTCTCCTAAAACTACAAAAATTAGCCAGGCATAGTGGCACACTCTTGTAGTCTCAGCTACTCAGGAGGCTGAGGCACAAGAATTGCTTGAACCTGGGAGATGGAAGTTGCAGTGAGCTGAGATCGCGCCGCTGTATTCCAGCCTGGGTGCTCTGTTTCTGAAACAAAACAAAACAAAACAAAAAAAGAAGTCAGAGAGGAAGGCGGCGTTCAACTATGGGATCCTTGCAATGTAGGGTATGAAATCTGGACAGGGATGGGCTGCCAGAAGAGATAGGAATGTCCCCTTTGGAGTCCCCAATTTAACATTACAGAATGGCAGAGAAAGTGAGACTGAGGAAACCCATTCCAACCATGCTGAGCCCCTAAACAAAGGAGGCTGTTAGAAATGAGGTGGGTGATTGGGAGGAAACACAAAGACCACCAGTTTGCAACACAAAAAGCAAGTGGCCTGAATAACTTTGTTAAGCACCACACCAACTTCTTCAACTTAGAGAACAAGGGTGGTTCGAGAGGATATTTGAGATATAATCCTGATTTAAAGCTGCAGATTGTCCCAGGTGATTTCCCTCTAGAGGGCGCCTCTGGAGCGGTACGGTATCTTCCCATTGTTTTGTTTGCTTGTTTGTTTTGGGTTTTTTTTTTTTTTTTTTTTTTTTTTTTTTTTTTTTCTGAGACGAAGTTTTGCTCGTTGCCCAGGCTGGAGTGCAGTGGCATGATCTCGGCTCACTGCAACCTCTGCCTCCCGGGTCCAAGCCATTCTCCTGCCTCAGCCTCCTGAGTATCTGGGATTACAGGCACCTGCCACCATGCACAGCTTATTTTTTTGTATTTTTAGTAGAGATGGGGTTTCACCATGTTGGCCAGGCTGGTCTCGAACTCCTGACTTCAGGTGACCCACCCACCTCGGCATCCCAAAGTGCTGGGATTACAGGCGTGAGCCACCACGACCGGCCCTGTTGTTCTCTTAATAGAAAAATGGGAAACATTTTATTGGTGGCAGCACATGAAAGTTTATTATTACACAGTAGCTCAGGACTTGTTCTCTAAAAATGTGTAGCTAGAATATATAGGGTTTTAACATGTTGTCTGATGGTATGTATGGTTGAAACGGAGGCTAAAGTCCTGAAAGGCAAAACAAATAAAATGCTGAAAGGTAACACTACCCTGTAGATCTCAGTTGTGTCACTTGAGAAAAAATGAGGATGTTAAAGTCTTAGGTATTTGTTTTTAGAGGGCTTATTTGAAAATTATTTACCTCTTGCATCTGGAGTTTCTGTATACTGAAGCCGCCATCATCTCTCAACTGTGTTATTGTAATATTAATAACTAACTTATCTTTCTGCTCCCATGCTTGCATCCTTACATGTGTTCCCCAAACAGCAGTCTCAGTGAATCTTCTAAAAACTACTAAACAAGTTTTTAGAACTTCTAAAGCCCTAAAATCAGGACTTCTTTTTCCTAATAAGTGGTTGCCTAGGTTACTTAGTTCAACCCTTCTGCTGAAAATAATTTTAAAAAGAAAAACTGGACAAAATATAAGAAATATTTTCTTAAAATCAATAAAGAGATGACAAAACAGTAAGGAATTATCATTTCAAAAAGTGAAGGGAAAGCTTAGAGGGTTTGGAAACCGTGGAAACCACTTTTGCCCTGAAGGCACTTGCATATTCTCCCATTTCTAATATTTGACACCGTCACTGGGGGTCTCAGTGTACAGAAATCAAGGCCAGGGGCTGGCAAAGTAGGGAGTCTCATAGAAGACTGTGGTGGACAGGCTCTAAGCTCCCTCCACCCTAAGTGTCGGGAAAGGGACCTGTGACTTTCATGTAACTGACAGAAATGGCAAACTGATGGGATATCACTCCCAGGGTAGTTATGTTATAAAAGACTAGGTCTTGTTAGTAAACTCTCTCTCCATTGCAAGCTGTGAAGAAGGAAGCTGTCGTAAAGTAAGTGGCCACATTGGAGTAGCCCACATGGCAAGGAACTTAGGGCAGCTTCCAGCAAAAAATTAAAGCTACAGACTCAAGACACCCCATTGTCAGAGGCATGTGAACCAGAGCAACTCCATCTTGAATAGGAGCTGGGTAAAATAAGGCTGGGACCTGCTAGGCTGCATTCCCAGGTGGTTAAGATATTCTAAGTCACAGGATGAGTTAGGAGGTCGGCACAAAATGCAAGTCATAAAGACCTTGCTGATGAAACAGTTTGCAGTAGAGAAGCCGGCTAAAACCCACCAAAAGCAAGAGAGTGATGAGAGTGACCTTTGGTCATCCTCACTGCTACACTCCCGCCAGCACCATGAGTTTATAAATTACCCTATATGGTCTAAAAAGGGGAGGCATGGAAAATCTACCCCTTTTTTTAAGCATATCATCAAGAAATAAACATAAAAATGGCAACCAGCTGCCCTCAGGCTGCTTTGTAACCATTTTTTTTATTCTACTTACTTTCTTAATCAACTTGCTTTCACTTTACTCTATGGACTCGCCCTGAATTATTTCTTGCGCAAGATCCAAGAACCCTCTCTTGGGGTCTGAATCAGGACCCTTTCCTGTAACATCTTTCTGGCAACCACAGAAGGGAATATAGTGTGGAAACCCCCGACCCAAAGGGTAACTTTGGATAAGTGGTGGGGTCCTGTGGCATCTTTCTCATGAGCCACAGAAGGGACAATACTGAGGAGACCCACCAACCCAAAGGAAATAGACCGCAGCACTGATTGGACGACTTTGGGTAAGTGGTGGAGTACGCAGGTAAAGAATGGGATTGGGTTAGAGGCCCAACTTAGGCTAGTTAGAGTCTCTTCCAAAACAGAATGAGTTAGAGGCCCCTCTTAATAAAAGGCAAGGATACTTGACTGACCTTGGGTTAGAGGCCCAACTTAGGAGGGTTAGAGTCCCTCCTAAGATTTAGGGGGTTAGAGGCCCCTCTCAGTAAAGTCCCTCTCATCTAAGAACAGGTTTGGCATTATGGGATGTTAACTGCTATTTTCTTTGGATTAATCTGCCTTGCACTCTTTGCTGATGGCTATGAGTGACAGAATTAGGCACTTACAGGATCGTGGGACATGGGGAGCTTTTTGCTTCCTAAAAGGGGAAACTTGAGAGCTGGTGGGACTGCTGGAAAAGATCCCTTCACGACCAACAAGCGGCCGCCTGAACTTTTCAGGGTCGCTGCAATGGGTGGGTCTTTCTCTGGCCTCCCTGAGAGCCTCGCCTTCCCCACCCTGCCACAAGCAATGCTTTTCTTTCTCTCATTTCTTTTTTTTTCTATTACTCAGGGTGACCATCTTGCCCAGAGAACACATGTTGAAACTCCTGGTCGGAGGTTGGATTTATGATGATAGGGGCAAGTTTGAGCCTTGCCAGTTTGATACTGGGTGCTAAGTAGAGTGGTTAATGTCTATGTTTTGTCACACATATTTTGCTCTGACCAGAACAGAAAAAGATAATTTTCCTTTGTGTTGCGTCTTGGCCCACAGGGCTGTGGTGCAGCCAGACGGGTCACTAGGGACGCTCAGGGAAAGGGAACCCAGAGACCTGGCATGCCAGCAAAAGGATAAGAATGTGTTACCAGTCAGATGCCTGGCCTCTCTCTCTCTGTTTCTGTGTGTGTGTGTGTGTGTGTGTGTGTGTGTGTGAACTGCATGAGGTTTCCCTCTGGTCAGTCATGTCCTTGGGAGCCTGACCTTGTAACCATGTGGCTGTGCTTTCTCTTTTCACAATGGTGGCCCAAGTTTAGGGTGCATTTCTGGCTTACGGATGAATCCTTTATCTTCTGTCTGTCTGTGTATTTGTATGTGTTGTGTGTGTGACGTTTATATCTAAAAGAGCTTTGATTAATTGGTTTAATAGTAATAAAAGCTTAAATCAAATATTTTGTCAGAAAAGTAAAAAGTATAATGCCTTTTAGTTCATGTGACTTAAGTAATCCTCAGAAAATAAAGACAGTTTTAAAGATTATTGGTAAAATAAAAATATCTTCAAAAATGTAAACATTTGGTCTAAATTACACAGGTTAGATATTAAGTTTGCTAAAGGCTTTAAGGTCATAAACTGCTTCTTTGACGTTTAAAAATTGTTCAATTTACCTCCCTTGGAGATATTAGATTGTAGGTAAGACCTGGACACATGTGGAGTTAGCCATGTCCCCTAGCTATGCTGGAGGGTCAGCTCTTATCTGCACTTCTGCCTGGTATGTCCTAGGCTAGGCTCCACACCTAGTACATCATTAAAATCCCAAACTTACCAAGGTTTTCACCAAAAATAAAAGTTGCCAGGAGTTAACATTATAACATGTAATTGAGACTACTGAGGAAACGGTTCTACATGTAAGGCATGTAAAAAAAAGTAAAACGTGTTTTTGGTAAAAGATTATAAGAAGGCATAGGAATGTGGATTTTTTGCCTAAGTTTAAAGGGTCAAAGGATTGTTTTAAGTTAAATAAAATAAAGCTAAAGGTTTGAACAAGTTATCGAAGGCTTGTAAAGAACTAATTGTAAAAGAAATTCTGTGTGTAAACATGTTGGCTAAAGTTAAAGTGGCATTATTCAGTTTTTCTGTAAACTGAACATTGGAACAAAAGCACAACAGGTTTTTCTTAGAGCAAAAACCTGCTTATAATCTGCTCTTTAACAAAAATTTTTAAGGGTTATAAAAGGTTTATGAGAATCTTACCTTATGGCCAAACATTAAAATTTGGTAGATTTGTCTATAAGGTTTTATTAAGAACTGGGTTTGACATCAATAATGCCCTAATGCAACAGTGACATTTGGCTTTTTTGGCATAAAAATCATACAGGAAGCATTATTAAATATAAAATAGTGTTTAGCTTTCTTTGGGCTGTATTTGTATAAATGTGTTATTGGTATGTGTTCCAAAATTATTTTAAAACTCCTGTAATTCTGACAGGACTTAGTGTACGATTGTTACATAAAATCCTTGTGTGCCACAAAGGTACTCAAAATTTCCTAGTCAATTTTGGCTTGACTGTGCTAAAACTTTTTGTCATCCATAAAAAAATTGTAGTCTCGTTTTGTTCCTCTTTAGAAGGTGGTTTACAATCAGCTATAGAGCTATACAGGGGCTCTTAAATGCAGGTTTTCTGGTAACTTCGGAGATTGTGACATCAGAATAGAGGAAAAAAACTTTCAGAGCTCTCACAGGGAGCTGAAATGTTCATGAATATCAAACAAAAGTTAACTGCATAGAGTAACTAAAGAAGTCTGAAGTATCTTCTAAACTTTTTGCTTAAAACGTTTTTTGCTTAAATCCTTTGTTTTGTTTTTCAGAGTCAAGAAAACTTTTTTTTGAGCTATTTACAGCTTTTAGCAATTGAGTAAAGTATACTCCTCCGAACAAAATTTGGAGCTTATTTGTTTCTCTCTACCTGATTTCTCCAGAATTTGGAAACTAGTTGTGAATATTCTTAAGTTATGGCAATATAGGTATTTGCATAAGTGCAATAAGAATGTTTTCTTTTGCAACAGGACACAATTGGAGAAATTGGTTATTTTACCAACACTTTGATTGGAATGGTGTGCTTTTCTTTAAGGAATCAAACTTGACTTGTAAAGCCAATAAAAGCCCCTTGGGCAATTGGCCTCAGACCTTGTCTACAAGGTCCCCATACAAGGTATGGATAACAGTCCCCATACAAGGTTTCTGACCTGTGGTAAGTAAAGAATGTCACTTTCTAACAGGTCCAGAAGCCCCAGGTTATCTTGCGACCCCAAGAGGAGAGGAATTTATTCAACTCATAGGTATTCGAGGGTACAAACCCATGAAAGGGCTCGGCTCTAAAAAAGTCTTATGTAAGATTCCTTCTAGGGAACAGAGTTCCATCAAAGCCTGTGCAAAAAGAGCTTATGAAAAAAATAATTATTTTTGCTGCACTTTATACAAGTAATCAGGCCAAGCAAAACAAAGCAAATTGGTCTTACCATAACTTATCTTTAGTAAAAATGGGACACTGGAGAGAGAAATTATGTTTCAAGAACTGTGGTACACTGTTTATTAAATTCTAGTCTCATCAGTTGTTTTTAAGTTTGTTTCTGCAATTTAGGCTAACGCTGCTTATTTCTGTGAACCAACCAGAAATCTCTGACTGCTGCTCAGAAGAAACAAAAGGGAAAGGTAATGTGAAAATCTGAATCAGTATTCTAATTCTGGGCATGTACTGGAATCATCTAGCAACCCTATATCAGCTTGGTTCCAATAGTTGCCCAATTCATATAAAGCCTTCTAATTTAGTTTACTTGAGATAGTTTTACTTATTTTGCTTTACTGTTGTGGAATATATTGCTGTTGTACTCTTTGTGTAGGAATGTAGGATAAGCTTACTGAACGTTTTCTTAAACTAAATACGTATTAATCTTCGAGATATCACCTTTTCTCGGAACTCAAAGTTATGATTGGCCCTTGCCATACCAATGCTTTCTGATTGAGTTCCTCTCTACCCTAAACACAAGAGGCTCTAATAGCTAGGCAGGAATATCATCACCCCTATTCAGGTGAAGCCGTTACAAAAGATGGATCGTCATCCCTCTGCAACCTTAGGATTAAGGGTTCTCCTATAAAAGGCAGAAGGGACATGTCAGAGGCATATGAACCAGAACAACTCCATCTTGAATAGGAGCTGGGTAAAATAAGGCTGAGACCTGCTAGGCTGCATTCCCAGACAGTTAAGTCATTCTAAGTCACAGGATGAGTTAGGAGGTTAGCGCAAAATACAAGTCATAAAGATGTTGCTGATAAAACAGGTTGCAGTAAAGAAGCTGGCTAAAACCCACCAAAAGCAAGATAGTGATGAGAGTGATCTCTGGTCATCCTCACTGCTACACTCCCACCAGCACCAATGACAGTTTACAAATGCCATGGCAACGTGAGGAAGTTACGCCATATGGTCTAAAAATGGGAGGCATGAATAATCCACCCCTTGTTTAGGATATCATCAAGAAATAACCATAAAAATGGGCAACCAGCAGCCCTCAGGGCTACTCTTGTCTATGGAGTAGCCATTCTTTTATTCTTCTACTTTCTTAATAAACTTGCTTTCACTTTACTCTGTGGACTCGCCCTGAATTATTTCTTGCGCAAGATCTAAGAACCCTCACTTGGGGTCTGAATCAGGACCCCTTTCCTTTAGCACTACGAATTCCAGCAAGTACAAAAGAAATACACACATAGAGCCATCATAGTGAAGATAAAGAAAACCAACGAAAAAGAGAAAAGCTTCAAAGCTGCTAGGGAAAAATATAAATTATGTTTAAAGAGAGGTATATAACATGTGAGAGGCATGTCTGAAGAATCTGATTCATTAGGTTTAGGGCAAAGCCCAGGAATCTGACTTTTTAACAAACATCCAAGTGACTCTTACCTTTGTGGAATATTGGGAATATGGTTAGGAGGTGAGGATTACAAAGTTGGTCACACCACTGATCAATTTGAGTGAAGAAATATTCCCCACTATAGGAAAGGAGAGGAGAAACTGCAGGCAAGGGGCTAGATCTGAGAAGATGTAACATGGTCCATCCCTAGATAGGTTCACTCACGTTTGGAAGGCACAGATGTGCAGGAAATAAAATTTTAAGGCAAGCCAACTATGATCTCCTTGAATGGGCAATAATGGGCAAAATAGAGGTTTTGACTGTGGGGGTCTGAGAAAGCTTTGTGGAGGAAGTACCTTCTGAGCTAGGCTGCTCTCTACAGCTCTAAAATTCTTCCCAGGTGAATATGAAAAGAGAGTCAAATTCCAAGAATGACAAGTAGTTTTGAGCAAAGGAAGAAAGGTACAAAATGCCAGAGCTGGTTTGAGTAAAAACAAAAAAATTGAGCTATTTCTTCCATACCCGAAGAGAAAATGCTATGCTAAGTGGATGGAGAGGTAGAAAAGGGCCAGGTGGAAATGACTGGACAGTTTGAAAATCTGTTGCAGAGGTCTGACTAAATTGTGGGAGAGAATGGGTAGGTGAGAAGAGAACGCGGACCCTGAAAAATCTACTGAGACCAGGAGCCCCTGAGATAGGCAAAGCCCAAGGTCAGTTCCTGCCTCAGGAGCCCCAATCCCCACACTTTCAAGGGTCACTTTCTGACTCCATAACTGACCAACAAATTCTGAGACTTTAGCTTCAAAATGCCAAAACCCTCTGCTAATTCATTCCAGTGGTAGGGACCCTGTAAGTCCCCTCCTGAAACTTTCAACACTTCTCTGCCTGCTCTAACCCCTGCCTACTCATCTAGCATCTTTCACTTGTTCAAAAGTCCTGTTTGTTCTGTGAAAGGAAAAAATAGAACGGGTGGCAGGTTTTCCCAGTGCAGTTCCCAGCTTGACTTTTCCCTTTGGCTTAGTGATTTGGGGGTCCCAAGATTTACTTTCCTTTTACCGTTCCTACATCAGGAATGATTTCTCTCTTTTCATTAGCAATTTCTTCTTTTCTCCTCCTCTTCATTTGACTAACTTATTATACTTCTTTGTCAGGTCTCTATTTAAAAATTTCTTACTCAAAAGAAGCCTTTCCTACTCCTTTAGTCTAAACTGTCCTCCACTCGTTACCTGTTACGCCCTTCTAATTTTTCGTCATAGCATGTACAAATATTTAAGATTACATGCTTATTTTTGTTGTGGCTCTCTCCTTTCACACAGTAAGCTCTGGGACCTATCTGTGTCCTTCACCACCCTTTACTCGGTACCTAGCCCAGAGCTCACTCTCACCATTAATATTTGTTTTAAAGAGAGAGGAAGGAGAGGATTGCGACCTTAATAACTCTTAGCCCACAGCCTTGGCATACCCCCTTCTCAGGACCCTCTGAATTCTCAAGAGCCTCTTGCCTTTCCTGTCTTCTTCTCTAGAGTGTGTGCCTGGGTTCAAATCCTGGTGTTAATATTCACTAGCTGTGTTACACTGGATAAGTGGTCTATACTGTTTAAATCTCGGTTTTCTGAGGTGATAGCAGTTACCTCATAGGGTTGTCAGGAGGATTATGAGAAAATCCATGTGAAACATCTAACAGAGTACCTGGAAAATTATTGATAAAAATTAGCTGCCATTGTTATTGTCATTAATAACTAGCAATCTCTAAGATTCAAGCTATTGGGTTTTTTTCCCACAAGAAAGTTCTCATTATATATATAAATCTGTGTATCTTTATATATATATATATATATATATATATATATATACACACACACACGTAATATACGTATGTATATATACTTACATATATAAAGAGTTCTTATAAATCAATAAGAAAATACAAGCACAATAGGAAAATGAGCAAACATTATAAACATGCAAATTCATAGAAATATGTTTAAAAATTGTAATGTTATTATCAGAGTAAAAAGGAGAGATGGAGTATAGTCTGACTCTCAGGTACTCCCATAACTTTCCTGCTATAGTTCCTCCCACTGGTGTTGGGGAAGAAGGAAAAGCAGAAAGACAGCATCCCCTTCCTTAGCCAGGTGACGCTGTGCTCCCGTCTCTGTGGGTGGTTACTGCTTCTCTGGCTAACACAGACTGGCGTGATGGCCTCTGTGAGGCAGGTGTCCAGATCCTGGCACTTCTGGAGCATATATGTAGTTATCTGGAGGTCACATATTTGTCTAATTCTTCTCATGCCCCCTTATAATACCCCCCACCAGAAATGTATTTGTAGGAATCCTCAGTGATGCCTCTGTATGCCTTCCATGAGATCCCTTGTATGCGCTCCCTCGTATGCAGTCTCAGTGAGATCTCAGCTCCATTCCTTGGAGTACTTCAACCACCCTGGGACACTGCTGTCACCACCACCAGGGTTTCACTACTCTAGAACTGTGAAGTTTTCCTCCAAATGCAGAGGGAACACCCCTCCTCCCCCCCAACTCTATACAACAGAGATTCTAAATAAGCAAGGTGGTATAGTTATTGTAAGAGAATTCCGCAATAGAATCCTCCAAGGAGATTTGGTGGCTGAAGAATCTAAAGGTCTTCCCCTGGAAGTGGTCCGAGAGCATGGCCCTGGGGAAAGCACTGGGGCTTACATTGCTCACTTCCACCTTCATTCCCCTCTTTTGTTTTTTAATCTTTCCCTCAATTTATTTCCTTCTTAAAAAGATGATTTAGCAGGGTGATCCCCTGGGAATTGTTAGAAATCAAGGCTCTCAAGCCCATCCCAGACCTTCTAAATCAGAACCTGTACTTTAACAACACCCCTAGATCATTCCCATACAAATTACAGTTTGAAAAGTACTGATACATAGGACAGAATTTTTGGATTCTCCCACCCCAGTTATTCACACTTAAGTTCATTTTTGGCCCCACAGCTCCATTCCCTGCCTTTGGCCTGTGGTCTTCACTGCCAGCAAGGACTCCTTGCCTAATTAGCTAGTCAGCCTACAGGGTCTACCGCAGTAGTGCTGCAGGGATTCCATTTAGGCAGCTTTACTTCTGTTCATTTTGAAGCAATGTTGGTATCATCTGCACCAGTAACTCCATAATACCCTCTTCTTCAGGTGTGTTTTAAGATATTTCAGCTGGGCGCAGTGGCTCATCCCTGTAATCCCAGAACTTTTGGGAGACCAAGGTGGGCAAATCACAAGGTCAGGAAATCAAGACCATCCTGGCCAACATGATAAAACCCAGTCTCTGCTAAAATACAAAAAATTAGCCAGGTGTGGTGGCGGGCACCTATAGTCCCAGCTACTCGGGAGGCTGAGGCAGGGGAATCGCTTGAACCCAGGAGGCGGAGGTTGCAGTGAGCCAAGATTGCACCACTGCACTCCAGCCTGATGACAGAACAAGACTCCATGTCAGAAAAAAAAAAAAAAGAGACTTCAATATATTATAAAGAAGGAATTGATTATAATGCACCTACTCGTTAGCAAATGCACACAAACATTCACTGTACTTAGAAATAAAGAGCACAGTTTACACTGAAATCATACATGCACATGGTCCTTAAAGATAATTCTTTCATCAGCTCATAACTTATATCAAAGATTGGTAAGGACAGTACCACTCTCAGCAGAGAGGCAGAAAAGGGCTCTAGCTGGTGTCTACCTGCCACTCTAAGGTGCAAAGCCTCTAGAATTCACTGAGAGGTTCTTTGGCATGCTTCCTAGGACATAAGTCTCAGAAAATACAAAGACCTGCCTTGTAAGGTTTTAGAATTCATTGTTTCCTCTGTCTAGTTTGCTTTCTCGATGGTTTTGACCAGCTGAATGAGCCAACATTGGGGTATTATTTTTCTCCTCTAAAAAGCCCTTATCTCCAGAACTTTCTGTCTGATTAACCCTGTGACATATTAAAAATTTGAAGCCAACGCCTGTAATCCCAGCACTTTGAGAGGCCAAGGTGGGCAGATCACCTGAGGTCAGGAGTTCAAGATTAGCCTGGCCAATATGATGAAACCTATCTCTACTAAAAATACAAAAGCTAGCCAGATGTGGCAGCACGCGCTTGTAATCCCAGCTACTCAGGAGGCTGAGATGAGAGAATTGCTTGAACCCAGGAGGCCGCTGTTGCAGTGAGCTAAGATTGCACCATTGCATTCCAGCCTGGGAGACAGAGTGAGACTCTGTCTCAAAAAAAAAAAAAAAAAAAAAAAAAAGAAGCCAATGTTAGAAAGCTCAAGTCAGAAAGTTATTTTCCGGCTTGATTGTTTTGTCCTTTGTAGTTGACAAATTTCTCAGAGACTGCAGGGTATTTTTCTGATTCAAATATCCTCAGGATAAAAGTTTCTCAAGTCCTGTTTAGTTACCGGAGAAGGATATTAGTTTGTTCACTAGAGGTTAGGAAAGAGACTGTCTTCTTTGGAGCAAACTTGTATAGTCATTATGTTAAAAGGGTAGTGCTATGGTTTGAGTGTGGCTCCCAAAAGCACATGATGGAAACTTAATCACCATTGTAATAGATTAAGGGGTGGAATCTTCAAGAGATGATTAGGCCATAAAAGTTCTTCTCTTATAAGTAGATTAATGTTTTTGTTGCAGGAGTGGGTTCCTTAGTTGGCCCTCATTTGCTCTCTCTCTCACCCTGTCTTTGCCCTTCCAACACGGGTTAACACAGCAAGAAGGCCCTCACCAGAAGCTGGCCCCTTGATCTTGGACTTTCCAGCCTCCCAAACTCTGAGCCGATAAATTTCTCTTCACTGTAATTTACCCAGTCTGTGGTATTCTGTTACAGCAGCACAAAAAAGACTAAAACAGATGGCATTTAATAGGATGCAATCATAAGGCAACTTTATTTTTTAACCTGCTCCCTCTGCTCAGGGGCTAGTTTCTTCCTTGCCCCTTAGTAAAACCTCAGGTAGGTGGGTTCCTGTAGCTTCTCCAGACACTCAGAAAAATTAAAAAGTACTCCAGTCATTTTTAGTCATAAAACAGTCTCATAATAGTCAAAACTCTGAACTTTAAGGCAAATTTTTCTTCTTTCTCTCCTTCCCCAGCCCAAGCCGATTCAGGCTGGAAGCTGAATATACTCAGAGGTTCATTCAGGAAGCCTGAACTCAAGAGAAGGAGGCAGGGGCAGGGGAAGGGGCAGGGGTGGGGGTGTGGGTAGGCATTGGCACAGCTAGCTTCTTTGTTTTCCAGCCTAATCCTTCTACTTCTCCTCCCCTACTTTCTCTGGGGTATGGATCTGACAGGGTTTGGGGTAGAGGTGGGAGAAGGAAAGAGCGAGAAAGGAGAAAAGGCCTCAGTTCAGGGGAACAGTAGTACTTGCTGGTAGTGTTCCATGATCTTTGCAGATGCTTACTATGGACTCCTCACACAGGACACTTATGTGGGGCCCTTACAGATGGCTCCACTGAACACATTGGTCTGTAACAGACCCTCCTGCTGGCCACTTACTCCATACGTTTCTGCGTTTGATTCTAACCCCCTGCTGCCTAGCACCCTTTAGGAGGAAGCCGACTTACTGAAGTGGGATCTCCTGGAAAACAATCTTCATGTTTATATTTTCCCTTCCCCTATCTGGTTCACAAGAAATACACGCTCCAGCCCTACTTTTAATCTTTGCCTTTGCCTTTAATATTCTCCAGCATGGGGCAAAGACCAGTCACTTTGGGCCTGTCAATTCTACAGACATCGTTTTCCAGCTTTTCCAGCTGATCTTTTAAAGCCCCATCTCACGAGACTTAGGGTGAGGAGGAGCTCACCACTTCCAACCTTCCACAAGGTAAGAAGGTGGAAGAAAAAAGTGCCACAGTGCCTCAACCTTTTTTTTCCAGAGTCTCTCTTCTGGAGTTCTTTTTTTTTTTTTTTTTTTTTTTTAAAGACAGAATCTCGCTCTGTTGCCCAGGCTGGAGTGCAGTGGCACGATCTCAGCTCATTGCAACCTCCATCTCCCAGGTTCAAGCAGTTCTCCTGCCTCAGCCTCCTGAGTAGCTGGGATTACAGGCGCCTGCCCTCACACCCAGCTAATTTTTGTATTTTATTTAGTAGAGCCAAGGTTTCACCATGTTGGCCAGGCTCATCTCAAACTCTTGACCTCTAGTAATTTGCCCGCCTAGGCCTCCCAAAGTGCTGGGATTACAAGCATGAGCCGCCGCACCCAGCCACTCCCTCAGTTCTTCAACCTCAAACCATGAGGGATTGAGGAATGGATACTGACCTGTAGCTCACAAAACCTTTGCTGGTCCTGCCTTGGTAGTCCAACACTCCACCTTGAAGTAGGGGGCTTGCCACCTTCTGTTATTTATTTTGCTTCTGGGCTGCAGCTGCATCTAAGACAGAGGGAACTCATTTTAATATCATGTCATACCTTCTAGAGCACCACATTGTGCCCTTAAAGTTTCATTTTAAAGCTCTCGGAGAAGGGAGCATCTCCACCTTTTCCGAGCACTATTTTAGACATGTGAATGATAGACTGCCTTCTTTTTTCTTTCTGTCCTCCTCATTAACAGTTTATTACAGTATTTTTTTTTTTTTTTTGAGACGGAGTCTTGCTCTGTCACCCAGGCTGGAGTGCAGTGGCGCGATCTCGGCTCACTGCAAGCTCCGCCTCCCGGGTTCACGCCATTCTCCTGCCTCAGCCTCCCCAGTAGCTGGGACTACAGGCGCCCCACACCACGCCTGGCTAATATTTTGTATTTTTAGTAGAGACGGGGTTTCACCGTGTTACCCAGGATGGTCTCGATCTCCTGACCTCGTGATCCGCCCGCCTCGGCCTCCCAAAGTGCTGGGATTACAGGCGTGAGCCACCGGGCCCGGCCTTACTGCAGTATTTTTGTGAGGATTTCTCTTTTCCTTTTTTTACATTGGGAAATAAAGTTGAGCAATTCACTATAACTCTGAGTCAGAAAAAAATTTTATTTAGGAGCTTCAGAAAAGTAGGAAGAGCCTGCTGTTTTTCTTGTTGAAACAGTTCAAGAAAATCCCTTTGGATTTGTGAGTGGGTTTTTGGTTTGTTTTACTTCGCTTCGCTTTGCTTTGCTTTTTACATTGGAAACTACAGTTAGGGAGATTTTAAACAAATTCAAGTTTTAAAAAATTATTTTTAGCTCTTCACATCTGGATTTCAAAAACATGGAAAGAGGGTTGATTTTTTTCTCCCCGTTGTGTGTGGCCTGACTGGTGATACTGTGAGTGCTACGAGAGGGTGCCTGTCCTGATTGGATGAAAGTCGTGGGCTAGTTGGGGTTGGAGAAGAGTTGTAAACAGAATCCTAGAGTCGTGTGCTGGGGCTCAGAAGTGAGTGGATTACAGGCAGGCCCAGTTAGGACCGTAGCTTTGTAACACTGAAAATGGCATCAGCATCCCAACCTTAAGGATTACCTTATGTAGAGTAGATTTTGAGCTTCAATAAAACCATGCATTGTCAATAGCCCACACTTCCTATTATCTGTTTCTGTTTCTATGGGAGCTCTTTTACAACTCTAAGCTGTAAATAACGGCAATGCAAAACACCATTCCCTCTTACCTCCCTACCCCACCCCACCCCCAAATAAAAACGAGTTTGGGCTCAATTTACACATGCATCTTTGCTATTTTTGTAATTTTAATTTTTCTCTTTACTAATTTTGTGTTTTGGTTTTGGTTCATTTGTAGGCAATAATCATTAGCAGCAGCAATGATTGAGAATTGGGTTTCATAGTCTGACCATTTGGTGATCTCTATAAATAGATGAATGACTTATAGAGACATATTCTCTTTTGTGTGAGAGAAAATGGAGAATCTGGATTATTAGTTCTTTTTGTTTGTCTATTTGTCTACTTTAAGCCCAAATGAATTAAGAATCCTGGGCTCACTGGGAAGGAGAACAAATCTTTCATACTGAGACTGGTGAGTTTTGGGGTTTCTTTATTACCCTTAACCCATGATGGAATTTTTAATTGAAGTATAAGATTTCTTTGTCTCTGTTTGTCTATGTGTCCATAATTTAGAAAGATCTTTACCTTTCACAGTGTAAGTATGTAAAATTTTCCTACCTCTAGATAATACTAATAAATTAGATTATCAATCTCTTTTTAAAGAGGCTCTTTTCTGATTGGCTGATAGAGATAAATAAGCACTTATATAAAAAGAATATTCTTAAAATTCCCAGAAAATAATGGATTTGAACTTCTAATACTTTAAATATGCTACATTTTAAAAATATCCTTATCTCCTTCTTTAATATGCTTCATTACAGACACAAAGACCTAGGGCCATTTCTTGGTACTCTTCTGTGTCCAGGTGACTGCAATACAGCTAAACAGCTTTTCTGATATGATAGCCTCTGCCCGTTTAGTTAGACAAGGTGCAATATGAATCAAGTCCATCTGTAGGAAACTATCTTCATACAGATGAAGGGTTCCTAGTCCAGTTCTAAATAAAAATTTCTTCCTGTCTCTGTAAAACATCTCAGACTGGATAGAACAGATCAAGTAGAGTAGTGATTTATGATACAGTGTGAAGATCCTATCTATTAAGCATGTGCCTGGTGTAAGGCCATAAGACTTGAAGAAACAATCTGAAGAAATTGTCTTCAGAGAATACTTCAAACGTTGCAAAATATCTTAACACCTTGCTGTGATCCACACAGAAGACCAACTGGCGTGACTTATTTATGAGATCTTTGCAAATGCAGTGAAGGCATTGGTCTCTTCCAAATTGAGAATGAGCATTACCACAATGACATGCATCCTTGGACATAACTAACATCAGGACTGTAACATAAATATGCTGCTACCATACTATGTAAAACATCATGAAATGGCCACTCTTCTAAAAGATGTAGGTAGAGAGATGGCAATGCATAGGATCTGTCCAGCTTAATTCCAGACCAGCACCAGGATCGCCAACAGGTACACCTTCTCTATCAGAGAGAATGATGTGTTCAGAGAGAACTTGTTTCACCAAAGTTTTTTCACCACTCCTTTCCTCTTGAGAGGACTAGTTCATAAAGGTCAGGAATGATAATCCATTCATTTCCTACAGTGAGACTACAAATTTGCCCAGGAACACTAGGGGGCAACCCCTGAACATAATTTACCTTTTCTCCTACTATGCCTTATTTTTCACTGGTCCAAATAACCACTGCAACTGGCAATATTTTCTTCCTGTTTAAATTACTGTTTTCTTTCTTTCCTTCTTTCTTTTTTCTGTCTTTCCTTCTTTCTTTTTTTCTTTCTTTCCTTCTCTCTCTTTCTTTTTTTTGACTGCTTTAATTTCTTGATTTTGAGACTGATTCACAGTCCCACATTCTTGTTGGTGACCTAAAGCTTCTTCTAATGATTTGACAAGATTTCCTTGGAGTGGGCAAAGATTTCTTAAGCAGAACATAAAAGCAGTAATCAATCATATGATGGCTCATACCTGGAAATCAGAGTACAGGTAAAAATGGTTCAGATTCGAAATTCTTATGTCTTGAAGCCTGACATGGTGGTTGACAGGTCCTTCTGTTTGTGCTTCATACTTTTGCTAAATTATTTTTGAAAGTTTTCTAAAGATAATCTCTGGGATAAACTTTGCCAAATAATTTGTAACCAGGAACACGAGGAACAACTGGTGAGCCTCTTTTGTCCTTTTTAGAAAAGATTTGAGACAAGCAGGGGCAGGTGGTGGTGGGCTCATCTCCAAACAGCTGTGAGAGTTAGCATTAAGGTAGTAAGCCCACCAACCTCACCCTACTTCATCCTCCCCAGTCCTCTCCGCCCAGGTGGCAGGGAGCACGCCCTCTGCTGACCAGCGCACCAGTGGCTCCAAGTACCCAGTCTTTGGCATCAGTGGCCACCAGGCTGCAGCTCTGTGAACAGCAGCTGCAGAGGAGCTTCCTGCCAGCCCAGGGAAGCCATAGCCTGTGCATGATCAGCCCCTTTTAGGAAACTAAGGTTGATTTGATGGAGCCAGTGCTGGCAAATCTGTCCAAGGAAAACCGTCCTGGTACCTGGATTTATCCAGGATCCAGCCTTGGAGGTGGTAAGGGAGGTCACTTTCGTGGCAGGCCAAGAGCCTTGAGAGGTTTTGAAAAATTCAAGAAGAGGCTGGTCACGGTGGCTCATGCCTATAATTCCAGTACTTTGGGTGGCTGAAACGAGTGGATCACCTGAGGTCAGGAGTTCGAGACGAGCCTGGCCAACATGGCAAAGGAAGGAAGGAAGGAAGATTCAAGAAGAAAGGAATTAGGCCAAAATGTATAGATACTACAGATGAAATCTTATGGAGAAATTTCCTTGGACTTACCATCTTAGCTTCAAGACAGCAAATGAATAGAAGCTTGTAAAAGATCAAGCTGAGATTTCTTAGAGAACCTCTAGCGGAAAAAACTTAAAGAAGGCCCATATGGTTAACAGTCTTGCTGCACCTGTTTAAAGAACCAGGCCGAATCTAATAAGACCATACTCATTTTGTCATCAAGAATCTTTGAGGTTCTTTGTAATAAAAAGTGGGGGGACTATAAGGAAAAAATTGTGCTTAATTTGAAAATTACGTGTTGTCATTCCAGAGCACACCTGACTTGTCTGATTCCAATTCTGTGGGAGCTGTTTTGCAGCTCTATAAAGTGTAGATAACTGGCAGCAATGCTAAATCATTCTTGTCTATAGATATGCAAATGAATGCTGTCCGGTAAAACAACAACAACAACAAAAAAAACCCCATCTGGCTGTATTTGCACAGTCATTTTAATATTCCGGATCTATAAATGTGTCTGTCCTTGGGATTCTCCTTTCACCTGGTTGTAATACTTCACTGCTTTCCTCATGAATTAGTTAAATAAAAACTTTAACTCATGTTTATTCTTATATCTGTATAAGAGTACTGATCTTACCTGTTTATGAAAATTATCTTTTAATGGCTACTTAGAACTAAATTATCCTTTAATGGCTTGTCCCCGTCTTTGTTTTAGCCACAGAGGGCCTAGAGACTTTAAGGCAAAGTATCAGAGACTTTTGAGGCAGCCCAGTCTGGCGACTTTCCCAGCAACCTAGCGCAGAAACTTTCTAGAAGCTTTATGATGACATCCCTGTTCAGAAGCACTTGGTGTTTTTTCTGTTCTATTGACTGAGGTGTCCTGACACTATTTTGGCAGACATTGTAATGTGCTGAGAAGTTGTACCAGGTATCTCATCATCAAAATGGAAATTTCAAAAGGCTGTCCTGAGTAGCCCCTGAGATTGTGCACCCCACTTTAGCGATGGCTAATATATCCTATTGTCAATGCATAGATGACGGTAATGATAATGGCTTGCTGGAAAAATGCTGAGGATACTTGTCCAGTTCAGAAAAAAGGCCTTCATCTTTCACCACAGTATATGCCCTCCTGGGTATTTATGGCTTGCTTGAGTGTGTGTAGGACCACCGTCATTATCAAAACATGTATTCCTAACAGCAGAGAGTGAGACCTTTTCTTAGGACGGTTAATAAACAAACCCAGAAGTTAATGTTACCTTGGGAACATGTCAAGTTTCTGAGTCATAAAGCCCCAAGTTAGTAGCTGGAAAGTCCATCATCAAGGTTAAGGGCATCCCCCAGAATGCTAGAATGATTTTGACAATTTGAAAAACTTTGTTTAATTATTGCTCAGGGAAGAAACATCCACAAACATCTTTGTTTAGCAGAGGACTTCTGTGACAGATGAGCCAAAGTAAGTAAAAAGAACAAAACAAGCCAGGCGAGTTGGCTCATGCCTGTAATCCCAGCACTTTGGGAGGCTGAGACAGGCGGATCACCTGAGGTCAGGAGTTCGAGAACATCCTGGCCAACATGGCAAAACCCCATCTCTACTAAAAATACAAAAAAGTTAGCCAGGCATGGTGGCACTGGCCTGTAATCCCAGCTACTCAGGAGGCTGAGGCACCAGAATCGCTTGAACCCGGGAGGCGGAGGTTTCAGTGAGCCGAGATCGGCCACTGCACTCCAGCCTAGGCGACAGAGTGAGAATCCGTCTCTGAAAAAAAAAAAAAAAAAAGAACAAAACAAATTAAAAAGTTTTACACAAGTGTGTCATTGTTAACAGTTTGATATACAGCCTATCATGACTCAGTCCTTTGTTTCTGGATCATCTAATTTAGGACAAAGCTATTTTGAGCTGGGGAAAAGAAATTTCTGGAAAATTGAGAAAATAGTGTTAGTAGAGGAAGGCTCCTTTGCAGTACCTATTGCTTTCATGAGAAGGATTTTTCCCTAAACCCTCTGACCCTAGGTCTTATGCCTCTCAAGTGAATTGCCTGACTTGAAAGGGGAACTGGGTGTGTGTGGCCCAGCCCTGTCCTCCTGCCCTCTTTCTCTCCCTCTGGGAATCTTCCTATCTACAGAGCGGTAGTGCTGATGGCTGCTTGACTCTGGTTTTTCAGGTCAGACTATAACTTGGCAAATCTCTCTGATACCAGAGGAGTTCAGGATTGGGAAGTCTACTGTTGCCACATACTTCTATTCCAACTTTATTAGGGAACAGAGATGCTATTTATCGGGCTACCACCCCAATATTTATTATCAATGTTTCTTTAGAAAATTGCCTGGGGGCTTTAGGTTCTGGCAGTCATCATACAGGGAGTTACAGTGTCATTTAAGGGTATCAAATTAGAAAACAGCTGTGGAAAATTATGTGAAAACCCAATTTCCACGGACACTGTGGACATGGTGATTGTGGATGTGTAATGAACAGGGCCCATGATAAGAATGTAATTGAACAATGCTTTTCCACATTCAGCACATCCAGAATCTCAGAATCCTTTACATAATTCAGAATGTATCTTGCCAGAACAAGAGAGACCACATCATAAATGTGAATTCTAAATACACAGCTCTTTTTAAAATCTACCATGACTAATTATAACTGTTGGCTCAACAGATGTACCCCCACTCCATCACCCTTCTTTTTGGAAACACAATACCACTAAGAGCCCCTGCAAGATATCCTCCTGATGGGTCTAAAAAGCCCTCTGCTGACAAGTACCGCCTGAGAATGAGTCTTACACACCTGCTCGGCAGGCTGTGCACATCTCAAATATTCAGGGAAGCAAGGAGGAAGGGGTATGGCCCTCCAGGGTGCTGCTGTCAAGCACCGTAGCAGAGTAACCTACTGGAATTACTTGTAAAACCATCCCCACAAAAGCAAAAATCCATATGCTGCCTCTTGTCGTTCCAGAGGCAATAGTTAAGTTGTACACACGGAAAAGACCCAAATTCGGGGTTGTCGCTTCCTGATCATTTTTGTCCTTTTTTGTAACTGTGCCACCCAAATGAGCAATGAGCAATATACCAAAAACCCGAGGCTGTCCACATGGCAAGATCTGATCCGAGTTCCATTCCAATGTTGTTCAAAGGTGATTGTTTTCCAGGGTTGTAGTCTCTTACAGCCATAGGGGGATGGAGGGCAACAATCACTGAACTCAAAGGCAGCCCTGGTTCCTTTGATCACTGCGAAGCCATCTAGGAAGTAGCTCCTGACAGACCCTTCCCTCCCTGGAAGGCGCGGCCTGCTAGATAACCCCTCAACTGCAGGCCAAATAGCACAGTATTTGGATGGAGAGGAGGCTCCATTAGAGGGGTGATAGAGGCAGCTCTCTTTCTGGTAAAAATTAAAGCTTATATAGGGCCATAAGGATGAATGGAAGCATAACATACTGAAAGTGGTCAGTGTCTTGTGTTTTATTTTCCTTATCTGCTCAGGGCTGTTGTTTTGAGAGCTGGCCCAGGACCCACATAATGCTGGCTCAGAGCCATATTAAAAGATATGAGGAGTCTCCCCTTATTTTCCAGAAAAGCCTTAGCTTCTGTAAACTTCAGGGAAGATTAAAGAGTCCATGAGGTAGCTGTCTAAGGTTTTGCCCATATGCCCAAGAGCTTCCCACTGTAGATCGTGTTAGCCACCTCAATCCCCAACCCCCAACCTCAGATAATCGAAGTCCACAGGACATGTTGATGCCCATTACCTGACCAGAAAAATGCTTTCTTTGTCCTGTGTTTAACTCTATTTTTTTTTCTTTTTCTTTTTTGAGATGGAGTCTTGCTCTGTCACCCAGGCTGGAGTGCAGTGGCACAATCTCGGCTCACTGTAACATCTGCCTCCCAGGTTCAAGTGGCTCTTCTGCCTCAGCCTCCCAAGTAGCTGGGATTACAGGTGCCCACCAACTTGCCCAGCTAATTTTTGTATTTTTAGTAGAGATGTGGTTTCACCATGTAGGCCAGACTGGTCTCGAACCCCTGACCTCAGGTGATCCGCCCACCTCAGCCTCCCAAAATACTGGGTTTACAGGCGTGAGCCACCATGTCCGGCCTACCTCTATTCTTTCTAATAGTTCTTGTTAACTTTGATAACATGTCTGCAATAAGCTTTGAATTACTGTAATGTTTGAAATGTACACTGGGAGAGTTCCTATATACAACTCAGCTGCCATCCATACCATGAGAATAGTGATTTGTTTGGCTTTTCTTTAACCCATTAGAGTTGAACAAAATATTCAAGACTCACTTCTGTTTTTTTCAGGAGTCTCTGAATATCCCCTCTTGACCACCTTCTGGGGTATTAAATTAAACAGAAACAAAATTTATGGAAACATTCAACAGCCCTAATGATCTATAAGCCTTTGCCAGTGCTTAATCTGTTCCAGAGGTATATCTACCTCCTCAAATCACTCTTAAGGGGCCCCAGGTACCACCCAGCTTCTCCTAAGCATTTTAGTACTTTTCCCTGTCGCAGAAGCCTTCTCTGCCCCCTCCGCTTTGTCCTGCCTACACTGAACAAATCACCAAACCAGGCACTATGGACAGTGACTTGGCTGTACAGGTGCCCTTTGCATAACAATGATGTTCGTGAGAGGCATGACTCTTAAGCCGACATGAGTCTCTGTGACTTTAAATCCTCCTTGTTCCTTTCAGACAAACTGCTGACAAGCCTGGTCAGCATGCACTGACCTGAATGCCCTTTTCTACATCATTAAACCCCTTTTTAACTTCCCGCTGTGGGGATGATGTGTGTCTGCACCGGATCCACACTATGTTTCTTCCCCCTTTCTGTTTAATCACACCTAAATCAAAAGCAGAAAATCACAGTTAAAGCTAATTTGTATCATATTAAATATTAAAATCCATATTAAAATTAATGACATGGTGATATGGTGAGACCCCTTAATAACACTACCATGTGACAGTTTTCTATTTTCACTTACTATTGCTATTAACTTCGTGTTGGCATCAGTTGTTCTCTACAGGTGACAAGTGCATTTGATAGCAGCATATATATGTAAATAACTTACGAATGACAAAATTTTTATAATTTTTTTAAAAATACAAAATTAAACCCTCTAAAAAACTAATTTTTAAGATATCTCTGAAAAATACACAGATATATACGTACTCCTACCCTTTTGTGTCTTACCCTAAAAATTACTCTTTGCAAATAATCTTATAAGCTTTCACTCCCTTTTATTTTGCTTTGCTGGTGGCTCTGATGGTATATGTTCACTGGTGCCTTTTTGGGGGAACATTCCAGAACCCTGTTCTATTATACCACAGACACAGAAAGGTGTTCTGATAATGAGTACTAGTATTTTGGAAAATAAAACAAAAAACAAAATTTCACCACATCCTTGTGAGAATATTTCTACACATTCCTGGAGTTTGTCTGATGTGCTATCATTGGCAAGGTAGAAGGTCATCCTAAATTAACTTGGATCTTTTTCCATTATGGATCATATGC
This sequence comes from Homo sapiens, assembly GCF_000001405.40. Classification (NCBI taxonomy): domain Eukaryota; kingdom Metazoa; phylum Chordata; class Mammalia; order Primates; family Hominidae; genus Homo; species Homo sapiens. The sequence continues at coordinate 6,304,713 of NC_000011.10, forward strand.
AGAAGCATGAATTGTAGAGTCTTCACAACAGAAATAGCTTGTTCTGTATTACAGGACTCCAGAGTGAGTGAGGGATTCATCCTGACTAACAATAAATATTGTTACATTAATGCTTCAGCACAGTCTCTTATATTGAGTACTGTAGAGAAAGAGGCATAGAATAAGTTTATTACTAACTAAGAAAAAAATAATAAACTCAACTTTCTCTTTACCAAACAATTTATCCGGAATTACAACCTGTATCATTGCAATGTTTTTATGAATTCTAGGCAATATCTTCTAACTTAAAAAATAAGTAAAACTAAAAAAAAAAAAAAAGAAAAAGAAGTGGTAAAACTTAAAGCTCCCCCATCTCACCCTTCATCACATACTAGCAGAATATCTTTCACCAATTCTTAACTATAGATACCCATGTAAGAAATAGTCTGTTTAATGGTCACATCAGGCATCAATCAAATGTTGAGGTTTACCAATCTTGGCAATATTGACATTTTGGATAGGCTAATTATTTGTTGTAAGGTACTATCATGTGCATTGTAAGACGTTTAACAACATCCCCGATGTCTGTCTACTAGGTGCCAGTTGTGACACTAAAAAGTGTCTCCAGACATTGGTAAATGTCCCCCCTGGGGTCGGTGGTGGAGGGTATGCCTGCAGTTGAGAACAACTGGTCTAGAGAAAAGAGGGTAATTGACCTAGTTTAGATGGAGTGCATAGTGCTGGGTCAGTTCGCTGTGAATCAGCGAGCAAGGATCAGTAAAGTACAGCATAATTCTATTTGAATATATGTGGCTGCTCCTTTAATCAGTGCTGAAAAGTCAATCTGCTAAGTGAGTGTTTACCACACTGCGGAGATTCCCTCTAGGGTTTGGCTTTTGTAGCTTTGCTCTTTGTTGAAGTTGTGCTATGATCTGAATGTTTGTGTCCCCCAAAAACTCATATGTTGAAATCTTAACAGACAAGGTGATGATATTACAAGGTGGCACCTTTGGGAGGTGATTAGAGATTAGATCATGAGAATTAAAGGGATTAATGTCCTTATAAGAAAGGCCTAAGAGAGAGTCCACAGCCCTTCTACCATGTGAAGACATAGAGAAAAAGCACCATCTGTGAACTAGAGAGCAGACCCTTACCAGATGCTGGATCTGCCAGCATCTTGATTTTGGACTTCCCAGTCTCCAGAAGTATGAGAAATAAATTTCCGTTGTTTATAAGCTACTCAGTTTATTGTATTTTCTTATAGTAACCACAACAGACTAAAACATGCTATTAAGCTTTTTAATTTATTATATTTATTTTTAATTTTTGCCTGTAGTTACTTCTTGTTTTTGAAGTTTTTCCCCTGTTTTAGGTATTTCTATTATCCTTACAGTTTTAGTATTCTGCCATCTTCAAGTAAGCTTTAAGTTGATTTTTGTTCAATGTGAGTTAGAATGTTGTTTTTTTCTATTTACTTTCCTCTCATTAGTATAACCTGAAATCTGCTAGGCAAAATGTGTGGGTTTTATTGTGTCTGTATTTCAGGAAGAAATAAAGGGTGGATGGTCATGTCCATATATTTGAGGCTCACTTGTTTATAAACCTTGGAAGTCGAGAGCCAAGTTAGCAGCTAGTTGAAAAGGATTAGAAGAACAAACCTCTCACTATCATAAAGTCCAATGTATTTAACAGTCTGGCTGGGTAATTAATGCTTAAACGTCAAAATGAGTCTGCTTGAAGTATTCTCTTAGATCCCCCAACCCACTGATTTAGAGAAAAGATCAAGATTTCAGCCCTTCCCTTGATAGAAATGTTGCAAGCTGAGTTTGAGAAACTCAGAAGAGAAATCCTAAAACATGAGAACTTTCTTTTGAAATAGAATGTTTGAAAGAGCTGAGAGCTTTCAGAGACATTGTGAGATCAGCAAGATTTCCCCTTTGAAATCTTGCATTCATCCCCAAACCTAGTTGGAGCAAGGGCAGAAGGCCCCTCTCTATAGCAGAATATCAAAGCACTGGCAATGGTAGAGTGGCAGAAAGCTTGAGGAACACAGATTCCTAGTGACAGAGCAAATTGCTTCCAGGAAAGTAAGCAGAGCAATCTGGGTGGTGGCGACAGTCTGACAGCAGTCATCTCAGATTTGGGTGCAGTCAGGAACTTGTGTCTGTCAAAGTACAAGAGGGACATCTACTTGTGCCTAGTAGAAAACACTTCATAGGCATCAATCCCCAACAAAGATGGAGGTACTAACAACCTACCAGCAAACAGGCAATTATGAAAGAAGGATGATGAGCTCAGCCTATTTTGGATGGACTGGGAATTAATGAATTTCTGTCACTAATTGGTGATTTGGGGAGAAACAGAGGCTACAGAGGTAGATTTTATGGTTCAAAGAGGACACACCAATTCCATTTCTTTTACCTAAGGCATGCTTTTGGAAGGAGCTTCTTCTTACTCAGGGGAGAGGAGAGGGGATGCTAAGTTATATACCAAGGGCCCACTATGAAATGGAACAAGCATTTTGTGATTTCTGAATATACATGTAGCATTGTGAATTTCTGAAAGATAAACTCAGTATGTCCTTACCCTCAGGGAGCTTACAATACAGTGAAGAATGGAACAATTGCACAAACAGAATATATAATAACAAATGTCATACAAGAATGCTACTTTGACTAAAAGGAAGAGAAGATCATATGGTTTTAAAAATCAGGAATAGCATTCTGACCAACTGAGCATATAAAATAGATTGAAGTACAAACATTTAAGAGAGAATTTCAGGAGCCCATATGAGAATCAATGAGATTCTATGCTAGGATAGTGGCAATGAAACAGAAATGAAAGAATGGATTTGTGAAATGTATACCTAGCATCTTCAAGATTTGTTGACTAATTGCACATGGGAGATAATTGAGATGGGGAGAAAGGAAGCACTGGGAATTGGGACAATGGAGATAGGGTTAGCTGAAGTAAGGAAGAAAAAGGGAAATTGGATGGAAGATGGCAAGCTTGCTTTTTGAGATGCTGCTGTAAATACAAGACACTGCGTATACGAGAGGCTGGTGATTATATAGGCTGGGACACTGCATACATAAGAAGTTGGTAATTAACATAGAGTGTAGTCACCTCACCTTGTTTTCCCCTGGTGAGGACTCCTGTCTTTTGATTCTGTCTGTTCACAGTCACATCTCCGGTTTAAAGATACTCTGAGAAGCATAAGTACGTATGCCTTGAAAGCCAGGGCTTAGGATTCATACCATCACCACCGCCTCTACCCTGTCACCTCTTTATTTAACCTTAGCTCCCTATGAGTAACTCAAATGCCTACAGTTTTATTTTCCTGCATGTGCTGGCGCTGACGTGATTGGGATGAGCCCGCTCAGCTGGAATGGAGGAGCACGCCATTGTGAAGCTCTGTCAGGGGAGGAATGACTGACTGCAGCAACTCAGGGGCTGTCTCTCTCTCTCTCAATCTCTCTCTCTCTCTCTTTCTTTTTTCTTTTTTTTTCTTGCTTCTCAGCACAGTCTGACAGAACCTGATGTGGATGCTGGAAGGATAAAATTTACAGTCTCAAGACACGATTCTCTATAAGTCAAATGAAGCATTTTTACTAAATTGAGTCTCTTCAACTCTTCTCTGAATTCTCCATATGTCAGCATAGAATTGCCTCAATCTTCCTTTCTCTACTACTTTATGCTCATAAATTTCATTTTCACTTCTGACAGCTTTTATTTGCTTGGGTCTATTTTTCAATGTTTCTGAACATTTTTTGATATTTACTCTTTACTGTTTATAAAAGGAATATGTACTCATTGTAAACATAACCTGATTTGGAAATTAAGAAAAAAATATAAAGAAGAAAGTATGTGACCTAAACCCTCATCACTATTAACATTTTGATCCAGTCTTTTTCCTCTTATGCACATTTTAATTTTAAAACATAGTTGGAATCATACTATGTAAATTATTTTGTTTTCTGGTTTTGTAACCTTTATATTATTAGAATTTTCTCACATTATTAAAATCAGTTTAAATCATTTTTTATAGCTGCATGAAATTTTATTATTGTGGATGTTGTACTTTTTTTAATGATATTAGCTCCTATGCTGATTGCCTAACTCTTTATGGTAAAAATTTCCTGGGCTATGCATGTGTCTATACATAGCTAAAAAAGAAAAACGAAAGAATAAAAACCAAAATGATATAAAGAAAAAAATGACTTTTTTTTTTTTTTTTTTTTTGAGATGGAGCTTCGCTCTTGTTGCCCAGGCTGGAGTGTAATGGTGCAACCTCTGCTCACTGCAACCTCCACCTCCCGGGTTCATGTGATTCTCCTGCCTCAGCCTCCAGAGTAGCTGAGACTACAGGCACGTGCCACCATGCCAAGCTAATTTTTTAAAATATATTTTTAGTAGAGACAGAGTTTCACCATATTGGCCAGGCTAGTCTCAAACTCCTGACTTCAGGTGATCCACCCGCCTCGGCCTCCCAAAGTGCTGGGATTACAGGTGTGAGCTACCGCATACGTCATGTTCTGCAAATTTTAAAAACAAATTCTATCAAATTAAAGAAGTAATAGTTTCTACTTTATGTAAAATATTCCTGCACATTTTACATAAAGTTGGCATGTAAAATGTCAACTTTAAAATGAAGAAGATCTGAAATAATGAAGAATCTTAATTTAGCAAAAGAAATTGGATAGAAGTCAAGGTTTTCGACATGAAAGAGAGTGACAATAGAGATATGTATATTCTCCAAATTCACCAACTATCTCTAAAGGAATGGCAAATAAAAGACTGGAAACAAGTCAAAACATTGAAATTGTAAGTACTTATTCCTTTGCTGGTTGTAAATTGATAATTTTAACTCTGATATTCTGTTTGAAATGTAAATGTTTAATCTTTCCATCCATGGTGGAAAGGAATGTCTTCCAGAAGTGAGGAGTAAGGGGAGAGGAGATGTATTCTGACCTCAAAATTATGTGACAGTGTCTCCAAAATATAGTTGCTTGAACAGATGTCTTCTAAGCAAATGTTATAAAATACTTAATTAGGGACGTGAAGTTTCCATTCATAAACATAAGAAACTTATTTTTGAAACTTATTTTTGTTTATTTCCATAGGTTATTGGGGAACAGGTGGTGTTTTGTTACATGAGTAAGTTCTTTAGTGGTGATTTGTGAGATTTTGGGGTACCCATCACCTAAGTAGTATACACTGCACCGTATTTGTAGACTTTTATCCCTCGCCCCCTTCCCTCCCTGTCCCCCTGAGTCCCCAAAGTCCATTGTGTCATTCTTAGGCCTTGCATCCTCATAGCTTAGCTTCCACTTATGAGTGAGAACATACGATGTTTGATTTTCCATTCCTGAGTTACCTCACTTAGAATAATAGTCTCCAATCTCATCCAGGTCGCTACAAAAGCCATTAACTCATTTGTTTTTATGGCTGAGTAGTATTCCATCATATATATATAGACATATATATGTATATATATATGTCTATATATGTATGTGTGTATATATATATATCACAGTTTCTTTATCGACTCGTTGATTGATAGGCATTTGGGTTGGTGCCACATTTTTGCAATTGCGAATTGTGCTGCTATTAAACATGCGTATGCAAGTATGTTTTTTGTATAATGACTTCTTTTCCTCTGGGTAGATACCCAGTAGTGGGATTGATGGATCAAATGGTAGTTCTTTAAGGAATCGCCACACTGTTTTCCATAGTGGTTGGACTAGTTGCCTTTCCCACCAGTAATATAGAACTGTTCCCTGTTCACCATATCCACAGCAACATCTACTATTTTTTTATTTTTTGATTATGGCCATTCTCACAGGAGTAAGGTGGGATCGCATTGTGAAACTTATTTTTTGAAGAGCGTGTTTTGACCAGAATAAATATGTGAATTATATATGTAAGAAGTTGAAAAACTGTAAATCTTATCAGCTTCTGGTTAAATGTGTGATTTGTCTGTGAAGACATTTAAAAAAACAACAACAACAACCATGAACTTTGTCTACTCCAGAATGATCTATGGTTTTCAAGTATACTGAAGTAAGATGGACTCTATTTGAGGAAAGTAAACTGCCACCATGAGTTAAAACATGTCTAAAGCCATGGCTTTTTATTTTTTTTATTTTTTTCCAGAATGGATTTTCCAAGAAACTTCACTTTCAAGGATAAGTAAGATCTTGACAGGCTGAATTAAGCAACATATCAAGGAGGGAAAAAAAGATACCTAAAATGAAACATACCACATATAGTTTCTAGTGGGAGAAATGAGCATGGAGGGAGTCTTTTGAGCCAGTTCCACCTTGAGACAGTGCTTCAGAATCAAGAAGGGGAAGAATCTATCACAATTCCCATTTTAGTAAAGTTTCTGCATGAGGTTTCTTAAGTTAATCTGTATAATTTTAAGTTTGGCAACTTTTATACTAAATGTTTTGTTTCAAATACAAAAATATAGCAGTAAAAGTATATAAAGTAATATATAATATAGGAAAACTGAAAGACATAATATCTCTCAATTTGGACATTTCCTTATTAGATGCTGCTAAGTAAAATAGAAAAATGTTTACTGGTGAAATAAGCTGTGTCTAGACCTTAATTTTTAAAGATGGCCACATGTTTTATCTCTGGCTTATATAATCATGCAAATTATTATAAAAAATGCATTTGGGAATATGGAAAAGGCATATTTTAACCTATGCAAAGAGTATTACCCTGGATGAGGTTATATTTTCCTTTAATTTTCAGAGAGATTTTTGTTATGTTCAGATGATGCTGAAACCCTGTTTGGATCTATATTCTATAAAATCAATTTTAAGTTGCTTAAACAATAGGAGGAGGGAACATAATACATATTTATTATACTACACACAATATTTGCTATACCCATGCATTCTTATGCATTTTTACCATGTTATAGAATATATCAGTTCTCCCTAAAGCCCAAAATGGGTATTCTTTTGTAATATGCTTGGATAAAGTAAAATTATGTTTTTAAAAAGAAATAACAAGTTTCTAATGTTTTAAACAAGAATATAATAAGCAAATGGTTTGATCTGAGAATAATATTGGCTTATCAAAGATTGTGAAAGGATGTTGTATTAGAGTAAACAATAGTTGCTTTGAAAAAAGAAAAATAACTTGAAAGAGTTAAAGTAAGGAAGAATTTGAAGTTAAAAACATCAGAATAAGGCTGGTCGCGGTGGTTCACAGCTGTAATCCCAACATTTTGGGAGACCCAAGCAGGCAGATCACTTGAGGTCAGGAGTTCAAGACCAGCCAATATGGCAAAACTTAGTCTCTACTAAAAATACAAAAATTAGCTGGGCGTCCTGGTATGCACCTGTAATCCCAGCTACCTGGGAGGCTGAGGCAGGAGAATCTCTTGAACCTGGGAGGCGGAGGTTGCAGTGAGCCAAAATTGTGCCACTGCACTCCAGCCTGGACAACAGAGTGAGACTCTGTCTCGATTAAGAAGAAAAAAAAAAATCAGAATAAACTCATGATTCTAAAAGACTCTGATTGTCATAAGAACATTTGAAGCAGCTGTTGATGTCACCCTGCCCGCAGTGGAAGCATGGGAAATAATCTACTCAATAATCAGACTTGGGTCTTATGCTGGTTTGCCACAGAAGGTATCACCAGATAACTTGGGCCACATACTAGAAAATCAAGATAAGTATGGAATAGACTGTTGTAACAAGAAAACAAGAATACCTCCATAGATGATTCAAGTATTTAAGAAAAAAAAAAGACAAAAAAGCTTAGTCTGTTTTGTGCTGCTATAACAGAATACCTGAGATTCAGTACTTTATAAAGAACAGAAATTTGTTTCTCACAGTTCTGGAGTCTATAAAGTCCAAGATCAAAGTTCTGTCATCTAGTGAGGACTTTCTTGTTATGTCCTCACATGGTGGAAGGCAGAAAGGGGTAAACCCACTCCCACAAGCACTTTTTATAGCAGCATTAATCCATTCATGAGGGCTATGAAAATTGTCAAAATCAAAATGGAGTCACTTGTGTTAAAAACCCTGACAAATAGAGCTGAGGAAGGGTATGAAGGAGGGATTCTTGTGCACGAATTCTTGATATCACAAAAGACTTTGCAAAACCACAGCCTGCACAAAAGCCATCACAACTTTACACATAAAAAAAAATGCTTCTGGCCGGGCGCGGTGGCTCATGCCTGTAATCCCAGCACTTTGGGAGGCCGAGGCAGGCAGATCATCTGAGGTCGGGAGTTCGAGACCAGCCTGACCAACATGGAGAAACCCCATCTCTACTAAAAATACAAAATTAGCCGGGCATGGTGATGCGTGCCTGTAATCTCAGCTACTCAGGAGGCTGAGGCAGAAGAATTGCTTGAACCCAGGAGGCAGAGGTTGCGATGAGCTGAGATCACACCATTGCACTCCAGTCTGGGCAAAAGAGCGAAACTCCATCTCAAAAATAATAATAATAATAATGCTTCTGAGAGGACATCTGCCTAGCAACTCTCTGTCCAATCTTGGACTGGCACCACCTTTGTTATTAATCCTTGTAGTCAACAATAATTATCTCAGAACAATTATATAATCCTCCTCATTTTTCCTTTAAAAACCTTTGTCTTCCTTTACCTCCTGAATATATACATAATTTACTGTGGAAGACATACACATTCCCATTGTAACGCCTATTCCCAAATAAACATCATTTTCTTCTAGAGAGTCTTCCTCTCCATTTGTTATTTAGGTTGACAGGTCAGAGTTCTCATGACCTAAACAACTCCCATTAGGCCTCATTTCCCTCCCAAAACTGTTGCAATGGGGACTACATTTCCAACACATGAATTTTTGGAGACACACTCAAATCATAGCAAAAAAAAAAAAAAAACACGTTGAAAAGAGCTCCCATATACCAAGAAGTGACAGGTAAGCATCAGGAGAAAACCTACCAGCCAGCAATTGATACCAATTCAGTCTTTAAAAAGAGCCATGAATTCATAACTATTCTAAAAATGAAAGGTAGGAGAAGGGAAATCATACTAAAAAGTAAGATATGTATCTTTCAAATTAGCTTTACAAAATTATGGAATAATGATCAAGTTAACTGAATCAAACATTCGGAGAGTTGGTCAACACAGATGTTAACAATTTCAAATGGTATGCAAACATAAGAAGGGTACATTTGTAATTTTTTTTAAGTTTAAGAGTATTAAAATACATTTTGACTAGCCAGATTTAGAGATATCTAAAGGTTAGGGCAAAACAGGTAGACTGTTGGGGAAAGTGGGTAAAGAAATCAGAATAAACCAGGCATGTAAATACATAAAGAATACAGGAAGTAATAATGATATCATAAAATTAATGCTACATTTAATAATCCACATTACTTTAGAATGGTCTAGTCCATGAGTCTCTGTGAAATAAAAGGAGTTGTTTAAATTGGGTTGGACTGCTCTGTCTTCATTCTGTGTTGGAGAGAGGAAGATCTATAGAAGTCCAGAAACAATATGACTCATAATAGGGGATCATCTCAAACCTATCTTCTCTAATAAACCAGACTTCCTAACAAAATGTCCATGCTTAAGACACAGGTTATGGATTAAAGAAAATAACTATCAGAATAATTAAGCTCAATCTCACAGGACCGGGGGTAGGGGATGATTGTTGGACTCTTGTTTTAAAATGACTGAATAAAGACTGTGCTTTCCACCATCATGTTAAAAATAATTCTAAAATAGAAAAGAGACCATGAATGCAAACTCTGTCTGCCTTTGATGAAACTAAGAAATATCTGAAACCACAAGGATAGATGTCAAGACAGTACAGAACACTTTAGTGTTGGAAATGCTTGTGGAATAGACAGCATTCGCGTTCTCTTCAATGCTGAGGTTATATGATTCCTCTGCTCACAATAAAGGAAAATCAAAAGGACGTCTAGTTCTTAACTAGGGAAGAAGTTTCCTGCCAGGAATGTATATATTTTTGCCCATGTAAGAGGCATGTCAAAGCAGAAAGTGGGCATATTATGTTAGATTATCCTGCCCATTATCTTTATCCAGTTTCTACTATTCTATTGCATTATACCTAGTTTAAGATCTTACTTTGGCTTCCCATGTAGACTTTGTTGAAGGATGAAAAATGTTTTGAATAGCTAGCTAGACTATTCCAGTCACTTGGCCATTAGATTTCTTCGGGAAATTAATGAATCCAGCAATCAAATTAATCAGTGTTTTCTGAGTGCAGTTATTGCAGATCAGCCTAATCTTGCTGGAATGCAAGATAAATTTGTGTTTCTGGCCTGAAAAGTTGAAAGCCAAAGTGAATGTTAATGATCCACTAATGTACCTTCCGTCTGCTTAAATAGCTGCTAAATGCCACATGTGCTGGATGACAAGTTGGTATTCTGTCATTGTCTCCACTTCCTTTATTTTACTTTTTTAAAGGCAAGGTCTCATTCTGTCACCCAGGCTGGAGTATAGTGCCATGATCATAACTCACTGCAACCTTAAAATCCTGGGCTCAAGCAATCTTCCCACCTCAGCCTCCCAAGTAGCTAGGACTACAGGTGTGCCCCCATGCCCAACTAATTTTTTTTTAAACTTTTTTGTAGAGACAGGGTTTCACCATGTTACCCAGGATGGTCTTGAACTCCTGGCCTCAAGCTATCCACTCACATCAGCCTCCCAAAAGGCTAGGATTACAGGCATGAACCACTGCACCTGGCCATTAATGTTTAACAATATTAATAATAACAACCAGCAGTGATAATGGAGAACATAATATAACAAAATGAGCTATGAAGAAATTTAACTAATTTTGTTTTAACTTGATCTTATTATTTGCTGCTATAGACAACTCAGGAAGAAATAAACATTAATATACCCTTCCCTTGCAAAATTAGTCAAGCCTTTGGGTTTCTAGGGGTCAAGATGTTTTATACGGAAAATGCACACTTAGTTCTTAATTCTAATTGTGGGTTGAAAGGGGAAAATCAAGTAGATTTCCAGGAATTTGAAAAAACAAGAATTTATTTTTCCTTGGGGACAGAGAACTGAGTCTGCTCATACCAGTCCCATTGAGACGGCCAAACCTTGAAAGGGGCACAGTCTGAGCACCAGGGTTGGGAGCCTGCAGGAGAAGGGTTGAATTTCCCCAGACCAAATGGAGCTACTGCAGAGCCGCCTTCCATGGAAGGACCCCTGCCCGCTACACCTCCTCTACCCTAACTGTCCCCAATATATTGCCGGTCAGGCTGACCTCCGGGTAATTAGAGGAGGCACCAACGAGGACACTGGCTCCCCGACACTGACATCGTGTGGTCATAAGGAGCAAGGGCAGCAGAGACATGCAAAGGCTGAGAGATGGTATGAGCCCCCTGGTACTGCACAGTCTCGAAAACGGGAAGATAACTAAAATTGCTAATCATCAACTTCCCAACAGCATGGCAGGCATGTGGGGGCTTAAACTCTTCTTATTGAATCCATGAAAATAAAAATGTGACACCACTCAAACTCAAGTGTCAAGGAGTAATTCATACGTGTAACTCTGGTCCCAATATTACTCCCCAGTGTCCTTATCTAAAGAACACCCCCACAAACCTTATCTGTATCCTTAGTCTGTTTTCTTTTTCTTCAGAGCTCATAACCAGAATGCCCTTGTGGTTCATGTGCTTACTTGTTTTATCTGGCTTACATGTTTACTTATTTATTACCTGTCTCTTCCTACTGGAATTTAACTCTATAGAGGTATGGATCTTCTCTTTCTTATGTGCCACTGTATCCTCAGATTTTATTTTATTTACTTTATTTGTTATTATTTTATTTTTTGAGACAGACTGTCGCCCTGTTGCCCAGGGTGGAGTGCAGTGGTGCAATCTGCAGCCTCTGCCCCCTAGACTTAAGCAATTCTGGTGCCTCAGCCTCCCAAGTAGCTGGGACTACAAGTGTGCACCACCACATCTGGCTAACTTTTTGGGTATTTTTAGTACAGACGGGGTTTCGCCACGTTGGCCAGGCTGGTCTCAAACTCCTGGAGTCAAGCGATCTGCCCGCCTCAGCCTCCCAAAGGGCTGGGATTACAGATGTGAGCCACCACGCCTGGCAGTATTCTCAGATTTTAAAATAGCACCTGGAAGACCCTAAGAGTTCAGTAAGTTATTTGTTGAATGAGTGGACAAATAAATTATATACCTGAAGCTTATGGAGCAAAAACTATACTCCGGCAATGTGCTGGGCACTTGATTTATGTCACTTAATCTTTCCAACAATCTAAGTAAGGGGCTATAATTATCTCATTTTATAGATAAGGGAACAGAGAACCCAAACTACCCACCGCTGAGCTCTACTGCCCCTTGCCATTCCTGTTTTCCATCTCACTATTTACCATTTCCAAGAACAATTCCTTATATATCTCCCACTTTTCCTCCTTCAGGTTGGGTCATGCCCCTTCCCCATTTGCTCTCAAAATAACTTACATGTAACCATCATTCATTACAATTGGTGATGGTATCTCCCTCTAAATCCCGAGCTCCCCAAGGTGTTCATGAGACCTAGCATAGGGCCTGGAACAAAGTAGGTATTAAAAACGTTGTTATATGATAGTGACTGAATGAAGGAGTAGGTGACTGTGCTCCTCATCCTTAACCACCACTCCCACTTCCAGTTTTTTGTTTTTCCTTTTTTTTTTTTTTTGAAACATGGTCTCATTCTGTCACCCAGGCTGGAGGGCGGTGGCATGATCTTGGCTTACTGCAACCCCTGCCTCCTGAGCTCAAGTGATCCTCCCACCTCAGCCCCCCAAGTAGCTGGGACTACAGGCACAAGCCACCACATCCAGCTAATTTTTGTAATTTTTGTAGAAATGGGGTTTCATCATTTTGCCAAGGCTGGATTTGAGCTCCCAAGGTCAAGTCCTCCACCCACCTTGGCCTCCCAAAGTGCTAAGATTACAGGCATGAGCCACCGTGCCCAGCCCCTTCTGTAATATTCTTGCTTTACTGCAGCAGGGAACTCTCCTCAGCCCCTCAAGAAGGTCTACCGTGTGCCAGACACAGTATTTGGTGTGGGAAATACAGAAATTAATAAAACTGTCCCTACTGCAAGAGAGTCACAATCTAGTAGATCGGAGGGGGCGTAACCACAAATCCTCACAATCAGTGCAGTTAGCACTAGAGGTGTGCAAGTGGTGCTTTGAGAGAAGGAAGAGAAATACCTGGCCCTGAAACAGGTGTGCTTTACTGAGTTTGGCAGGATAGCAGGGATGACAGTGAGAGCACAGAGCTCAGTGTGACTCAATGGTAGCACAAGGGGAAGTGGTGAGAGATGAGGCTACAAAAATAGGCAGGGACCAGATCACAAAGGGCCTTGAAAATAATTATAAAGAGCTTGGTCTTTATTCTGAAGATAATGGGGAGACACTGAAATATTTGAATCAAGAATGATGTGATGAGATTGGCAGTTCAAATACCGGTCAAGTGAAAGGCCTGAAATAAGGCAGCGGCTGTATTAGAAAAGTGGACAGATTGCAGAGGTAAAATCATTAGAATAGCTGTTTCCATGTGGGAGGGGGATGAGAGAAAGTCCTTGAGCCGACAAGGACTCCCAAGTTTCTCTGTGGATGATGGTATATTGATTTTTTTTGTCATCATTGGTAAAGAAAACACAAGAGGGGGAAATATTCTGAACCATACCTAGTAGGGCCTGCCACATAGTAGGTGTTCAATAAATAGCTGTTGAACGAAATGGAATTTAAAAGGTAGAAGATACTTGCTACTTTTGAAGCACTTTTCAACTGTGGCTCAAGACAGTGGTATGGGGTGTACGCAGCTGGTAGGGGAGGCCTAGGCATGAATGTCAACCGAAAAGTACCCTGAGTAAAAAGAGGGCCAAGAAAGGAATCCTGGAAAACTCAACTTTTAGGAGGTGCCAAGGAAAGAAAAGACTAAGAGGAAAACCATTAGTTGACACTGAGTAAGCACCTACAGCAAGGACTATACTGGATGCTAAAAAAAAAAACACACACACACACTCACACAAAAACAACAACAACAAAAACTGCAACTGTGTGTTCCCATGAGGAAAGTGTTTAAAGAGCAAGTGGTCAGAAGGATATTTCTATGTGTCACTGGAGGCTAGAACCCAGGACTCCGTGGAAACTGGAGAAATTGTACGATTCCAGGTTCCAACATTTGTCTTATTCCTTGTAACTGCCTTCCCACATCCAACCGCTTCCCCATCCCTTCTCACGGAGTCTGGTTCGGGTGAAATTACTTTTATTGATGGTGAGCGCAAGCAGGTGTGAGTGACTGCACCTCTTTCAGAGGACACAGGACTGGGCTTAAGGAAGGGAGGGCCAGAGCGCCCGCCTTGGTGGATGTAGGATTCGCTCCTTATTAGGGCGTGAGTGCTACATTCTGAAAGGATTTATTTTGGGACAAGGCACAAGCACAGGGGAGGCAGGCAACACCAGCCCTCAGGCTACACTCTCCATTTGGAGCAGAGCTTCTTCGGCAGCCCCAGGTCTCCCGGGATCTTCCTCGGTGTCCTGCGGAGGCTCTGGCTCCAGCGTGGGCTCCAGCGCAGGCTGGGCTTCCGGCTGGGCTTCAGCGCTCCGGCCAGGCCCAAGGCGAGGCGGCTTGACCGGGGTGGGCGGTGGCGCTGCAGGGCCTTTCCGGCCCGAAAGGGCCCTTCGGAGGCTCTGTACCTTCTGCAATCCGGTGCGCCGCAGCCGCTGGGCCCTGGACTCCACCGGCTCCTCGTCCGAGCTCTCTCCAACTTCGGCCTCCAGCTGCTCTGGGCCCAGCTCGGACTGGTCCGCCGGGCCCAAGGGCTCTGGTGCCTTCTGGAAAGCGCTGGCTGGGACTTCACCCTCCTCCTGCATGTGACGGACACAGCACTGATCCTGGCAGCTCCTTACCCCCAGCAGCCCGAAACTCACTCCTTAATTACACAAGGGAAACCTTTTACCTCCGCAGCCAGAGTCTGGGGGGAAAGGCAGGCGTGGGAAGGTAAGGGGAGGGAAAGCTGCGTGCGAACTGCAAAACGCTGTAAAGTAGGTGAGGCCTGGTGAGGGGCGAGAAGAGGATAGTGCCCGCAGTCACGGAATGCCCTTTCAACCACCGTTATTTTAGGGATTGGCTGGGACTCAGACCAAATTCTGCGGACGTGGCCTGAGCTAGAGCTGGGCGGGCTTGGATTGGCCAGGCGGGGCTCAGGCGTGAGAGGGAGGGATGGGGCTGGGTCTTGGGAAGTGGGTGCGGCTCTGTGAGTCTGTTCCACAGCAACAGACGGCGGGAGGGGTCAGGAATGTGGGTGTGGTAGGTGGATGGAAGCGGGGAGCCCCCAGCTGGTGGCCCACAGGCCGGCAAAGGCCTCGGATTGGGGACCGTTTGAGGTCACTGACCTTGAAGAGCAGAACGTGGAGCTTCCCGCGCGCCACCAGCAGCCCGTGGTTGGCCTCCAGCCGCTGCACCTGGGCTGCGCGGCGCACCGCGCGCTCTTGGGCGGCGTTGGCGTGCGAGCTCACGCGCTCCGCCTTGGCCAGCAGCTGCGCCAAGGTGTTGCTGGTGGTGTCGTGGCTGCGACTCAGAGCGCCCAGGCCGCTCTGGATGCGGCGCACGGACCCTGCCAGGCCTCCCTGCCTTCGAGCCAGGCCTCCCTGCCGCTCCCGCAGAGTCTCCAGCATGGAGGCCAGCTTCTCCAGCAGGGTCACCACCGTCACGGCGTGCACGGGACCCCCCGCCGGCGCCTCGGGCACAGGCCCCCGCTCCAACGCACTCTCCCTCATGATCCCTGACCGCTCTGCTCCGTCTGCCTGCAACTGCTGGCCGCACTACGGTCAGGGGCCTCCTTTCCCTGGCTCCTCCCCAGCTCCAGCTGTGACTCAGGCAGGCGGAGTTGGCCTTCTGGGGCGGCGGGAGGGCGCGAGGGCGTGGGGATGTTGGCAGCGGGGTCTCTTGAAAGCGTTTCGCCTTCCGCTGTCCCGCGCCGGGGGCCTGCTGGGAAGCCTGTTGGCCCCAAATCGGCCCCCTGCAAACCCTCTCACTCTGAGTTTGAGTTACCCTCCTCCGCTCCAATTCCCTGGTGTGCCTGTTTCAGTTCTCCACTGCAAAGGGCGAGTCACGGAAATTTTTATTTCATGCATCTTAGTGGGCGCAGAGACTGTGTTGGCACGGCAAAGAGATAACCAGAGGGGCCTCCGTCGCCGTCCACTTTCGGCCTCCCACACCAGTGAAGATTGCCCCCAGGCTGGATGCAGGCGACAGGGAGGCCCTGGAACATTCTGCTTACAGATCGCGAACTGTCAAGGCCCGAGGCCCCGCTTTGTGACTTGGACAGGCTGCTCATTGTGGGCTGGCGGGCGGGGCATCCTCTGGTGTTTTCCTAATAGTCATCTCCAGGGTTTAGCCTCAGGCTTCGTTTCCTGCTTCTTTATTTCGTCCTCTTGGGTAGCATTATCTGGTTTCTTTTCTCTAGTTTTCTGCCCTCTCTTTCTTTGGGTTTCACTGGTAAATCTCAGCCGCCCCGGCCCCAGCACCCAAGCTTGGAGGATAAGCAGGACACCTTCACCTCTTTTAAAATCCTTAAAAGCGTTAGACTAGGCACTGGTCTTTGCTTTGATAGAGGTTACTTGGGCTCCTGCCTGACTTTTTTTGCTTGTTTGTTTGTTTCTTGTGTTCTGTGGAACTGCGGAGAGTAAAGATTTGAAATTGCTGCTGCAGAGAGGGAGAGAGTGGGCATGGAGGATCCAGTTAATGATGTGGATTGTGAATTTCTAATGTCAGCAGTTCGAAACATCCCATGCCTTAGCCGGGCGCGGTGGCTCATGCTTGTAATCCCACCACTTTGGGAGGCCGAGGGGGGAGGATCACGTGAGGCAGGGAGTTCCAGACCAGCCTGGGCAACATGGCAAAACCCCGTCTCTACTAAAAATACAAAAATTAGCAGGGCGTTGTGACACACGCCTGTAATCCCAGCTACTCGGGAGGGCTGAGGCAGAAGAATCGTTTGAACCTGGGAGGCAGAGAATGCAGTAAACCAAGATTGCTCCACTGCACTACAGCCTGGAGGACAGAGCAAGACTCCATCTCAAAAAAAAAAGAAAAGAAAAAAGAAAATCCCGTGCCTTGTTTGTAGCAATACTTGGCAAACCGTCTCACAAATGCAAGTAATCCATTAATCCTGATGATCTCTCTCCCTCTTCCTCTTCTCACTGAACCTGTGAGGGCCACTTGTTGACAACTGTGGAAGAAACTTGTGTCACTCTGGAAATAGTTACATGGGCCTGAAGTGCCACAGACGTGGGCAGCTAATGCCAGAAATCTGGTGATGCTAAGCTGATGGCTGATTTCTACAAATACAAGGCCATAAGCCTGACCCCTGCTGCTTAATACAAGAGAAAATAAGCTCTCTTGGGAATCTGGTGGGAATCACCATCTCTTCCAGTGAAACTACATTTACCCAGAGAGATCCATCAGGGATGTACCAGTTAAAATGCTTTCAGACTGAGGGAACAAAAACTCAATTCAAACAGTACTTAGTAACAGGAAACTCAATTCAAACATAATTGAAAAAGAGGATTGGTAGAGTGGTGATTAAGTGTGAGTCATTCACAGCTCCAAATCTGGTTTTCTACAGTTCTCTCCACTGCTCAACTATGAGCCCCATCCCGCACCTCTCACACTCCCCCATGTCCCCCACACACCCCCTACCCATGTGTATGTGCCCACATACGCACAGGTGTCAGCTTCATTCCAGGCCTCACAACTCTGCACAAGATCTTAAAAAAAAAAGGGGACCATCTTAAAATTTAGGACATTTATTTCCCAGAAGCCTCCCAGAATTTTTACACTTGCCTTCCACTGGGTTACATGGCTTTTCCAAATCCAAATTCTATGGCTACAAAAATGACATGCATTGATGGGTTTAGGCCTATGTTCCCTAAACAATCACTGACAAGAAATCTAATAATTGGCTTTTGACAAGTTAGATCAATTCTGAAGTAGAGTAGATTCAGCTTCCCCAGGAGTATTAGGGTGGTATGGGAGGAAAAGTGGATATCTGTACAAAAATCTGGGTACTACTGGGAATGGATATTAATATTACAGGAAGCCTATGAAAGAATCACCAGCTTTGATGAGTGGGGCTAAGGAAATTCAGTGCATTTGGAAGTAAGAAGTACTTGCATAGATACTTGGATAGATTTGGATAGATTTTTTTTTTTTTTCCTGAGACCAAGTCTCGCTCTGTCACCCAGGCTGGAGTGCAAACGCGCGATCTTGGCTCACTGCAACCTCCGCCTCCCAGGTTCAAGCAATTCCCCTGCCTCAGCCTCCTGAGTAGCTGGGATTACAGGCACGCGTGACCACGCCCAGCTAATTTTTGTAATTTTAGTAGAGGCAGGATTTCACCATGTTGGTCAGGCTGGTCTTGAACTCCTGACCCCATGATCCGCCCACCTTGGCCTCCCAAAGTGCTGGGATTACAGGCGTGAGCCACCGCGCCCAGCATAGACAGATATTTTTTTAAAACCTGGTAATGAAGTGGCATTGTTGTCTGGAGTAAATACCCGAGATTGGTTGTGTCACAGCTATGGAAAACTAGGACATGGACACACAAAGAGGTTCAGAGCAGAAGTTGAATAGGCAAAAGAAAAAGAAGAGCTCTCTGCAGCAGAGAGGGGTCCCAGAGAAATGGGTTGCTGGTTCCACCGTGGAATGCAAGGGATTTTATAGATGACCTTAAGGAGGCAGTGTGTCATTTACATAGGGCACAAAAGATTGGTTGGACCAGGTGTGTCATTTGCATACAGCTCAAAAAACTGGTTAGGGCTAGGTATGCCATTTGTATAGGCACAAAAAGATGGCCACCCCCACCCTAATCTTTTATTTTGCAGATGGGTTCTCTACCTGGCCAGTGCCATGTTGCCTGTTTCTTTACTGTAACTGTGGTGACAAAGAAAAGGGAAGATGGAGCCTCCATGTTGAACATACCTGGCCCCCAGGTAGCCCTTTTCTATTGACACAGCTGCTGGCATTCACCCCTGCAGGCTTCCAGCTTGCTTATCTATGTTTGCAGCTTGATTTTTCAGGCTGTTCTTTGTTAGAAAAGAAATGATTTGGGGGCTGATTTTTGTTAAAAGGGAAATTCTGCTGAGGACTCTTTTGCCCTCACTATCTGCCTAATTTTTTTCCATCTCCTGTAGCACTAACTCCCTCTCTGGATATCTGGAACAAGGAGGACCTTAAACTTAACAATAAAGCCAATGATGGTTCTACCAGTCTCCCCAAAGCCTCAAGTTTAAAAGCCATATGAACTGGCTGATAGTGGAAAATGGAAGCCATGAGGTAAGTAAAAATAACTTGGGGCCAGCTAGAAGAATGCCTGAGTCAATAATGCAGAGATTGACAGAAATTGTAGTAGAGTGACCTTGATTATAAAGTATCCAAGGAAGAACTGTATTGCAGTTTCCAAAAAGGGTAAGAAAAGAAGAAAACAAAGAAAGATGCAGAATGATGCCCTCTGTTCAAAAATAAACTTACGAACCTTAAAATTTTAAAGGGTTTATTTGAGCTAAGAACAATTCATAAATTAGGCTGCACTCAAGGCCAAAAGAGGTTCAGAGAGCTCAGCTGCAGCAGTGTGGGCAGTGAGCTTTTATAGGCTGAACATGGAAGTAAGACAAAGAAAATATATTTGATTCATTAATATGGAAATTCCCCTAGTTAGAGGTTAGTTGGTGGTTTCTGATTGGTAAGGTCCCTAGTTTTCTTTTACTTTTTACATTGGGCTTTGGTTTGCTTATGTAGGAATCAAATGTGGTGGAGCCATCTCAGCCTGATGGCTTCCCAATTAAAAAACTTTATAACACCTCTAAGGCAGTGGTCTTAAAAATTTCTATTCTTAGCCAGATGCGGTGGCTCACACCTGTCATCCCAGCACTTTGGGAGGCCAGGGTGGGCGGATCACCTGAGGTCGGGAGTTTGAGACCAGCCTGACCAACATGGAGAAACCCCGTCTCTACTAAAAATACAAAATTAGCCAGAGATGGTGGCACATGCCTGCAATCCCAGCTACTCGGGAGGCTGAGATGGGAGAATTACTTGAACCCAGGAGGCAGAGGTTGTGGTGAGCTGAGATTGTGCCGTTGCCCTCCAGCCTGGGCAACAGGGGTGAAATTCCGTCTCAAAAAAAAAAAAAAATTCTCTAAACTAGGGGTGTGGCTGGCATCTACTCTCTCATACCCCATGGTATGGACATGAAAAGTGGAAACTTATTGTCGCAGGTTGCTTGTGTCCCCAAAAAGATATATT
The DNA here is from genome assembly GCF_000001405.40 of Homo sapiens. Taxonomy (NCBI): domain Eukaryota; kingdom Metazoa; phylum Chordata; class Mammalia; order Primates; family Hominidae; genus Homo; species Homo sapiens. Next base: position 6,325,002 of record NC_000011.10, read on the forward strand.
TAAGTCCTAACCCCTGGTGCCTATGAATATGACCTTACTTGGAAATATAATCTTGCAAATATAATTAAGATGAGGCCATAATGAAGTAGAGTAGGCCCTTAATCCAATATGACTGGTGTCCTTATAAGAGAGGGAAGAGATACACAGGGAGAACACCATGTGACAACAGAGGCAGAGATTGGAGTTAGCTGCCACAAACCAAGGAATGCCCCAGAAACCGAAACAGGCAAGGGAGGATCCTTCCCTAGGAGCTTCAGAAGGAACATGCCCCTGCCAACACCTTGATTTCAGGCTTCTGCCCTCCACAACCATGACAGAATAAATTTATGGGGTTTCTGGCATTGGTGTTGGTGTTTTTGAGACAGAGTCTTGCTCTTGTCGCCCAGGCTGCAGTGCAATGGCATGATCTCAGCTCACTGCAACGTCTGCCTCCCGGGTTTGAGTGATTCTCCTGCCTCAGCCTCCTGATGAGCTGGGACTACAGGTGCCCGCCATCACACTTGGCTAATTTTTGTATTTGTAGTAAAGACAAGACAGGGTTTCACCATGTTGGCCAGGCTGGTCTCAAACTCCTGACCTCCAGTGATCCACCTGCCTTGGCCTCCCAAAGTGCTAGGATTACAGGTGTAAGCCACTGCACCCAGCAAAGTTCTGTTGTTTTAAGCCACCTAGTTTGTGACTTTTTTTGTTTTGGTAGCTCTGGAAAACTAATAACAACTTTGATTAATCAATATCAGTATTACAGTATCCCATTACCCAGGATGCTCCTGCAAATGGCTTCCCCAATTATGTGAAAGTATTAGAGTCTCTGTAGGAAAAGTTAATAAAACCTGAAGACTCACAGTAGAACACAGACAAACCAATAGTTGCCCAGATGTAATGAGTCTTGCAAAAATGAGTGGAATACTATGGTAGTTGAGCTAACAACTGCTTTAAAAAACTAAAAGGTATTACCCATCCTGTTTGTCAAGGGTTCCATTTATATACTGGCCCATCCCCTCCCCAGAGCACAGCCTACTATGAGGAAGAGTTGGCTGTACTAAGGAGAAACAAATCCACTACACCTTTCATCAGGCCTGGGGCTGTCTGAAATATATCTGCCTAACAAAGATCTGCTTAAGGGTGGCCCTCTGTCTCTACCTATTCAAGAACAGCTGGATGCTCCTTTCGCTTTAAGGAAATCTCTGAAAAAGACAGATCAGATCATAGTGCCTTAGATGGTATCATTCTGCATCTTTGTTTTCCTTCTTCTTTCAGTTGCCAGGTGCCCCACTATATGAAGTTGCCAAGATCCCCTAAAACAAAAGTGACAAAGGCACTGCCATTCTTCACATCATACCCAAGAGGATGAGTCTGTCCCACTGGGTTCAGAGACCATCCACCAGAAATCCAGCAGACAGGGATTACCTAGAATAGTAGTGCTTAAACTCAGGACAGGTAGTGAAACATGTAACACCTCCTACTGCAACAAAGAACAGAGGGAGGTGTTAGAGTCAGCAAATGCTTCACCTTGGAATTTTCACACACTCTATATCTTGAGTCCTCCAAAAGGCTACATACTTTCAGTAGGATTGAGAGAAGCCTCAGTGACTAACCCTGGCAAGTTACAAGCCACAGTATGGTCAATTCTATCCTTTGGGTCCTACAAGTCAGAAAGAAAAATGAGACCCTGAAGTCTCTGTGATTTCTACCTCTTCCACCAAGATGATTTGTCAGGGAGGGAGGAGGGCAGATCCTACAGGGGAAAATACAGCATAAGTATTTAGGATTTTTGACTAAGGAATGCTTTTAGCAGCTGAGAATTGTACTGCTTTTGAAAAACAATTGCTGGCTGATTACTGGAGGGGAATAATAGTACTAGAGGAGAGACTCGACAGAGGTTGCTGAGTGGTTTTGTGAATTGGAACCCTTTGTCTTACATAGCAATAGAGCTTAACAGTCTTTGATTATTAAATAGAAAAATCAAAATCTAAGAAAGGATGAGAGACATCTATGTGAGCTCATTACCAAAGAAATATCCCTGACCAGGACCCTCACTTTCATCTGCCCAGAAAAACTGATGCATCCTCCAGGCACTAACCTTTAAATCAAAAGTAACAATGTGAGGCACAGACAGACCACTCATTTAACAGGCAATGTGCCTCAGTAGACAGGCACTACCTTCCACCCTTTGTCATAGACATCCTGTCTACGGAAGAGGTAAAACCATTCCACACAATGAGGGAGCTCTGTGCCCCTGGCAGTTACAATAGCTATAAGTTTGAGGCATCAGGAAGTGAATTTGTACTGACTCCAGAAATCAAAATATCCAAATGGATGGAAGATCTCGGAATGGTATATTATGACCAGTAGGCTTAGGGATGCCTTTTATAGCAAGAATCACGCACATTATTCACTCAAATGACTATTTTTGTATCTCATATTTTAGTATGTTGAATAGTGTCTTAGTCCATTTTCTGTTGCTATAACTGAATACCACGGGCTGGGTAATTTATAAAGACAGAAGTTTATTTAGCTGATGGTTCTGGAGGCTGGGAAGTCTGACAGCTTGGTGCTGGCATCTGGTGAGAGCCTTTTTGATGCATCATAACATGGCGAAGGCATCATATGGCGAGAGGGCAGGAGTGTGCATGTCAGCTCAGGCCTCTTCTTCTTATAAAGCCACCCGTCCTATTTTGGGGACCCCACCCTGTTGACCTTATCTAATCCTAAGTACCTCCCAAAGGCCCCACTTGCAATCAACATATGAATTTGGAGATTAAGTTTCTAACACATGTAATTTGGTGGACACATTTAAGCAATAGCAAATAGTGTCCCCCCAAAAGATATATCCAAGCTCTAACTCCTAGTACCTGTGAATATGACCTTTGCAGATATAACTACATCTTTGCAGATATAATTAAGTTAAGGATCTTGAGATGAGATCATTCTAAATCAAATGCCTGGTGTACTTATAAGTAGAGGAGAAGCCACAAAGACACAGAAAAGACTGTGCTGTGAAAATGATGGAAGAGATTGGAGGGCAGCCACAAGCCAAGGAATACCAAGGATCAGAAGCTAAGAGAGAGGCATAGAGTGGATTCTCCCTCAGAGCCTTCCAAGAGTGAGTGGCTCTACCATACTGATTTTGTACTTCTGCCCTCTTGGACTTTGACAGAATACACTTCTGTTGTTTTAAACCACTTAATTTGTGGTAACTTGTTATGGCAGACCTAGAAAACTAGTACATATGTAGACACTACCAAAAAGATTAGGGATAGAAAAAACAATTTAAAAGCAAGTAAATCCATCAATATGTCATGGATGTTTGTTTTGGCCAAGGCATACTGGGGGCATCAGAGCACCAGACACCTGAGATAAGAACTAGGTTGACCCAAGCTCACATTGTGAAGTATGTAATTACTGCTGGAGCCAATTGTCAGGATGTAGGAGTTTGGGCTCCTTCTGCAAAAATGCCCTGGGACATTCCAAGAGGCAAAAAAAAAAAAAAAAAAAAAAAAGTCTGGAATTACTAAATAGACTCTATTGAGTTTCCTTCTGTAATCTGAGGAATTCAGTGGGCTCTGCCAGCAAGGAAGCCTTGCCTGGGTTTGAGTTTGCATTCTTAGGCAAATCACTGAAAAGCCACCATCAAAGGACTGCAGCCCTCCACCTTGAGCTAAAGCCTCTAATCCAGGAATATATTTTACCACCCATATGATAAAGGACAGGGCAGATCATTGGAGGATGATGTGCCTTACCTCTTACCTGGATTGAGAGATAGAATGAACCACTGAAGAGGGGCTTGGCCATGATTCCATGGTCAGTAATTCCAGATGGGTGGTGACTTATAGACTATTGTATATAGCTAGAGCCCTGCAACAACTTTTATCTTAGCATAGACATTCCCCTTTGTATCTGGGGCTGAGCCCAAGGAAAAAGAATTCATTTTTAGTCATCCAGTATCTACCACAACTGGGAAATAATTTGATTTTTATAAGATTTAGTCACTACATTAGTTAAATGGTATTTAGTTATGAATTTTGTTTGAAAAATAACTATCATTTGTTTAGTGTCTAAAGAATAGATAGTTGCTAATCAATTCAACCAAGGAAGGGAAAGAAGTGGGTCTACCCTGGGTAAAGAAGAGCATTGCTCTTCCACCCCATGCCACTTTAGGGCAGTTGACATGGTTTAGCAACATTGCACAACACAAATTACCCTACCGAATATTTCTCATCTTATTTGGATTCAGTGGGTTTTAGAAGCAGGACAGAAAACTGCTCAGTACCAGATCATATGTACAACAATCCATTTACTAAGCCAGCCAGGGAAGGCAGTAGAGAAGAGTTTGAAAGAGTTAAAATGTTTTAATAGGTCTAAAAGCTTACTCACTTAATCCAAAGGTGAGAATGATTCCTGAGATTAGTAGACTTGTTCTTAAGAATGGTACCTCAACTTTTTGGCACTGAGACCCCCATCCAGTTAAGTGTGATCATATCACAATAATCCATTGAGTCCCCCAGAGATAGTATACAGTGCAAAACCAGTGTACTGCCTGCTATTCAACTTGCCTGTCTATAGGAACTGCAGATTAATCATGACTCCTTATTATTGTGTGGATTTGGATGAAGGAAATATTGATTGTCACAGGTAGGATTAGGGTTTAAGATACTCTTTTTGTCACCAACTGGCATTTAAGTCAGATGAATGGGCTAAAGAGCAGTAAGCAAGGCACTCCTGCCCATAAAGAATGCAGAAGACTGCTGCAGTGCCTGGACCTGGCAAAAGAGACCAGAAGGGAAGAACTAGCCTTGGAGTCAGGTCTCCAACCAAGTAGATCTGTCAGAGATTGATTTGGTTGGGAAGCTAATGGAGGAGGAGGAGTACTGTAAGTAGCTGAAACCATCTAATTGATGTGGGCTAAAGATGATTTAGAGAACTAAGAAAGGAAAGAGAAGGAAGGAAGGAAGAGAGGGAGGGAGGTGAGCAAGGGGAGGAAGGAGAGAGAGACAGAAAAGAAAAGAGAAGAAAAAGAAAAGAAAGAAAGAAATTTACTCATGTATACTTCCACACTAAAACTTGTAAAAGATATTGAGGCAACCATATACTTACACAGCTCCATCTATAATGGGAAAATTTATGGAGACAGAAAAATGTAATGTTCGGATTGTACTGTACTTTCAAAGGTTGAAAAGTGAATCCTCAAAGGAAAAATGGAAACTACTCTTGAACTTGTTGGGATTTGAAATTTCCTCAGGAAATCAGATTAGAGTACTACCTGGTGAAGCCTGGAGGACCTACCAAGAAAAGCAAACTTGGATCTTTGCAAGGTTAGAAGAACGAATGGGATCCAAGAAAAAGACTGGTCATATTCAACGGCTAAGAGCGTTGGAGAAGGCCTGTGGAGTCTCAGCAGGTCAGGTCCATGACTCATGAGTAGACACCTGTGTTTCTACTGCCTGGTGCCATAATCATAAACAAGGTGAGCAGGGGCAAATAAGATCCTAGTTCAGTACTATTCACTATAAATATAATGTATGTAATTTAAAATTTTCTAGTAGCCATATTTTAAAATTTTTTTAATGAAATTAACTTTTAAAAGATATTTAGTTTAACTCAATATATCCAAAATATTGCCATTTTAACATGTAATCATATTTGTTAGGTATTAATTAGATATTTTACATTCTTTTAGGTCTCTGAAATCTGGTATATATTTTATATTTATAGAACATCTCAATTTGCATATTAAATGTTCATTAGAAATGATGGCTCTATGTTTAGACTTTGATAAAAGAAAAACTTCAGCCAAATTAAGTTTAAAGGAGTTTAATTGAGAATGAATGATTCGCGAATTGGGCAGGCGCCAGAATCACAGCAGATTCACAGAGACTCCAGGGGTGCCTCGTGGTCTGAACAAATTTATAGACCAAAAAGGTAAAGTGACGTACAGGAATCAGAAGTGAAGTACAGAACGAGTGAAATTGGTTACACTTGGCATTTGCCTTATTTGAATGCAGTTTGAACATTCAGTAGTCTATCAGCGGTTGAAGTATGGCCCCTGTGATTGGCCAGCACTCCGCTATTGTTACAGGTGCACACCACTAAGTTAGGTTTTCAGTTTTATCTGACTATTAAGCTAGGTTACAGTTCATCTACCAAGACTCAAATATGGAAGTACAGAGTCCTTCTCAGGCCATATTTAGTTTGCTTTAACACTTCATAAAATTTATAGTTACATACCCAAGTAATTCCAAATATACTTAAAAGTTTCCAATAACTGAATCAAGTATCAGTTTTTAAATTTAAATTTAAACTAATTAGAATTGAATTATGTGGGATATGGGATGAGAAGAGAAAATCAAGAGTTAATCTCTGCAGGAAACTGGGCCTAAGGTTCCCTTATTTGATTGATGTTTGTATTTTTTTTATTTTGGTAAAAATTGACTCCTGTGTAGACAGTAGAGTGACAGATGAAGAGCTCAATCCCACATAGAAATAAAAGGTGGAGGCCGGGTGCAGTGGCTCACACCTATATTCCCAGCACTTCGGGAGGCTGAGGCAGGCGGATCACCTAAGGTCAGGAGTTCAAGACCAACCTGGTCAACATGGTGAAACCCTATCTCTACAAAAATACAAAAATTAGCCAGGCATGATGGCAGGTGCCTGTAATCCCAGCTACTTGGGAGGCTGAGGTGGGAGAAATGCTTGAATCCAGGAGACGGAGGTTGCAGTGAGCAGAGATCACGCCATTGCACTCCAGCCTGGGCGACAGAGCAAGACGCCATCTCAAAAAAATAAAAAGAAAGAAAGAAAAGAAAAGGTGGAATTAATGTCCCAAGGCTCTAAATTTCTTTAGAAAAAAGAAATAGTCCTCCATCAAACTGAGCACATTGCTGCCTCAGGCAACTGGGCACTGAGAAAATGCTCTCTGGTCTAGAGTTACTGACTCACATCACAGAGCTTGGACCAGTTGCTAATCAGTTCTTGAAGATGGGGGAGGAGATAAAAGGTGACCCTGAAGTTGCTCCCCTCACCATCCAGCCCAGCTTTTTGGACCTCTAGATCCTTCCACCCTCCTCTGTGCCACCTATTTGCTGATTCTACCCTTTTATATATGCAGTCAATCCTCATTATTCATGGATTCAGCATTTGCAAATTCGCCTACTTACAAAAATGTATTTGTAACCCCAAAATCAACACCCAGGAGTTTTTGTGGTCATTTGCAGACATACACAAAGGGGCCAAAAATATCAGTTGCTCAACAGGGAATATTCCCAAATGACATCCAGTAAGACAACTCTCTCCCTTCTTGTTTCAGCACTGGTACTGTAAATATTAATACGTATTTTTTTCACGATCTATGTAGTGCCGTGTTTTCAATTTTTGTGGTTTTTATTGGTGATTTCACTGCTTACTGTGGCCCCCAAGGGTAGTGTTGAAGTAGTCTGTTGCTCCTGAGCACAGGCTGTGACGTGCCTTAACAGAGAAAATACAGGGGTTAGGTAGGCTTTGTGCAGACACAAGCTATAATGCTGTCAGCTGGGAGTTCAATGTTAAAGAACCAACAATATATATTAAATAAGGTGTTTTTGAACAGAAACACATATAAAACTATGTTATGTATTGATTGGTTTATGAAAATGTTATGACTATGGGATTGTAGGGACCTAACTCTGCATTTTCCGCAGAAGAAATGGTTCAGTGGTCACTAATTCAGTGTTCTCAGCAATTTTATAGATTATAACTACAGCAGATAATGAAAATTGACTATGTATATATAATTTTAGTGCAATTTTCTGTTTTTTCAACTTATAACCCAGGTATTACCTAGGTCCCCCTTTGTTCCTTAGAAATCTGAGTTTGGACCCTACCAATTCTATTGCCTTTGAAAGTCTAAAGTTCTCCAGGACAGGTAGAGGCTGCTCTACCTGTCCAGGAGAACAGCCAAGAGTGAGCCAAGATCACGCCACTGCACTCTAGCCTGGGTGACAAAGCGGGACCCTGTCAATAAATAAATAAATTCTCCCAGAAATATTTGCTAATTCCTGAACTCTATTTAAAAAAAAAGAAAAAAACAAGAAAAACAAAAACTACTGCCTTCTACCTCCTTCCCACCCTGGCCCTGGAGGGTAGCTACTCTAGTGATTTCTAACAGAATTGATTTTTGTTAGACAGTAGTAAGCCTTTCATGTGTACGAATTAAATTAATCCTCACAATGACCCTCTGAGATATGCAATATTACTATCCCATTTCACAGTGAGGAGATGGGGAAACAAAGAGATTAGATTACTTCCCAAGATCACACTGCTGATAAATAGCAGGGCTGGGATCCAACCCTGGCATCTGCTCCTTAGGCAAATAAACCATGTTACCAAAAATATCACAGCGGCTGGAGAAGCAATCTGAATCCAGTGAAATTGGAATTGTTGAAAAAGAAACATTCACTGCCACATAACTATTTGCATATAGCTTCACATACTCTTTCAATTTATTTCTCTCACTTGCTACCCAGTGAAGGAATCAGGAGGATCAGAGAGGAAGAGGAATATGCACAAAGGCCATAACTCTAAGTGGCAGCATCAGGGTTTGAGCCTGGTCCAAATTAAACTTCATCTCCATTTCCCATAGGAAGAAACTGAGGACAGGAGGGGCCAAACAAGTTACAGTTTCATCCCTCCAGAGAGCCAACAGAGTATTTTGCACGAAGTTGAAGCTAAACAGGTATTATGTCCTATCTCTGGACTGAATGACTAGATGCTACTCAGCTTCTGAACTAGAGGAAGCCTGGGACCTTGACCGCACTAATGCTGATGACAGCGGATTTGCAAGTGGCTAGAGGTACCAGATTTAGCAAATCAAAATATAGGACGTCAAGTTAAATTTAAGTGTAAGATAAGCTACGAATACCTTTTCTAGTATTAGTACGTCCCATGCAATATACTAGAAATGTTATTCGTTATTTATGTTAAATTTAATTTTATTAGGGCATCCTATATTTTACCTGTCAATCCAACCCATGACCTAGGCAGACACTGTAGAAAAACAAAAGGAGAATTAAGGAGATAAATGAAACACAGGGTGAGCTGAAAAGAGGTGCTCTGTGAATTTGAGGGTCCAGTAGGAGCTGACTTGTAGGTACTTGGTCTGTTTTGATGCCCACAACAACCTTGGGGAAGGGGCGGAATAGCAGAGGGGTAAGCTCTCTGCCCCCCACCAGGGTTCTGCAGGACGCCAGGGCTTTTATCAGCACCCCTATGTTCACATCCTGGCTGCACCCTCCTTGGTTGTATATACTCTGGATAATTCACTTAATTTAAATCTTGCTGCTTTTATAAAATTGATAAAAAGTTAATAGTGACACTGATCACACTGATGTCCCTCAATGAATTATCAATATGTTTTTTCTTCCCACCTATATTCTTTATTGAACTCTGTTATTTTTGATCCTGGTCTAGAGTAAGCATTATGACCATGCAAGAGTGAAATGAAATTTTTAAAAATAATTTTTTAATGTTTTCTGAATGCTGGGTGTTTTCAATGATCATGCATGACTGGCAGCAAAGAGGAACGAGGATGGATTCGATAAGGTGCAACAAGTCCTGAACACACACAGAGAACTGGCTGTGAATCCTGTTTCTGCCACTCACCACTTACTTGTTGGGTAACCTTAGCCACTTCATTTATCCTCTCTGATCTTCAGGCCTACCTCATGTCCTCCCCAAAGAGATGGTGGGTAAGAGAGAACTTTGCAAAAGGCTGCCAGAGCATAAATAGGTCTTATGACTATGTAGCAGAAAAATGGGACCTCAAAGAGGAGAGAGACCTGCAAAGCGGGGGACTGCTGCCATTCTTTGAGTGGTGGCTCAAAATATTTCCCCAAACTGTCCCCATCTGGTCAGGATGCCCCACAGCCTTTTACTAAGATGGTGTCTTCATCTAGCCTCAGCCCAGCTGCAGTACCTTTCTGGAACTCCCACCACTGATGCTCAAGAGGAGAGTGTAAGTTCAAGAGGGTTAAGCTCTCTACCCACCCGCTCATCCACAGTCCCTCAGACAAGCATGCAGATACATGCTTTGTTTGGTTGGTTGGTTGGTTGGTCGGTCGGTTGGTTTTGTTTTGAGACAGGGTCTTGCTCTGTTGCTCAGCTGGAGTGCAGTGGCGCAGTCACAGCTCACTGCAGCCTCGATCTCCCAGGCTCAAGTGGTCCTCCCACCTCAGTCTCCCAAGTAGCCAGGACTACAGGCACATGCCACCACACCTGGCTAATTTTTCAGTTTTTTGTAGAGATGGGGTCTTACTATGTTGCTCAGTCTGGTCTTTAACTCCTGGGCTCAAGCAATCCTCCTACTTTGGCCTCCCAAAGTGCTGGGATTACAGGGGTGAGCCACCGTACCCAGCCCAAGAATGCTTTTAGATTGTACTCTCTAAAAATTAATGTTTGTTCCTGGGAGTAATGCATGAGCTAATATAACAAGTCTATTAATCAAATGAACTGACATAATTCCTGCTAACACATGTAGGAATATTGAAAAGGAAATTCAGCCAGGAAGCTCTAAATCCACAACAAAGTGCAAGATACTATATTATCACATTGAAAAACACAATCCAGCCACCTGAAACAAGCAGTGTGACCCAAAAGCCATTTTCCTAAATTTGTTGAAGGGTTTCTCCAGCCCTGCACTGTCCAATATGATAGCCACTGGCCACATGTGGCTGTTTAGTTTTAAATTTTAATGAATTAGAATTAAATAAAATGTAAAACTTAATCCTCAGCTACATTATCCACATTTCAAGTGCTTAACAGACATATGTGGCAAGTGGCTACCATATTGGATGCATCCCTCTCCTCAGTACAATCCCACAGGGTGAGTGTGGTCCTCAAACTCCTTCCCAAACTTCCAAGTCACCAAGTAAACACCACAGGCTTCTCTGAGAGATGAGAAGAAAAAAATAAGGAAATCTTTCATTTAGCCAAAAAGCCATGTCTTGACAAGAAAAGATCAATATAAATAAAATTACAGGGCAATTATTGGAGAAGTGATCTCTTCCATCAGCATTTGGACCATTTAAAGTAGATACAAAAGGATATAGAAGACTAGTTTCCGAAACAGCCCCATGCTTTAGGACCTGGATCGGGACTTTCAAAAATATATACTTTTTTTTTAACTTTTATTTTAAGTTCAGGGATACAAGTGCAGGTTTGTTACAAAGGTAAATTTGTGTCTGGGGGGTTTGTTGTACAGATTATTTCATTACCCAGGTATTAAGCCTAGTACCCATTAGTTATTTTTCCTGATCTCCTCCCTCCTCCAACCTTCCACTCTCTGAAAGGCCCCAATGTCTGCTGTTCCCCTCTATGTGTTCATATGTTCTTATCATTTAGCTCCCACTTATTAGTTAGAACATGCAGTATTTGGTTTTTGTATCCTTAGGATACGAAAGGATAATGGCCTCCAGCTCCATCCATGTCCCTGCAAAGGACATCATCTTATTCTTTTTTAGGGCTGCATAGTATTCCGTGGTGTATATACCTTTTAATGTAGATTACCTTGATTATGGGAACAATGTTGTTACAGATTTTATCGTTTTTGAGAAAGTATAATGAAAATTGTGTCTAACAAAGTAATAAGATTCCTTTCTGTCTATATAGTGAAAATGCTCAGGATGTTCACTGCAGCCTGCCTCACCCTGGAAAAGAGATGTGAGGATAATGAGAAAGAAGAGTATGTTCAGTGCGGAGCATGCAAATTTGCATGAAAAGTAAATGTAACTTTGTGCCTAACTACAACTGGCTCCCACAGATATTTTAGTTCTCAGTTTTAATAACAAGTGTCCAGCACAGAAAAGCCTAGAACATAAAAGGGCCCGATACAAATTTACTGATTTAAGAAAAAATAATGTTTGTTTTCCTAAGAAAGATAAAGCACCAGTAAGAAATGAATCATACTTGCAATGAGATAGATAGATAGATAGATAGATAGATAGATAGATAGATAGATAGACAGAAAAAAATAAGCTAAATTTAAAGTCAAAAATCCACTGTCAATTGGATAAGAAATTGATGTTTGAGTCTAAAAAGTAAAGCTGGTCTTTATTTTGTCCAGATTTTATTTTATTTTATGTGTGATAGGGTCTTGCTTGCTCTGTAGTCCAGACAGGAGTGCAGTGGTGCCACCATGCCTCACTGCAGCCTGAACCACCTGGGTTCAAGTGATCCTCCTGCCTCAACCTCCCAAGTAACTAGAACCACAAGCATGTGCCACTATGCCCAACTAATTTTAAAATTTTTTTTATAGAGATGTGGCCTCTCCATGTTGCCCTGGGCTCAAGTGACCTTCCTGCTTCTGCCTCCCAAAGTTCTGGGACTACAGGCATGAGCCACCTCACCTTGTCTGTCTTTCTCCTTAATCCATTTCATGTTGTTTATGCTTTTTTTTTTTTTCTCTGAGATGGAGTCTCAGTCTGTCTCCCAGGCTGGAGCGCAGTGGCACAATCTGGGCTCACTACAACCTCCGCCTCCCAGGTTCAAGTGATTCTCCTACCTCAGCCTCCCAAGTAGCTGGGATTACAGGCACGTGCCACCATGCCCGGGTAATTTTTGTATTTTTAGTAGAGACAGGGTTTCACCATGTTGGCCAGGCTGGTCTCGAACTCCTGACTTCAGGTGATCCACCCTTCTTGGCCTCCCAAAGTGCTGGGATTACAGGCATGAACCACCACACCCAGCCTGTTTATGCTTTTAACCAGTATCTACACTGGTTACAGTTTCTTTACCAAGTGAACTGACTCAAACCTTCATTCATACCCAAAAAGTCTGAACCCTTCATGAATTAGCCTAGAATGATGTCAATGTTTTAAATAGCCTTTGCCACCAGGCATGGCGGTATAAGAAGTCATGCCACCAGCTCTCTCACTTTCTAATTCTATTCCTCCAGGCCCCTATCATAATGCACCTTGGTCAGGTGCCACTTTTTTGCAATGAGAAGAAGTCTACTCAAGCTAGCTAGGCCTTCCTGGGATGAGAGAATCTTTACCACTCTGGACCATGCCAAAACACTGAGGACAGTAGCCACATTCTTTTGAGGCTCTATTGCTTGCAAACCTACTTCCCAGAATCCATTTCTCTTCTAGACATAGGTCAGTTGGTTGCAAAGAACAGAAATTATCTCAGGTAACTTAAGTGAAGGAGGGTTTATTGTAAGAGAATTGGCAGCCACCCCAGCCCCTAAAGTAGACTGTTGAAACAATTTGTTGAGTCTGGAGCCCTTCCTGAATTAACAAAAGGGAGGATCCATTAAAGGATAACACAGCTTATTTATTATTTCAATAGCTTCCCAGGCAAAGCAGGAAAGAAACCAGACCTCTTTTCTGCACAATAATGGGGCCCACTAACTCTGGGGAAAAGGTAAGGTACCTTCTAATTGAGGAAATATATCCTTTTTCAATATGAGTCTAGATTGTACTCTTTAAAAATTAATGTTTGTTCCTGGGAGCAGTGCATGAGCTAATATAACAATTCTATTAATCAAATGAACTGACATTGTTCCTCCTAACACATGTAGAAATATTGAAAAGGAAATTCAGCCAGGAAGATCTAAATCCACAACAAACTGCAATCTTGGAGTCTCTTCTTCCTTCCCCACCCCCAACCCACTTCTATACACACAATTTTGCAAGACTTGGATAAAAATAGTCACCATTTTTATCTGGTTAAAGTCCTGGGGACCCTACCTCTAATTGGCACACTCAGACCGAGACACTTTGGTAAGGTAAGAACGGTAAATTTGGAGAGAGAGAAAGAGCCAAGAAGTGAGATCCCTCCTTGTGGATAGGTGTGGGGTTTTCCCAAGGAAATTGATGGAGTTTCTAATAAATAAAATCTTAAAAGGAGGCCCATGGAGAAGGAAAAGATGTGCATCTAAAGGCCAGAGAGCTTGTGAAGGATCTGGACCTGCAGGTAACATCGCTTTGAGAAGTAAAGAGAAACTCTAAGGAGTGTTTTATTCTTTCCTCTTTGATGTACAATCACTCTTCAGAAATTGCCTCTTTAGTGAAGAAACCTGCATAGAACCACTTAGGCTGTTGGTAATTTTGAAAAGACTGGAAAGAGAGAACTATAGAGGAAAAGGGAAAGAAAGACTTGCCCCAACCATCACCTCTGATTTACTGGAGAGAGACATCAAGCGGGTGATAATGTAACCACCCAATGTGTTCACTGTGCCCGCTGCCTAGACACAGCTGATTTATCAAGACAGGGGAATTGCAGTGGAGAAAGAGTAATTCACACGGAGCCAGCTGTGCGGGAGACCAGAGTTTTATTATTATTCATATCAGTCTCCGCAGGCATTAGGGGATCAGTTTTTAAGGACAATTTGGCAGGTATGGGCTCCAAAAGTGGGGAGTGCTAATTGATCAGGTTGAAGATAAAATCACAGGGGGTCAAAGTGAGTTCTTCTTGCTGACTTCTGGGTGGGATCACAGAACTGGCTGAGCCAGATTATCAGTCTGGGTGGTGTCATCTGCTGCTTCGGCATGCGGGGTCTACAAAACGTCTCAGGCACTGATCTTAGGTTAGCTAATTTGTTAGTTCTACAAAGGCAGACTGGCCCCCTGGCATGAAGGGGTTTTTTGGGAAGGACCGTTATCCATTTTGTTTCAGAGTTTAAACTATACACTAAATTCCTTCCCAAGGCTAGTTCAGCCTACACCCAGGAATGAACAAAGACACTTTACAGGTTAAAAGAAAGATGGGGTCACTTAGGTCCGATCTCTTTCACTGACCTAATTTCCTAAGTTATGACTTTTGCAAAGGTGGTTTTAATAACATGGAGCTCCCGATGGTGACAGGCCACACTGAGAGCAGGGAGAAAACATCCATGGTGAGGACATAGCACTGCAGAGATGACAAATCTCAAGGGGCAATAAGATGCTCTTGCATTTCCCTATAAATTAGAACATGCTGCCCTCCAAAAGAGGAATTGGGGAAGGCTGGACATTCAAAGTGATCATTTATCATTTGGTTAATATTAGTTCTAACCCACATATATGTACAAATATATATAATTTATATAAGTCTATATATATGTATGTATATATATTTATATAGAGACAGGCTCTCGCTATGTTGCCCAGGCTGGTCTCAAACTCCTGGGCTTAAGCCATCCTCCTGCCTCAGCTTCCCAAAGTGCTGGGATTGCAGGTATGAGCCACTGTGCTTCAAGTCCAAAGTTCCACACATTCTGCTATACTCACACCACACACCTTCTCAGCATTTCCACATCCTTTCTTGCTTCCACATTCAGTTCTTCATGAATCTGGTGTCAAGCACAGCTCCTTTATCAATTTTCGTAAAGAAATGTACTCTGAAGGTTTTGAGGATTGGTCATGGGATATGTAATATGAATGTGTTGGGGCTCAGAAAATGATACCCCAAGTGAAGGCCTCAAAAGCAAAGTTTCTCTCTGGCCTTCTCCTGCCCCCATCTCTCGCCCCTCATTTTCCCCCAAGGAAAGCCATAAAAACTATAATCTCAGCCCGGCGCGGTGGCTGACGCCTGTGATCCCAGCACTTTGGGAGGCTGAGGTGGGCAGATCACCTGAGGTCAGGAGTTCAAGACCATCCTGGCCAACATGTTGAAACCCCATCTCTACTAAAAATACAAAAATTAGCCAGGTGTGGTGGCGCATGCCTGTAATCCCAGCTACTCGGGCAGCTGAGGCAGGAGAATCACTTGAACCCAGGAGGCAGAAGTTGCAGTGAGCCGAGATCATGCCATTGCACTCCAGCCTGGGTGACAGAGTAAGACTCTGTCTCAAAAAAAACCAAAAACCAAAAAACAAAAAAAAACAAACAACAACAACAACAAAAAATAGCCAGGCGGGGTGGCTCACACTTATAATCCCAGCACTTTGGGAGGCCGAGGTAGGTGGAGCACCTGAGGTCAGGAGTTCAAGACAAGCCTGACCAACATGCTAAAACCCTGTCTCTACTAAAAATACAAAATTCAACCAGGTGTGGCAGGCATCTGTAATCCCAGCTACTCAGGAGGCTGAGGCAGGAGAATCCCTTGAACCCGGGAGGCGGAGGTTGTAGTGAGCTGAGATCGCGCCACTGCACTCCAGCCTGGGAGACAGAGCAAGACTCCATCTCAAAAAATAAAACAAAACAAAAAAACCTAGAATCCTTCCCCAAGGTGGGTTATAGAAACCAGAACCCCTCTCCCCCAAAGCCAGCCATAAAACCTAAAAGTATTATTCTAACCTTCCCCTGACTTGCTGTGTAAGAGCTGCACATAAAGAAATCCCCGGCTGGGCATGGTGGCTCACGCCTGTAATCCTAATACTTTGGGAGGCCAAGGCAGGAGGATCGCTTGAGCCCAGGAGTTCAAGACCAGCCTAGGCAACATAGCCAGACCTCATCTCTACAAAAAATGTAAAAAATTAGTTGGGTGTACTGGCATGAACCTGTAGTTCCAGCTACTTGGGAGACTGAGGCAGGGAGGATGGCCTGAGACTGGGAGGTCAAGGCTGCAGTGAGGCATGATCATGCCACTACACTCCAGCCTAAGTGACGGAGTGAGATCCTGTCTCTAAAGACAAAAGAAGAAATAAAGTGAGAAAAAAGGGAATTATTTTTAAAAAGAAAGAAATTTTCTGGCCTATCTTGTTTAATAGGAGTTTGTAAGACCCCCATTCCAGAAAGGGTCCTGCCCCATACCTGAGAGGAAGGATTGTTGTACAAAGAGGCCAAGAATCATCTAAACAGTTGCAGTCTGTTCCCATTAGGTCATACCCTTTTTGTTCAATCACATTTCCACACAGCTGTCTATTCTTTATTGAACCCAAGCATAAAAAATGGATAGCTTTATTAGTCGGGCATGGTGGTATACACCAGTAGTCCCAGCTACTCAGGAGCTGACACAAGAAGATCACTTGAGACCAGGAGTTTGAGGCTATAGTGAGCTATGATTGTGCCTCTACACTGTAGCCTGGGCAACAGAGTGAGACCGTCTCCAAAATAAATAAATAAACAAATAAATATAGTTTTCCCTGTATCTTTGGGTCTGCATTCTGAAGTCTCCCATGTCATATAAAAGTATGATTAAATAAATATGTTATGCTGTTCAATTGTTAACCTGTCGTTTGTTACAGGAATGTTGGCTGTGACCCTCATGATGTAGAGGAAAGTGATTACCAACTTTCTGTCCCTGCAAATGTCACAGACTCTACACACCACACTCTTACTCTTTCTTCCCTCCCTTTCCAGAGTAATCAGCAAATGCCTTTCCTTTCTCCTGCTGATGTTTTGCCCGTACTCAGACCCCTTGACTTCTTAGCTTCTACCCAAAGTGAGCTTGTCATCAAAGTTCTCCAAAAATCTGCAGTGTTCTCTTGAGCAAATCTGGTGAGTATAATTTCCTCATCTCATAAACTTAGGATCAAATGACCATCTCACAAAATCCCAGGACAAGAAAAGCCTGGGAAACTAGATCAAGCTTAGACAGCCAGACTTCTCCCTCCGATTTTCAAGCCTCCTGATCCCTCCGGTCCCCTTCTCTTTATGTGCCTGCTCCATTCTGCTTTCCTTGAAGCTGAGCTTTCTGAGGCTACTTATACATGTTGTGATAATAGCCATCCCAATTCAGCTCATGTGCCTACCATCAAATCCATCAAATGATTGCAGTCATTGTGCTGTATTTAACTTTTTTTTTTTTTTTTTTTTTTTGAGATGGAGTGTCACTCTTGTCACCCAGGCTGGAGTGTAATGGTGTGATCTTGGCTGACTGCAACCTCCACCTCCTGGGTTCAAGCGATTCTCTTGCCTCAGCCTCCTGAGTAGCGGGGATTACAGGCACCCACCACCACGCCCAGCTAATTTTTGAATTTTTAGTAGAGACGGGGTTTCACCATGTTGGCCAGGCTGGACTCGAACTCCTGACCTCAGGTGATCCACCTGCCTCGGCCTACCAAAGTACTGGGATTACAGGTGTGAGCCACCATGCCTGGCCTCATAGTTTAATTCCTTGAGCAATAAAGAGAGGGAGCATCTAACTGGTAGCCTTGGGTCAGATCTAATCAGCTGTTGCCCAGGGGTAATGAAATGAGATGAAAGTCGGTTATGGCCCACTCTTACAGGATCTGTGGTCCAGGTAGGTACAGAAGTTTATCTAATCAAAGTAGCTAGCCTATTTATTCTCAGTGGTTGTTGGAGGATTTCAGGGCACTGATATCCCAATTTCTTGTTCTAGTTCTCAACGAACTGGGAAATAAAGTAAAAGAATAAGGTAATAAGAGGCCGGGCATGGTGACTCACACCTGTAATCCCAGCACTTTGGGAGGCCGAGGCAGGCAGATCGCCTGAGGTCAGGAGTTCGAGACCAGCCTGGCCAACATAGCAAAACCCCATCTTTACTAAAAATACAAAAATTAGCCAGGCGTGGTGGCAGGCACCTGTGATCCCAGCTATTCAGGAGACTGAGGGAGGAGAATCGCTTGAACCCGGGAGGTGGAGGTTGCAGTGAGCCGAGATCATCCACTGCACTCCAGCTTGGGTAACAGAGCAAGACTGTCTCAAAAAAAAAAAAAAAAACAAGGTAATAAGAGATCAAAACCACAGTATTACTGATAAAATTCACATTGGCAAATGTGGCTTTATCATTTAGCAAATGGGTCCCTTGATTCTGAACACCAGAATTAGGGAGACTAACCCACCCACTCACAGATGGTATACAAAAATTATAGCTTCCCCCTTGATTTATATAGAGGAATCAATATTGACCATGAGTTTATTATTGTTAAAGTGGGTAATGGGTACGTGAATCTTTATACTATTATCTCTCCTATTTAAGTACTCTGCATTTAATAACTTTTTGGAGTAAATCTAATCGTGCAGTTATATCTTCCCCCAACGCTCTGAGAGAGAGATATCAGAAACATTCTCTTCTTTTTGCAAAGTGTAGAAATTTGCAATGATGCCACCTCAGTCATTAGGCCTTATTGAAGGGATTTTTTAATTTCCATCCAGCCTGCTCAAATTTTCCTATACAGTTCAATACACTGATTGAGGCCAGGCGCGGTGGCTCACACCTGTAATCCCAGCACTTCGGGAGGCCAGACGGGTGGATCACGAGGTCAGGAGATCGAGAACATCCTGGCTAACATGGTGAAACCCCATCTCTACTAAAAATACAAAAAATTATCCGGGTGTGGTGGTGGGCACCTGTAGTCCCAGCTACTCGGGAGGCTGAGGCAGGAGAATGGCGAGAACCCGGGAGGCAGAGCTTGCAGTGAGCCGAGATCGAGCCACTGCACTCCAGCCTGGGCGACAGAGCAAGACTCCATCTCCCAAAAAAAAAAAAAAAATACACTGATTGAGCCCCAAGCTCTGGCATCCCAGTGTACCCCAAGTGCATGCCTGTTGTGTTGCAGCTTCCAAGACTATAGCGCTCTGATGCATTGAGATGACAGCAAGCGGCATTTTTCAGTCCTGTTACCCATATGGCTGCTACCACTGCATCCTGTTAAATAATGTCTTCAACCCAAGAAACCTGCTTCCTAGGGAAGTTTCTCTCTCTCTGCATTTGTTCCCACTAGAGAATGACCATCACCAGATTCCTGAACTGAAAATGCTGTTGACACTTTGGAAACTCGGGCCTCTATTAATAGGGTGACCAACTATCCTGGTTTACCTTGAGTACAGGATTTTCAATGCTAAAACCAGAAAAACCAGGATGGTTGGTCATCTGCCTCAGACCTAATAAATACCAGTCAATAATTCAGCCATGAGCTTTCTTAAGACACTGTCTTTTCTTGACTGTTGAATAGTCTAGGACTTGAGTAGCAGCTCTTTCTGCTACTGGACACTTGTTTTACTACCCTATTTCTCTAGATTTTATTTTGTGGCTAATAATTAAGACATAAAATCATGGGTTCTGGTTATGCCAAAGCACTCACTCTTCAAAAGTTTCCATCCAGAGTTGGATAATCCCACACAGAAGGTGTTCTTTCAACAGACCAGCATCCAATAGACCCAATGCAGCATTTTTCTTCCTGGTTCCACATTAATACATCCTATCTCTGCTATGCTTAGGTCCCTGATTTATAAATATTTCAGACATATTTTCTCAGGACACAGGGAGTACTTAAACTTCCACATAGCAGAGATACGACATACAATAAGCTGTTATCTGGAAACTCCTAGTGATGCTTTGAGTACTTTACAGTAATCTTTCTGGTCTTCCTCTCAACCCCATTAAGTTTTTCTGTAACTAGCTGGTGTATCTGTCTCCATCTTTAAGGAATAAGTCCCTATTTGCTCATGCTATAATCTCCCTCATGCTCTCCGTCCCTCCTTCCCTCTCCTTCTCTCTTTCTGTCTCTCTCTCTCTCCACCCTGATTGTGAGATGCTACACCTTAATAGTTTTCTATACCTAGATCCCTTTTGAAGGAGTAATTTCAGCCATCACTGAAATCTATGCTTTTTTATCTTGTTAGATTTATTTAGGACCTAATGACTGTTTCTGAGCTAATAATAACGCAATCAGCTCATATTTTTCTGATACTCTAAGAGCAATTACATCTAGTTGCATCACCTTTTCCTTTTTTATTCATGTATCTTAGGCTTCTCAAGATATGAGACTAGCACTTGAGCCTGAGATAAGCCTTAAGAATTCCAGGATAGTCTCTCCATAGTTCCCTTTCTTGGATAAAGTCATTTCAAAACATCTTAGTGGATCAGATTTGGAGCAGCCTACTTACACTGGTGAATACCACAACTAATAAATAATTGTTCTGCACCCCACCCACATCTAAAGGATTCAGGGTGTCTTTTACAGATATAGGACTCTCCTTTCTCTGTTTCTCTTCTCTCTCTTCTCCTTGATTAAAGCTTTGCTTCAGCTGTCCCTGCTCACTACGGCACTGCACCTCACCAGCATCTTCATGGCCCTCACATGGCTCATGTGCATATCCTAACTCTGATACTAAGGGAGGAGACCACCCCTCATATTGTCTTATGCCCAATTTCTGCCTCCAAAGAAAGAAGAAGTAAAAACTAAAAGGCAGAAATGAAATCCACAAGCAGACAGCCCGGCGCCACACCCTGGGCCTGGTAGTTAAAGATCGACCCCTGACCTAATCGGTTATTTGCATAAGAAAAGCACTGTGAAGATCCCTGTCCTGTTCTGTTCCATTCTAATTACCGGTGTATGCAGCCCCCAGTCATGTACCCCTGCTTGCTCAATCGATCACGACCCTCTCACGTGGACCCCCTTAGAGTTGTGGGCCCTTAAAAGGGACAGGAATTGCTCACTCGGGGAGCTTGGTTGTTGGAGATGTGAGTCTTGCTAAAGCTCCCAGCCGAATAAAGCCCTTCCTTCTTAACTCGGTGTCTGAGAGGTTTAGTCTGCAGCTTGTCCTGCTCTAATACCTGTGTAGTTCAAGAATAATCTACAGCACATTACACCCAAGGCTCTCACTTTGGCTATAGTTGTGTCTTTACTGAGCCATCCCCCAACCCCGCCCACAGTGGCATCTGGCTAAGGCCTACCCTTTTGAATATTAAGGACACCCACATGCACCTTGACAGAGACATTTTGGCTGAAGGCAGGCAAGACCCATCTACTGTTCCCCTAAGGTCAGCCCAGAGCCCTGCCTCTATTAAAAACAGATCCTTACCTGTGGATAAGGTAACCTGTGGGTAACAGATCCTTACCCGAGACTTGTGGGGCCCCATCAAGGTGAAAGTCCCACCTGGGCCCGGGCATGGGGAGTCATGCCTGTAATCCCAACACTTTGGGAGGCCAAGGAGGGTGGATCACCTGAGATCAGGAGTTCGAGACCAACCTGACCAATACGGTGAAACCCCGTCTCTATTAAAAATACAAAAATTAGGTGTGATGGTGCACACGTGTAGTCCCAGCTACTTGGGAGGCTGAGGCAGGAGAACTGCTTGAACCCAGGAGGTGGAGGTTGCAGTGAGCCGAGATCGTGCCACTGCCCTCCAGCCTGGGCGACAGAGTGAGACTCCATCAAAAAAAAAAAAAAAAAAAAAAACTCCCCCTGGCCAGCAATGAAAACCTGAAACTTCCTCCCCAGTTACAACTGATAAAAACCAGTTACATCCATTAAAAGAGACTTCTGGCTTAATATAAACTTCCACAAAACCACTGCAATCACAAATGTATGCTTGCTCAAGTCCAAACCCAAAACTGGCTTCACCAAAAGCCTCTTAACATAATAGTTGGGTCTCCAAATTTCACTCCCTGTTTATTTTTTAAGGCTCCTGGTCCAGTGAATCAGATGTTGAAGTTGTGTGTTGAAGATGTGCCTCAATAAACGGCACATCTTTCCCTCTCCTGAGTTCAACACCAGTTAAAAGGTAGAAACCAATAATCATTTCTATGACTGACAAAGTTAATATTAGAAAGATGGCTTATATCATTGGATAAAATAACTTTCTAATAGTGAATCCCAGAAATAAAAAGAGGTTTACCTACACAGCTATAGTTCATACTGGAAAAATGAGGTCTACCAATGGGGCAAGCCCCTTTAGAATGTCCTTTGAAGTGCATGCTTTTGAGGTCAACCTGGATCCCAAAGAGACAACTGGGAAAGCTGAAGCTTGTTCTTCCCAAATGTATCATTTAGCTAAGTCATTGACTTCTCTTCTGGAGAGGGAGGCCAGTATTATTACTCTAAAAGAGCTCCCTCCATGTGAAATGAACCATTGAGAGCGAAGAAAAGCACTTTTCTCCAGTCGTAGTCAAGGTTAACCATCCTAATGGATAAAGAAAATGTGGGATATATTCAGCCCTTATAAAGAAGGAAATCCTTTCATTTGTGACAATATGGAGAAACCTGGAAAACATTATGTGAAGTAAAACAAGCCAGACACAGAAGGACAAATATTGCATGATTTCAGAAATATGTGGAATCTTTAAAAAGTCAAACTTATAGAAGCAGAGAGTAGAATAGAAGTTACCAGTAGCTGCGGCCAGGCGCGGTGGCTCACGCCTGTAATCCCAGCACTTTGAGAGGCCGAGGTGGGCGGATCACGAGGTCAGGAGATCCAGACCATCCTGGCTAACACAGTGAAACCCCGCCTCTACTAAAAATACAAAAAATTAGCCGGTCGTGGTGGCGGGCGCCTGTAGTCCCAGCTACTCGGGAGGCTGAGGCAGGAGAATGGCATGAACCCGGGAGGCGGAGCTTGCAGTGAGCCGAGATCGCGCCACTGCACTCCAGCCTGGGCGACGGAGCCAGACTCCGTTTCAACAAAAAAAAAAAAAAAAAAAAAAAAAAAGTAGTTACCAGTAGCTGGGGCTGGGGGTTGGGGTGCTGGGCGAGTAGGGAGATTGGGGAGACGTTGATCAAAAGGCACAAAAGTTTCCTCCAGTTAGACAGGAAGAATCAGCTCAGAAGATTTACTGTACAATACGATGACCATAGTTAATAACAATGTATTATACATTTGAAAATTGCTAAGAGTAGATTATGCTTTCTCACCACAGAAAAAATGTGTAAGTATTTGAGGTAATTGATATGTTAATTGGCTCAATTTAACCATTCTACAGTGTATTCATATATCAAAACATGTACACTAAAAAATCTATACCATTTATATTAGTCAACTTAAAAATTAATTTTTTAAAAAGATTAATTATCCTAGATAACAGCAGGACATCTTTTTTCCGTTTCTGCACATGGCATGAGAAATGTGACATGACCAGTTTCCAATTTCCAATGTAATGGGATCATCATTACAGGCACCTAGTGAAAATATCTCTCACTTTGTTTTTGGTTTTGTTGTTTTGTTTTGTTTTTGTTTTACTTTGAACACTAAGATGCTAAATACTTTGGTAGTAAAAGAATCTTGGTTAGAGAAAGACAGCATTTTGAGAATGGTTATTGAAGTATAATTATGAGTGGTGATGCTCCCATCTCCAACTCTTAATCCCTGGGCCTATGTGTTCTGACTTGGAGACATGAATATATGAATCTGGCAGAGAGCATAAATCACCAACAGCAAGACAAGATGCCTAACTCACAAGCAATTGTCCCCCAGCTAGGGTCAAAGCTGAACATTCATTTCTCTATAATGCCAGCAACTTCTGTCTGATAGGGTCTATATTAGCTTTCTAGAGCTGCTATAAGAAAGTGCCACAAAATTAGTGATTTAAAACAACAGAAACATATTCATTTGTTATCTTATGGTTCTAGAAGCTAGAAGCCCAAGGTCTCAGCAGGGCACTCTCAGAAGGCTCTGGAGAGGATCATTCTTTGCCTCTGGTAGCTCCCAGCAATCCTTGTCATTCCTTGGCGTGTAACTGCACCACTTCAATCTCTGTCTTCATTTTCACAGGTCCTTCTTTCCTCTGTATCCAAGAGTTTTCAAATCTTTCTCTCCTTATAGAGACACCAATCATTGAGTTTAGGGTCCTCCCTAATCCAGTCTGACCTTATCTTAATTTAATTACACATGCAAAGACCCTATTTTTAAATAAGGTCCTCTTCAAAGGTACCGGAGTTAGGACTTCAACATATCTTTTTGAAGAACACAGTTCAATCCACTGTAGGTCCCATAATGAAATCAATGAATGGCATGGACATTGGTTCTTTGCCTTACTTCTTTTTCTATGAAAAATTTCTTGACAGAGCTGTGATACATTAACTGTAAAAATGGACCCTGGCCGGGTGCTGTGGCTCACGCCTGTAATCCCAGCACTTTGGGAGGCTGAGGTGGGCGGATCAGAAGGTCAGGAGATCCAGACATTCCTGGCTAACACAGTGAAACCCCATCTCTACTAAAAATACAAAAAAAGGTCAGGAGATCCAGACATTCCTGGCTAACACAGTGAAACCCCATCTCTACTAAAAATACAAAAAAAAAATAGCCAGGCGTGGTGGCGAGCACCTGTAGTCCCAGCTACGCTGGAGGCTGAGGCAGGAGAATGGTGAGAACCCGGGAGGCGGAGCTTGCAGTGAGCTGAGATCGCTCCACTGCACTCCAACCTGGGCAACAGAGCAAGACTCAGTCTCAAAAAAAAAAAAAAAAAGACCCTATGCTTCCCCTGCCTCCCTGTATCCATACTTTTTGAAATGTGACTTTTCAATCCTTCCATCAAGAAAGTCTGTTTCCTCACACACTGAATCTAGACTGGCCTTATGGTTTGCTTTGGCCAATAGAATGCAGCAGAAGTGTCATCATACTATTTCTGAATGTATGCTTCAAACTTCTGGTCTCTCTTTTGGAAACCTGACCCTGCCATGTAAATAACACCAGGGTAACTTGATGCTTGATGAGACACATGTCCCAGTCTCCCATGTCACCCAGCCATCAGCCAGCCAACCACCAGACATGTGAGTGAGGCCATCCTAGACCAGTCAACCTGCAGCTGATCAACATGGTGACCCACAGATTCATGGGCAATAATATATGGTTACTGTTTTAAGCCACTATGTTTTGGGATGGCTTGTTATGCAGCATTAAATAACTGATAACAAGATATAACAGTATATATGACTCCATGACAATACATAAGACTTTCAGTAAGTTCGCAGATGTCAGTGCTGGCAGGAGTGTGACAAATGGAGAAGTAACACCCAAATTCAGAATAAGTGTCTATTCCAATGAGGACAAATGTCTGTCACCTATGTAATGAAACATGCCTAAAAACAATCTAGCTGGTAGCATTAGCTGGCTGATCCCATTAAATTATGGTCTCATAATATGGATTAAGAGTTTGTCACTGTTAATTGGCAATTTGCATATTTGGCTGTGGCAGTAGCCAAATAAGACACAGCCAAGAGAATTCTATTATGAGCCAAAACCTAGTTAACATTCCGAATCTCATTGCCAATTTATTCATGAAGCCATTGGGCAAAAACTGGGAAGTTTAGGGAAGAAGACTTGATTGATGTATCAGATGCATCCTTTGGTCCCAACCCGCATCTTCTTGGCTTATCTTTTTCTCCAGCCAGTTGATCAGGAAGCAGGATGGCAACCAGCCTCCTGTAGAGGGAATCTGTCAGCAGCCTGACTCAACTTCACTTTTTGCCTAGGGCACACTCCTGCATACACAACCTCAAACTGTGAGGCAGCTAACACCCAAGAGGCAACCCTTGACTAAGGAGGGGTAAGGCCAGGAGATACACAAATGCAGGCCAGGCATGGTGGCTGTACCTATAATCCCAGGACTTTGGGAGGCTTAAGTGGGAAGATCACTTAAGCCTGGTAATTCAAAATTACAGTGAGCTATAGTCACTGCACTCCGGCCTAGGCGACAGAGCAGGAGGACCTTGTCTAAATAAATAAATAAATGGAACATCTTACACTTATTCTCATAAGATCCAGCAGATAGAGCTCAGTTGCTCACAAAAGTGATTAACTCCAATATATGCCTTGCATTAGCTCTTCCCACTCTGACAAAATCACCAGACACCACCCAGAAATCAGTGTAAACCTGTCCCCAGGAAAGGTGTTATTCCCGGAAGGATGAAAGTTGGGCTTCCCTTCCCTCTGGCCATTTCTGTCTGGTAGCTGTGTCCTATGCAGAGCTATCTGCAAATCAGGCTTGAGTCTTCTCTTCTGTCAACAGGGCCTGGATGGAAATTGAGGGAGGGTGGCATGAGCTCTCATTCATTTTAATGGCTGCATAATATTTCATTATAAGGAATATTTAATCACATTTTATGTAACTAATTCATGGTATTTTTGTTGCTACAACAAAGCTGCTATGAATACCCCTCAAGTAGCCCCTCCATCACCTCAAAAAATGAAAATAATCCAGTGGAAGAAACTGACGTTAAGCTAGTAATTATGAAAATAGTGACTTCATTATAATTGTGATCTATGAAAGAAAAGTACTAAATGCTGTGACAGTACATTATACATAGACCTAACCTCATGGACTTGAGGGTGAGTCATAAAAAACTACCCTGAGGAAACGACATTTAAGTTAAGATTCAAAAGACAAGTATAAGTTAATCAGGTCAGTGGGTAGGAGGGAGGTGCGGATGAGGCAGAAGGAGCCAGCATGTGTGAAGGTGTCAGCTGGAATGTGCATCAGCATGGCAGCACACACACAAGTGCACAAGGCAAGAAAGATTAGCCCTTTGGGGAGTTGTCAGCACTGCAGCACATATACAAGGGCACACAGACGAGAAAGGTTAGCACTTTGGGGAGTTGTCAGCAGTGTACCACATAGAAAAGTGCACACAGGCAAGGAAGGTTAGCACTTTGGGGAGTTGCCAGCAGTCCTACCTGCCTGATCTTTAGAATGAGGTGGAGAAAGGTTGATGCAACTGTGAAGTACACAATAGGGAGCCGCTGGAGGATTTTAAGGAAGGATTTCCTAAATCTCACTCTGGAGGGGAATCTGGAGAGAGAAAAGGTTTAACATAGGAAAACCAGGCAGGGGACAGAACTAGCTGTGTGGTCTTAGACAAATCATGTAGCCTCTGTGAGCTCCAGTTGCCTCATCCGAAAATAGGGGTAATATTTCCTACCTTAGAGAGTGCTGTTATGATTATTGAGATAAAGTATTACAGATGTTAAATGTTTAATAAATGTTAACATTTATTATTTTTCTACATTCCTCGTTCTCCCTTACTTTTCATGTCTATTTTGACACAAAATCCTGCTCATCCTCCCTCCTAAACACCCCTCAGATCTGTTTTCTTTTCTGCAACATCCTTCTTTATTTAACTCTCATAAATTCTAACTTGGTTGCCTAGTTGGGTCTCTGCCTGCAGTCCATCCCTCCTCTAATTACAACTTGGCTACCAAAGTAATTAAACAGAAACCAGAATATTTCATCTGCCTGTAGAAAATTCTCCTGATTTTTTATCCGTTTAAGAACCACGACCAAAGCCTTAAATTAAATATGGGTATAAGATTCTTAATGATCTTCCCCCATATCTATATGTCATTCCTCCTCCTCACCATCCTCCCAGCCCACCCCTATAGTGTTCCATATTTCCTAGATGTTTTGGACCGCATGGAGATCCCTTGACACCCCAGGCTCTCTCACACACCCCACATCCTTACTCACACATTTGCTCCTGCCCCAGATACCTTCCCTCATGTGTGCCTCACAAACAAAATCCCTGTTCATGCTTTGAGACCCTGTTTCAATGTCACCTCTTCCTCCTCACACTTTCACAACCTCCTTAAACTGTATATTCAGACCTTCCCTGGGCCTCCAAAGCATTGTGCATATCCTTGTTCTTCAATCCTTATCACATTTATTGTAATTATTTTATTTATATTAATTTTCACCTCTGACACCATGAGCTTCTAAAAATAGTGACCTTGCTTAATCACCCTTGTATCCTCAGCACCTAACTCAAATTCTATCATATATTGGATGTACACTTGCTGGAAAAAAAAACGTATGAATGAATCCAACATAAAAAGTCACAGTGCATTTGGAACTAGTTGGTCTGTGATAACAGGATTTGGCCTCTAGGTGGCTGTGCTTAGGGGATCTAAGCTGTCAAGCCTGATTCTCCCCTGACTCCAGGGAATCTGGTCAGAAGGGCAACTAATTTCCTCTCTCACTTCTCACCTGCTTGCACTTGGGACCCACCTTGGGACCTAAGCCAGCTGCCCCCTCCACATGTGAGGTTGCAGTGCCATCTACTGGTATCTAGAAGACCTGCAGGTCAGGCCGAAGGAGGAAGAGGGAGGAAGAATTAAGGACCACTGTGGTTTAACCCTGCCGTGAAATCTCAGCTACCAGATCCCACATTGGGCAGTTTGTCCCACCTATGTGAGCCCATGCTTGCTAGGGAAAGCCCCTCATTTATACTTCCCGTTGACCGAATACCCTCAGTCATGTCTCAGTGTCCAGAGCCCTTTCTTCAACCCTCTGAGAGCCAGGGACCCCACCCTCAGTTTCATCAGGAGCTGGTCACCCTAAGTCAGTGACACAAGCATCCTCCTTGTCCCTCTCAGTAATAGAGCCTCTCACTCAGAAACCTCTGATCACCTGTAAGAATTTGTGACAGGACCCTCTCCTTCAGGCTTTGGTGACCAGATGTCTCCACCCAGGCCCTTAGTAAGTAGGGCCCTTGACTCAGACCCCTCAGTGATCAGGGATTTTTCCACAGGTCCCCAATGACCAGAGCATCATGTTTAGGCTCGTCATGGACCAGAGCCTACCCTCACCCCAGTTTTCAGTAACTAAGGACCTTCTCTGAGACACCTCAACAACAGTGCCTCAGCTCAGCCCCCTCAGTGACCACAGTCTCCTTCACAGGCCTCCCAGGGACCCTCACTCAGGCCCCTCAGTAACCAGGGTCCTCACTGAGCCCATCAATGATTGGGGTCCTCACTCTGCTTCTCCGTGAGCTGAGGACTCAGATTTCTCTAGTTTTCATTCAAGTTTCATTGACAGGAACCCTCCCTCAGACCCCTCATCAGGGATGGATTCTTCAATAAGCTGATAAGAAAGAGCTATGGCATTATGAAAGCAGAAACCACAAAACAGGAAAACAAATTTTTAAAGAATTCAATATTTGCAAAAGGCCATCAGTATGACCATCGTGGGATACATTTTATTAACTTTCTTTGTATTTATTTTATGGCCTATACCATTTTGTTTTGAATAACATGTAGAAACCAAACATAATCTTTAATGTGTTTAGACCTTTAACAGTCTTGATCAGCCCCATTCCTCAGGGACCCTGACCATCACTAAGAGCTGCATGACCAAAGGTCTTTAATTAAGGCCTAGTGAGCATAACAAGAACTGGGCAGGTCCCCTCAGGCCACCCAACTGTCTTCCGCTTCCCTCTCTCTGCTCCCCTGAGAAGCCTCTTATCTCCAGGGCTCTGCCTTCTGCTCCATCCCTGTGCCCTTTGTCCAGAGAGGGGCCACAGCTGCGCCCAGGTCTCATGAGGAGGAGTGGGCCCTGCTGGGCTAATTGGTGCAATCCCAGGGTTGTCCCCCAAAAGGCCGGCTTTGGCCACTCCAGCCCCAGCCCACATACATCAGGGATGATTAGCAATAACCCTCCAAAATGTTTCTGCCACACACTAATCCACATGAACAGTGTAACGTAAACAAACCAGCTTCCACTTTTACCCCAAATCCTCTGGGAACTTAGTACAGGGTCTAAAGTAAATACAAATTACAGGAAAACTTGGTGGCCAGATATAGGAAATTGTGATTCACCATCCCTATTCCTGTTCCCCCTCTTCCCAGAGCCATTTTTTCCTCTGTTTTAACTCATGCTGGGCTCCCTGCATTTGAGCTGCCCATGGAGTTCCTTTAAACATTAACCACTGTTCTTGTTTGCCAGCTGCCCCTAAGGCCTGTTTTTCCATCTACAAACAGAACCTTCAGCATTAAGGCCTTTTTTCAGAAGAAAAACCAAAACCATCCCATTAATCAAAAGCATAACAAGTCAGCCATTCAGTCAATGCATTCATTATTCATTCATTCATTCATTCATTCATTCATTCTTACCACACATCCTTATTGAGCTCCCCTGCGTATTGAGCCTTGTGCAAGGTATTGGGGAAACAACAGTGTATAAAATAGAATTCATCACTTTGGGAGGCCAAGGTGGGTAGCTCACGGGGTCAGGAGTTCAAGACCAGCCTGGCTAAGATGGTGAAACCCCGTCTCTACTAAAAATACAAAAAATTAGCTGGGCATGGTGGCGGACGCCTGTAATCCCAGTTACTCAGGAGGCTGAGGCAGAGAATTGCTTGAACCCAGGAAGCAGAGGTTGCAGTGAGCCGAGATCGTGCCACTGCACTCAAGCCTGGGCAACAGAGTGAGACTCTGTCTCAAAAAAAAAAAAATATATATATATATATAATTTATATATATATATAATTTATATATATAATTTATATATATATAATTCATATATATATAATTTATATATAATTCATATATATATAATTTATATATATAATTCATATATATATAATTTATATATATAATTCATATATATATATGAATTATATATATAATTCATATATATATAATTTATATATATATAATTCATATATATATATAAAATTCATGTCCTTGTGAAACTCACCTCCAATTAGGAGACACAGCTGTTAGACAAACTGTATGATTATTTATTTAATAGAAAATGTGATACATAGCCGGGCGTGGTGGCTTATGCCTGTAATCCCAGCACTTTGGGAGGCCAAGGCAGATGGATCACCTGAGGTCAGGAATTAGAGACCAGCCTGACCAACAAGGTGAAACCCCATCTCTAGTAAAAATACAAAAAAAAAAAAATTAGCTGGTCGTGGTGGCACGTGCCTGTAGTCCGAGCTACTCAGGAGGCTGAGACAGGAGAATTGCTCGAACCCGGGAGACGGAGGTTGTGGTGAGCCGAGATCGTGCCACTGCACTCCAGCCTGGGCTATCGAGCAAGACACCGTCTCAAAAAAAAAAAAGAAAGAAGGAAAATGTGATATATACTACAAAGGAGATGGACTTAATATTTGTTTAGGCCTGCGCTACATGCTCTGGGTGCTATAAAATAAGTGGATAAGGGATAAATCTACTGTCAAATATTCAAAATCGATGTGGAGAGCCAACCCAGAGGTCCTGCTAGGGAGGGGAGAGTTAAAAGAAACCTCTCAGTCTCCAGTTCTTGAGAATATCTCAAAGACTCTTGAGGACTGGAAAAAAACAGAAGTGTTGAGTAAAGACGTCCAGAAAACAGGGCCAAGGTGTCAGGGGTGACATATTGGACTAGCACCAACAGGTCAAACAAGAAGGCAAACTGTGTTTATAAAATGTTGCAGAGTGCTGCTGGTGGGCTGGCCAGAGATTGGAAGACAGGAAAGGCAGAATTTCTTCGAGTCAGAGCAAGGGGCATACAGGCTTCACGGCAAAGTGGATTTGTTCACTCATTTGTTTAATCATTACCTCTTGATTAATGTTAGGCACTGTGCTGGATGCTAAAGATACAGTAATTAACAGAAAAGTTTATTTGTGAAAACAGACATGTAAACAGATACACAATAAGCCCCAATAACTGCTATTAAAAATACATGCATGAGGCTTAACAGTGACACACTAAGTTACCCCTATAATAATGTCCCCATCACTAACTGGGGAGAAGAGGGAGTGGCATCACAGCCAGCTCTCAGGAATTGCTTCTCCAAAACCTTTGCTACACGTGCACCCAGCAGTGGTAGGAAGATTGCTAACACACCAATTGTCATGTCATTTTCAAGTCATCGTATTGCATTGAAATGTAATAGTTATTTTTGCCATTGGCTTTGATTTCCTTCCAAAATTCTTCCAGGGTTTCGATAAAATTGGGTTTAACCTTTGAGAGTGCGTATGAATATGGTTGTCATCCATTGTGTGTGGGTGGTGGAGAAAAGATTGAGAATGGCCGCCGTGCACGGCTGAGGATGAGTCACAATCTTTAGACCAGAAAGGGAGCTGAGTGGGAGGCCTGGCAGGAGAGAGTCGCAAGTATGAATCGGGGCTTTTGGCCCTGAGGCAATAATGATGTCACGCCATCTCTCCAATGTGGCCTCCCAGTGAGATGTCCTGATCTAGCCAGGCCTGGAACCTAGTGGAGAGGCGCCAGAAAGCCCAGTGCCAGGGTCTCCTTATTGTGTGATCCAAAACCTGTGCTTTGGAAATTTGACGTAGGTGAGCTATTTATATTTTATATGTTCTCTTCCTCTCTGTTCTGCAGAAAAAACTTCATAAAATGCCATCTATATCTGTACTTTCTTCATTGAATATGTATTGCTTGTTTAATTTTTTAAAGATATGGATTCAAAGTAATACAGTATAAAGAAAAGACCCTAAAATGAAAATGCCAGTTCAAACTGTGTTCAGACGAATTAAAGTTTTGTTCACATTCCTGGGAAAGCTGTAAAAAAGGAACAGCCCAACTCCAATTAGGAGTTGGGGACAAGGCTGGGCAAGCAGTTAGTTTTGAAGTCAGAAAACTCTCAGACTGCTGAGGAAAGAGGTGGGGATAGGCGTGGGAATTTCAGAGCCCTTGCCCTGCTCCCCCTGCCGCAGAATTCTCCTTCCAGAACTCCCCTGTGCCAGACTTTCCTAAGTTCCACAGTGGTATGCTTCCATGAGTAAAGTTGTTTCCATTACTGACAGATTATGGTGACCCAAGAGACATTTAGAATCCAGTTCTAGGCCTCAGAAGCTCTGTAAAGTCAGGGGACACAGGAGAGGCCAGTAGGCAGGGAATGCCACACAAATGTGAGCATCTCTTCCTTCCATCTCTTTAAAGTCTATCTTCAAGAACAAGCCCACACTCTACCTCCCTTGTGAAATTCTCCCTGACTCTTTGGCCACCACTGGCCTCTCCTTCCTGGAGTTCTTTAATTAT
Organism: Homo sapiens; assembly: GCF_000001405.40. Classification (NCBI taxonomy): domain Eukaryota; kingdom Metazoa; phylum Chordata; class Mammalia; order Primates; family Hominidae; genus Homo; species Homo sapiens. The sequence continues at coordinate 6,358,342 of NC_000011.10, forward strand.
GAAGATTAAGCACCATTTTATGTCTTTCTTCTTCTGGAAAATCATCTGATCATGTATTTTGCCTGCCTATCAGTGCCTCAGTGTATTCTTTTAAAGTCAGTTTATGGGAGTTCTTGGTGCAGCTAACTGCAAATATTTCCCTAGTTTATTTGCCTTTTTTATTTTGCTTAACTTTTATTTTTTGAGATGCTAAAGTTTAAAATACTTCTATAGCCGAGTCAGTTAATCTTTTCCTTTGTGATCACTTCTACTGCTTCTAAGATGGAAACATTACTTCCTTCCAGAGATTTGATAAACATTTTGGTGTTTCTGGGAATTTTTTTAAAAAGTTATTTAGTTCATCTGGAAAGTACTCGGTATACAATGTGAGAAGAGGATCTAGACTGATCTGATGGTAACTAGTTTTCCCAGAACTTTGTATTGAATAAATTTCTTGGCTGGGCGTGGTGGTTCACACCTGTAATCCCAGCACTTTGGGAGGCTGAGGCAGGCAGATCACCTGAGGTCAGGAATTCGAGACGAGCCTAGCCAACATGGTGAAACCCAGTCTCTATTAAAAATACAAAAAATTAGCCAGGCATGGTGGCAGGCACCTATAATCCCAGCTATTCCAAAGGCTGAGGCAGGAGAATCGCTTGAACCCAGGAGGCAGAGGTTGTGGTGAGCCGAGGTCACGCCATGGCACTCCAGCCTGGGCAACAAGAGCGAAACTCCATTTCAAAAAAAAATTTATTCTTTTTCCAGTGATTTTTTTTTTTTTTTTTGACAGGGTCTTGCTCTGTCACCCAGGGTAGAGAGCAGTGGCACAAACACCATTCATTGCAGCCTCAGCCTCCTCGGGCTGAAGCAATCCTCCCATGTAGCTGGGACCACAAGTGTGCACCCCCACACCCAGCTAATCTTTTTTTTTTTTTTTTTTTTTTTGTAGAGATGGGGATCTCCCTGTGTTGCGCAGGCTGATCTCAAATTCGTAGACTCAAGCGATACTCCCACCTTGGCCTCCCAAAGCATTGGGATTACAGGCGTGAGCCACCGCGCCTGTCCCCTATAGATTTTTTATTCCATTTTTATGGTATATTGAATTCATATATATCAGGTCAATCTTTTTTCCAGGCAACCTATTCAGCTCCAATAAAAGAGTGTTTGACACCTGACTGTGCATTGTTTATTACTCCCTGTTAAGTATAGTCAAAATAATTTAAAGAAAAAAATCACATACTTTACTTCCAATTATTTATCCAACATCCAACTGAATGTTGACTTTGGGACAGACACTGGCTGGGTGCTGGAAATAGAGTGGAGAATAAGACAGGTATGGTTTCTGCCATTACTATACTCATAATCAAATAGCAATAATGATAAGACTACAGAAAGTGTTTAGCAGCAAACTGCATCTTAGAGGTGATGGGAGGGAAGTGTTGGAGAAACCCACTGGAGGCTTCCATCTGACACCTGAAGGATGAGTGGACACTAACACAAAGAGAAGGAGGCTGGCAGAATCCAGAACATGATGAGACCTAGGCCAGGCACCTCCTACTAGGACCTTGATTACAGCTTTATGGAACCAATGGAACCTGGAGGAAAAGAAGCAGGTAAAGATGAGAAAACTGATCACCCTGCAAGGACTATCCTGAGCAGAAAAGGGGAGCTCCTACTTCATGCCAGACATCATGCCAACACTTGCATATAACTCTCAGTTCATCCTCAGAATCCTCCTTGGGGTTACTTTATTTATTCCACTGTACTATCACTGGGAGACTAAGGCCAGAGTGTTTACATTCCCCACTTGCTGGGGTCCCAGATCATAATGTGGGCAGGATGAAGCCCTGAAGCATGAACGCATCCACCTTGTTCTGTTCCTTTCCTCCCTCCTCGGGGGAAGTTTGCTATCCCTGAACCTTTGTGCTTCTTGATCTCATGTCATACAATCTTAGACATAAGTCTAAAAGACGTTGACTCACCAGAGTCCTTGGACTGGCAGGGGCCTAGGTCAGACTGTGGAATCTCCAGAGCCAAATTTGTCTTTTCAAATTCTAAGTTCTCGGCACTTGGTTTCTCATGTCACCCACTTGGCCCTCTTCCAAGTGTACTTTCCTTCTTTTCTTTCCTTACTATTCTAAAGCTTTTTAATAAACTTCCACTGCTGCTCTGAAATTTGCCTTGGTCCTTTTTTCTGCCTTATGCCTCTCAGTTGAATTCTTTCTTCTTCTTTTTTTTTTTTTTTTTTTTTTTGAGACAGAGTTTCACTCTTGTTGCCCATACTGGAGTGCAATGGCACAGTCTCCACTTACTGCAACCTCTGCCTCCTGGGTTCAAGCGATTCTCTTGCCTCAGCCTCCTGAGTAGCTGGGATTATAGACATGCACCACCACGCCCAGCTAATTTTTGTATTTTTAGTAGAGAGAGGGCGTCTCCATGTTGGTCAGGCTGGTCTCGAACCCCCAACTTCAGGTGACCCACCCGACTCGGCCTCCCAAAGTGCTGGGATTACAGGCATGAGCCACCACGCCTGGCTGAATTCTTTCTTCTAAGGAGGCAAGAATTGAGGTTGCTGCAGATGCATACAGATTCGCTGCCAGTAACTCAGATACCTGCCACTGCTAACATATTTGGTGCTGACTGACTCAGATATGTTCCCTAGTGGTGAGAGATCTCTATGCCTCACCTTCTTCAGCTGGAGGCGTCTGATCCCTGTGTGTGGTTTTTCTTCTCCTCTCTAAAAAAAAAAAAAAAAAAAAGAAAAAAAAAATTCGAAGTTCTCTACCCACCTTTATAGCTCAATGAGCTCATAAATAGTCATCAGGACCTGCTGGTTGTTGCAGATATTTACACCAAAACTTCAAAACAATGCACACTTGCAGGATCACTGTCTTACTAGGTATCTTTCGGGACTGCATTCCAAAAGCTCTCCATTTCCATTACTGTGTTCCATGGCCAAGACCCACCCACATGGCCACCACCTTTGCTTCCTCTGTACCCCTGTACTCTAGTTGTAAATGCCAGTTGCTTCCCACCCCTCACTTCCCTGCCACACCACCATATATATGACAGCTAGCCATTTTATACCAGCGCTACTCAAAATTGTGGCCTACAGGCCAGTATCCACCTACAAATTATTTGTTCCCATGAGAAGATAAGTTCAGAAATGGAGAGTAAGCATTTAGAAATGTCTATAGCAATTTGACAGAATCATTATTTATCATTTAATTTAATAACAAAAAGTACACCTAACGCCATATGGTATCCTGAATTAGATTCTGAAACAGAAAAAGGACATTAGTGGAAAAACTGCTGAAATCTGAAGAGAGTCTGTAGTTTAGTGAATAGTACCATGCCACAGCTAATTTATTAGTTTCGATAAATGTACCACAGTTATCCAAGATATTAACATTAGGGGAAATTGAATGAAGGGTACACAGCAACTGTCTACTCTCTTCGCAACTTTTCTGCAAATCTAAAATTATTCCAAAATAAAAAGTTTATTTTTACAAACTGGGTTCATATTTTGTGTCTTTTTAAATTTTTTCTTTTTTTTCTTTTTTCTTTTTGAGACGAAGTCTTACTCTTGTCCCCTAGGCTGGAGTGCAATGGCACGATCTCGGCTCACTGCAACCTCCGCCTCCCGGGTTGAAGCAATTCTCCTGCCTCAGCCTCCTAAGTAGCTGGGATTACCGGTGCCTGCCACCACGCCCAGCTAATGTTTGTATTGTTAGTAGACACAGGGTTTCACCATGTTGGCCAGACTGGTCTCAAACTCCTGACCTCAGGTTATCTGCCCACCTCGGCCTCCCGAAGTGCTGGGATTACAGGCATGAGCCACCACGCCCGGCCAAATTTTTGTTTTTCTAGCAATTTAATTGCATTTTACAAAAGTGTCAGTCTGCAGTGGATTTGAAATGCAAATGTTTAAAATAAAATTGGTCTTGTCACCATGGATAGTTTGAGAAACACTGCTTTGTACACTCTGTATCCCCCATGGAGCTTGTCACCATAATTGCTATGCACTCTGATCACTAATACTTGTTGATGATGGCCAAACCCACAGGTGTGAGTTTTGGAACCAGTTGCTGCACATTGTAGATAAAGTCACAGCCCAGGGCCCTGTCAATCCTCCAATACAGGGACATTTCAGGACTCTGTTGTATACTGAATACTGCCATATCCCAGGGCCCTGTCACATCGTAGCTGTTGCACACCAGATACTATCACAGCTCAGGGCCAAGCAGGGGCTGTGACAAGCCCCTGGGAAATGCCAGTATATAAAGATTGACAGGACAGGCCCTGGGTTGTTCTGCACATGGAGGTTCCTGGGACGTGCCATTATTTGAGGGATGCCAGAGCCCCACTCTGTGTCTATATCTGGGGTATGACAAGGCCCTGGACTGTGACATGGTTCTGGAATGTGGCCACGCCCCGTGAGTGAGGTATTGAGTTCTGGGCTGTGACAAGTTCTGACTGTGCCAGGGTACAGACTCTTAATTCCTTCTGGAATACTGAGAGTGCCGGGAAATGACAGCTTAATGTTCAGGGTACGTCTTAGTTTGTCTTGGATCTTGTGACAGGGACAGCTGCATTAGTCTTGGAGTGAAAGTGTATCTGAGTATGTTGGGCCACATTTGCAGTAGTTTGTTCTGAACTCCAGAGCTATTGACCAAGCCCGTCCTGCCTTCTGAGGTATGGAAGACACTGAGGCCTCCTGACCCACGGCACAGCATTCTCTGCTTCCAGCGCGTCTGCCTTGGGCCATCACCCCAGAGAGTTTGATCAAGGTCTGTCTTACCACACCCCCTCCCAAATTCTTGCAGCTCCCAAAGCTGCTGGAGGCAGCACCTGAGCCTGTCTCTCCGCTGAGCTTCTTCACCCCAAGGACTGCCTGCTGGCTGCCCACTTCTCATCAGGCAAGGCCACAGTGCCATCTGCTGGCTATTGGGAGCCATGCTGGTCAGGTTGGGAGGGCACAGGAGCATGCTAGGCTGACAAGGAGCACTGAGCTCTCCCCACCTCAGCTCAGGAATAACAGAAGTGGCCTTTCCCTTAAGCCCCCACTGACCAGAGCCCCTCATTCAGGCTTCAGTCACCAGAGCCCCCTGCTCAAGTCCTTTAGTTACCATGGCCTCTAGGTCAGTCTCCTCAGGAATCAGGGCCCCTTGTGCAGCCCCCAGTCCCACCCCCCACTGACCAGAGCCTCAGTGACCAGGGCCCCTAGGTCATGCATCCAATGACCAGGGCCTCTTTCTAAGGCTCTCTACTGACCAGAACCCCTCATTCTAGCTCCATGGTGGTGAGGGCACCTCATTTAGGCTTGGCTTCACAATCAGGTCATTCAATGACCAGGACCTATAGCTCTTGACCCCCAAAGACCAGGGCCTTTCTCAGACCCCCACGACCAGGTCCTTTCAGTGACCTATAGTCCTCTCTTTTAGGACCCTCTGTGCCTAGGTTACTAAAGACCATTACTCAGAGGACATAAGGAGTGGTGTTTGTGGGGGCTCTTTGATCCCCAAGAGCTGGACAGGTCCCATCTGTTTCCTCTGTTTATCGTCCCCTTCCCACTGGTCTCCAGAGAGGCCTCTGGCCACTGGGGCTTTCCATTTTGTTTTGCCTGTGCTCCCGGGTCCCTCTTCAGACATGGCCACAGCTGTGCCCAGGTCTCATAACAAAGGTGGTCTCTGTTGAGTTAACTAATCCCATCCCGGGAACTGTGGCCCAAGAAGACTAGATTCTATAGCATGGCAGCCCACCTGGGCCTCGCATCTGCTGGCCCTCTAACACCAGACCACACACCCCTGTGCCATCTCACCACCTCCCATAGGCAGGCCTCCCATCACATCTATCTCAGGCCGTATTACCCAAAGGCCAAATGCTTCCAGTCCCAGCATCCCACCAGTCCCTGGCACCTGTCCTAGATACCAAGTGTGACTTTTCCCATTTTCCTTTTCTTCCAGACCCAAGCCTAATCCAGGTCCTACCCTTCTCAGCCCCCATCCCACTTGGGTTTATTTACTTATTCAAACAAACATCAAATGAGCATCTACATATTAGGATTCTAGATAGGGGTGTGGGGTCAGTGTGCAGGGACGGCAGCATAGAAGAGGGACTTTGGTTGAGACTTGAAGGATGAATAGGAGTTTGCCAAAGGGTCAAAGGATAGGAAGCTATTTGAGGAAGAAGAAACTGCATATACTACACAAATATACAGAGGACCCTGGTCAGCCATGTGGTTGGAGCACAAAGTGAAAAGTGAGGAGAGAGGGAGAAGAGAGACTTGAACAGGGAAGCAGAGAACAACAGATGGAAGATCTTGTAGCTGAGCTAAGGAGTATGAATTTTTTTCCCCTAGGATGGAAAAACACAGAAGTTTTTTCAAATTTCCAAGTAGGAAGTTATGATTCCAAAAAAAAGAAAAAGAAAAAGAAAAGAAGGCTTTTTCTAATTAGAAAGGTCAGGTTAGTGGCATTGTGGAAGACGGATTGGACAGGGGCAAAAGTAGACCCAGGGAGACTAGTCAGTCTAGCCAGTCAGCCAACAAGTGTTTTGTAAGTTCTGTAGTAGGTTAAATAGTTGCTTCCCCCACTCCAAAAGTTATGCCCATGTCCCAGAACCCGTGAATGTGACCTTATTTGGAAAACAGAACTTTAAAGATGTAATCAAGTTAAGGATCTCAGGATCCTTGATTATCTGATGGGCCTTAAATCCAATGGCAAATGTCCTTAAAAGAAACAAATGCAAGAGAAGGCCACTGAAGACAGAGGCAGAGATTGCAGTGATGCAGCCATAAGCCAAGGAATGCCCGGAAATGTCAGAAGCAGAAAGAGCAGATTCTCCCTTCAAGCCTTCAGAGGGAGTGTGGCCCTGCTGACATCTTGACATCAAACCTCTAGCCTCCAGAACAATGAGAATAAATTTATGTTGCCTTATGCCACCAAGTTTGTGGTAATTTTTTACAACAGCTCTAGGAAACCAATACACACGCTGACCAGGTACTGTGGTAGACACTGGGCGTATCATAATGAACACAGTAGATGTTTCCTGCCCTCTTGAATCTTAACAGTAAGCAAGTTTATTCATTCATTCACTCAACAAATATTCATTTGGCACCTGTAATATTCCAACCACTGTTCTAGGTACTTGGGTTACACTGGTGAAGAGTCTCTACTTTTGTGCAGTTCATTACTAGTGGAAGAAACAGACAGCAAACAAGTAAATAATAGAAGAGAAGAGAACAAATGAATAGAAACAGTAAAATAGAATGGAAGAGAGTAGAATAGAAACACTAGAACAGAAAAGAACTAAACAGAGCATATTAGAGTAGAACAAAATAGAATAGAATAGGAGTAGGGATAAGTGACCTAAAGAAAAATAAAGCTGGGTAAGGACAGGGTGAGGACCCGTTCCTCAGGTTTCCTTCCAGACCTCCTCCTGCTTGGCTCTGAATTGCTGGGGAACTGGTCTCTGCAGGCTGCATTTCCCAGGCTCCCGTTAGCTGGTGGACTTTGACCATTCAGATGAACTGGTAGGAGACTGGCAGTCAGAATCCAGCAGCCTGCCAGGATTTTTCACCACCTTTTCCTCTGCCTCTGCTGTGACTGTATCTCATTTAAGCCTCCATTGCTGAATAGGCCTGCTGTGGTTCTACCTTCTACACAGTGGCCTTCTTCCTGGGAAAAGTCTCTTCTCTGTCCCTCCTGTCAGGCCTCTGAGCCAAAGCTAAGCCATCATATCCCCTGTGACCTGCACATACACATCCAGATGGCTGGTTCCTGCCTTAACTGAGGACATTCAACCACAAAAGAAGTGAAAATGGCTGGTCCTTGCCTTAACTGATGACATTACCTTGTGAAATTCATTTTCCTGGCCCATCCTGGCTCAAAAGCTCCCCCACTGAGCACCTTGTGACCCCCACCCCTGCCCGCCAGAGAACAACCCCCTTTGACTATAATTTTCCTTTACCTACCCAAATCCTATAAAATGACCCCACCCCTATCTCCCTTTGCTGACTCTCTCTTCAGACTCAGCCCGCCTGCACCCAGGTGAAATAAACAGCCTTGTTGCTCACACAAAGCCTGTTTGGTGGGCTCTTCACACGGACGGGAGTGAAATTTTGGTGCCGTGACTCGGATCGGGGGACCTCCCTTGGGAGATCAATCCCCTGTCCTCCTGCACTTTGCTCCATGAGAAAGATCCACCTACGACCTTGGGTCCTCAGACCGACCGGCCCGAGGAACAACTCACCAATTTTAAATCGGGTAAGTGGCCTTTTTTTTACTCTCTTCTCCAACCTCTCTTACTATCCCTCAACCTCTTTCTCCTTTCAATCTTGGCACCACACTTCAATCTCTCCCTTAATTTCAGTACCTTTCCCTTTATGTTAGAGACAAAGGAGACACATTTTATCCGTGAACCCAAAACTCCGGCGCTGGTCACGGACTCAGGAAGACAGTCTTCCCTTGGTGTTTAATCACACGGGGATGCCTGCCTGATTATTCACCCACATTTCAGAGGTGTCTGACCACGTGGGGATGCCTGCCTTGGTCCTTCACCCTTAGTGGCAAGTACTGCTTTTCTGGGGGACAAGAAACCCCTGACCCCTTCTCTCCATGTCTCTACCCCTTCTCTGCTTTTCTAGGGGGCAAGAACCCCCCGCCCCTTCTCTCCGTGTCTCTACTCTCTCTTTTCTCTGGGCTTGCCTCCTTCACTATGGGCAATCTTCCACCCTCCATTCTTCCCTCTACTCCCTTAGCCTGTGTTCTCAAGAACTTAAAACCTCTTCAATTCACACCTGACCTAAAACCTAAACACCTTATTTTCTTCTATAATCCTGCCTGACCCCAATACAAACTCGACAGTGGTTCCAAATAGCCAGAAAACAGCGCTTTTGATTTTTCCAACCTACAAGATCTAAATAATTATTGTCGTAAAATAGGCAGTCTGAGGTGCCTGACGTCCAGGCATTCTTTTACACACCGGTCCCCCCCAGTCTCTGTTCCCAATGCAACTTGTCCCAAATCTTCCTTCTTTCCCTCCCGCGTGTCCCCTCAGTCCCAACCCCAAGCATCACTGAGTCTTTCTAATCTGCCTTTTCTACAGACCCATCTGACCTCCTCCCCAGGCTGCTCCTTGCCAAGCCGAGCTAAGTCCCAGCTCTTCCTCAGCCTCTGCTCCCCCACCCTATAATCCTTTTATCACTTCCCCTCCTCACACCCGGTCCAGCTTACAGTTTCGTTCCGAGACTAGCCCTCCCCCACCTGCCCAGCAATTTCTCTTAAAAAGGTGGCTAGAGCTAAAAGCATAGTCAAGGTTAATGCTCCTTTTTCTCTATCCAACCTCTCCCAAAATCAGTTAGCGTTTAGGCTCTTCATCAAATATGAAAAACCCCGCCCAGTTCATGGCCTGTTCGGCAGCAACCCTGAGACGCTCTACAGCCCTAGACCCTGAAAGGTCAAAAGGCCATCTTATTCTCAATATACATTTTATTTTATTACCCAATCTGCTCCCGACATTAAATAAAGCTCCAAAAATTAAATTCCGGCCCTCAAACCCCACAACAGGATCTAATTAACCTCGCCTTCCAGGTGTACAATAATAGAGTAGAGGCAGCCAAGTAGCAACATATTTCTGAGTTGCAATTCCTTGCCTCCACTGTGAGAGAAACCCCAGCCACATCTCCAGCACACAAGAACTTCCAAACGCCTGAACCGCAGTGGCCAGGCGTTCCTCCAGGCCCATGTCCCCCAGGAGCTCGCTACAAGTGCCAGAAATCTGGCCACCAGGCCAAGGAATGCCCACAGCCCAGGATTCCTCCTAAGCCATGTCCTATCTGTGCAGGACCCCACTGGAAATCGGACTGTCCAACTCACCTGGCAGCCACTCCCAGAGCCCCTGGAACTCTGGCCCAAGGCTCTCTGACTCCTTCCCAGATCTTCTTCGCTTAGTGGCTGAAGACTGACGCTGCCCAATCACCTCGGAAGCTTCCTGGACCATCACAGACGCTCTGGGTAACTCTCACAGTGGAAGGGAAGTCCATCCCCTTCTTAATCAGTACAGAGGCTACCCACTCCACATTACCTTCTTTTCAAGGGCCTGTTTCCCTTGCCTCCATAACTGTTGTGGGTATTGACGGCCAGGCTTCTAAACCTCTTAAAACTCCCCAACTCTGGTGCCAACTTAGACAACACTCTTTTAAGCACTCCTTTTTAGTTATCCCCACCTGCCCAGCTCCCTTATTAAGCCAAGATATTTTAACTAAATTATCTGTTTCCCTGACTATTCCTGGGCTATAGCCACACCTCATTGCTGCTTTTCCCCCAGTTCAAAGCCTCCTTCACATCCTCCCCTTATATCTCCCCACCTTAATCCACAAGTATAAGACACCTCTACTTCCTCCTTCGCGACCGATCATGCACCCCTTACCATCTCATTAAAACCTAATCACTCTTACCCCGTTCAATGCCAGTATCCCATCCCACAGCATGCTTTAAAAAGATCAAAGTCTGTTATCACTCGCCTGCTACAGCATGGCCTTTTAAAGCCTATAAACTCCCCTTACAATTCCCCAATTTTACCTGTCCTAAAACCAGACAAGCCTTACAGGTTAGTTCAGGATCTGCGCCTTATCAACCAAATTGTTTTGCCTATCCACCCTGTGGTGCCAAACCCATATACTCTCCTATCCTCAATGCCTCCCTCCGCAACCCATTATTCTGTTCTGGGTCTCAAACATGCTTTCTTTACTATTCCTTTTCACCCTTCATCCCAGCCTCTCTTCGCTTTCACCTGGACTGACCCTGACACCCACCAGGCTCAGCAAATTACCTGGACTGTACTGCCGCAAGTCTTCACAGACAGCTCCCATTACTTCAGTCAAGCCCAAATTTCTTCCTCATCTGTTACCTATCTCGGCATAATTCTCATAAAAACACACGTGCTGTCTCTGCCGATCATGTCCGACTGATCTCTCAAACCCCAACACCTTCACAAAACAAAACTCCTTTCCTTCCTAAGCATGGGTAGATACTTTCGACTATAGATACCTGGTTTTGCCATCCTAACAAAACCATTATATAAACTCACAAAAAGAAACCTAGCTGACCCCGTAGATCCTAAATCCTTTCCCCACTCCTCTTTCTGTTCCTTGAAGACAGCTTAAAGACTGCCCCTACCCTACCTGTCTCTGACTCATCCCAACCCTTTTCATTACCCACAGCCAAAGTGCAAGGCTGTGCAGTCAGAATTCTTACACAAGGACCAGGACTGTGCCCTGTAGCCTTTTTATCCAAACAACTTGACCTTACTGTTTTGCCTAGCCCTCAAGTCTGCGTGCGGTGGCCACCACCACCCTAATACTTTTAGAGGCCCTTAAAATCACAAACAATGCTCAACTCACTCTCTACAGTTCTCATAACTTCCAAAATCTATTTTTTCCTCACACCTGACACATATACTTTCTGATCCCCAGCTCCTTCAGCTGTACTCACTCTTTGTTGAGTCTCCCACAATTACCATTGTTCCTGGCCCGGACTTCAATCTGGCCTCCCACATTATTCCTGATACCACACCTGACCCTCATGACTGTATCTCTCTGATCCACCTGACATTCACCCCATTTCCTTCTTTCCTGTTTCTCACCCTGAACACACTTGGTTTAGTGATGGCAGTTCCACCAGGCCTAATCGCCACACACCAGCAAAGGCAGGCTATGCTATAGAACAAGCCACCAGCCCGCCTCTTAGAACCTCTCATTTCCTTTCCATCGTGGAAATCTATCCTTAAGGAAATAACTTCTCAGTGCCATCTGCTATTCTACTACTCGTCAGGGATTATTCAGGCCCCCTCCCTTCCCTACACATCACGCTTGAGGATTTGCCCCGCCCAGGACTGGCAAATTGGCTTTACTCAACATGCCCCGAGTCAGGAAATTAAAATACCTCTTGGTCTAGGTAGACACTTTCACTGGATAGGTAGAAGCCTTTCCCACAGGGTCTAGGAAGGCCACCATGGTCATTTCTTCCCTTCTGTCAGACATAATTCCTCAGTTTGACCTTCCCACCTCTATACAGTCCAATAACAGACCGGCCTTTATTAGTCAAAGCACCCAAGCAGTTTCTCAGGCTCTTAGTATTCAGTGAACTAATGGTCTTTTAAAAACTCACCTCACCAAGCTCAGTCACCAACTTAAAAAGGACTGGACAATACTTTTACCACTTGCCCTTCTCAGAATTCAGGCCTGTCCTCGGAATGCTACAAGATACAGCCCATTTGAACTCCTCTATAGACGCTCCTTTTTATTAGGCCCCAGTCTCATTCCAGACACCAGACCAACTTGGACTGCACCCCAAAAAACTTGTCATCCCTACTATCTTCTGTCTAGTCATACTCCTATTTACCGTTCTCAACCACTCATAAATGCCCTGCTCTTGTTTACACCGCCGGTTTACACTGTTTCTCCAAGCCATCACAGCTGATATCTCCTGGTGCTATCCCCAAACCGCCACTCTTAACTCCCTCTTAAAGTAAATAAATAATCTTTGCTGGCAGGGCTATGCTGAAAAGGCACTCTCTAGTTAGATGTTCTAGGTCCTCCCAATTCTTAGTCCTTTAATTCCTGTTTTTCTCCTTGTCTTATTCCGTTTAGTTTTTCAATTCATACAAAACCGTATCCAGGCCATCACCAACAATTCTATACAACAAATGTTTCTTCTAACAACCCCACAATATCACCCCTTACCACAAAATCTTCCTTCAGCTTAATCTCTCCCACTCGAGGTTCCCACGCCACCCCTAATCCCGCTTGAAGCAGCCCTGAGAAATATCGCCCATTCTCTCTCCATACCACCCCCCAAAATTTTCGCTGCCCCAACACTTCAACACTATTATGTTTTATTTTTCTTATTAATATAAGAAGACAGGAATGTCAGGATGCTGAGCCAAAGCTAAGCCATCATATCCCCTGTGACCTGCACGTACGCATCCAGATGGCCAGTTCCTGCCTTAACTGAGGACATATCACCACAAAAGAAGTGAAAATGGCCGGTCCTTGCCTTAACTGACGACATTACCTTGTGAAATTCCTTCTCCTGGGTCATCCTGGCTCAAAAGCTCCCCCACTGAGCACCTTGTGACCCCCACCCCTGCCCACCAGAGAACAACCCCCTTTGACTGTAATTTTCCTTTACCTACCCAAATCCTATAAAACGGCCCCACCCCTATCTCCCTTTGCTGACTCTCTCTTCAGACTCAGCCCGCCTGCACCCAGGTGAAATAAACAGCCTTGTTGCTCACACAAAGCCTGTTTGGTGGTCTTTTCACACGGACGTGAGTGAAACCTCCAACCTAGGGGTGGTAGCAACTTCTTGCTGTTGCTGGTCTCTGGGTCACCTCACTCTTCTGGTTGGAGTCTCTGCCTTTTCAATCACCCTTGTAGCCAGTTGTTTGTATTAAACTTTATCTTATGAAAATGTGCAGTGTGGTTCCTGTTTTCCTAGTAGGACCCTAGTCAACATAGAAGGGAGGTAGCGTGCTATTTTCAAATCTGTGGTCAGAGAAGATCCATTGAGCAGAGACGTAAGTAATGTGAAGGGGCGAGGCAAGGGATAAAGATCTGGGGGGAAGAGGATTCCAAGGAGAGGTAAAAGCCAGTGTGAAGGCCATAAAAGGGAAATGTTTGAGTGCATTCAAACAACAGCAATAAGCATGCATTCCGTTACCAAGGGAGGAACCAGAGAAGCTGGGGTTGGTGGGGTAGGCGGGGCCACCTTTCTGCTCAAGGCCTTCAGATCAGTCCCAGCAATGGCCTTCAAAGCCCTTCATAATTTAGTCTCTCGTTGCCTGTCTGACTTCAGCTCTTACTACTCCTTCCATTCCCCACTCTGCTCCAGCCACTGTCATTTCCTTGTTCTTCCTCAGCACTGCCCAGATGTGTTCCCACCACAGCACCTTGCACATGTTGTTCCTTCTGTCTGGAATATTTTCTCCCAGATATCCACAAAGCTTACTTTCTCATCTCCTTCAAGTCTTTGCTCAAATATAGTCTTTTTTTTTTTTAGATGGAGTCTCACTCTGTCACCTAGGCTGGAGTATAGTGGTGTGATCTCGGCTCACTGCAACCTCCGCCTCCTGGGTTGAAGAAATTCTCTGCCTCAGCCTCCCAAGTAGCTGGGATTACAGGCACCCACCACCTTACCCGGCTAATTTTTTGTATTTTTAGTAGAGAGGGGGTTTCGCCATCTTGGCCAAGCTGGTCTTGAACTCCTGACCTCATGATCCACCGGCATCGGCCTCTCAAAGTGCTGGGATTACAGGTGTGAGCCACCGCACCTGGCCACCCAAATATAGTCTTCTTAGTGAAACATCCCCTAATCACCCTGCTTCAAATTGCACACCCACCCCAGCTCTCCCCAACCCCTTTCATTCTTAATTTTCCTTCATGGCACTATTTGCTTTTTTGTAAACTCTATGACAGCAGGGATTTTTGAATGCTTAGTTTCAAAACATCGATGTATCCCCATCACTAATGTATCCCCCAATACCTGAACAGTGCCTGGCACACTGTAGATCTCTATACTAATTTGTTGAATTAATTAATTTTCATCAGGGGAATGAAACAATCTGATATACAATTTCAAAAGAGAGGAGTGGGCTATGGGAAATCGACTTGGGGGCAATGGTGAAATCAGGGAAAACCAGTTAGGATAACTTGTAGCAATCTAAGATAGAGATGGTAGTAACTTAGGCTAAGACAGTAGCTACAGAGGTGATCAGAGGTAAGACTTAGGTTGGGTTTTAGAGGAGAAATAGACATGACTTGATAATTAATAAAATGTAGAGGTAAAGGGAGATGAAGTGTCAAAGATGACTCCAAGAGCTGGGCACAGTGGTGTATGCCTGTAGTCCTAGCTACACAGGAGGCTGAGGCAGGTGGATCCCTTGTGCCCAGGAGTTTGAGACCAGCCTGGGAAAGACAGCAAGACCCTATCTTTAAAAAAAAAAAAAAAATTGTTTAAAGAAAAAGAATTTAAAAATTTTAAAAAATTGTTTTAATGACTCCAAGTGTCCGGTATGCTGAGGTGCCCATCCCTAGATAGGAAAGACTGGAGCAGTGTCAAAATCAGAATGAAAGATCAAAAGCTCCATTTTGGACATAGTTAAGTTAGAGATGTCTGAGCTCAGAAGCTCATCAACATATTAAAAGTATCTGAGGCTGGGAGTGGCTATGATCATCTGGCCCTAAGGAGACGTAAAGATGCCAGGTTCTGTATTAAGTTGATCAAAAGATCCTCAAATATGCAGCAAATATTCCTTGTCACTTTATGGACAACTGGATTCCTCTTAAGTTTTTTCTCTTGGTCAAAAGTGAATTGCAGCTGGGTGTGGTAGCTCACATCTGTAATCCCAGCACCTTAGGAGGCCAAGGCAGGCAGATCATTTGAACTCAGAAGTTCAAGACCAGCCTGGGCAATGTGGTGAAGCCCTGTTTCTATAAAAAAAAACACAAAAATTATCTGGGCATGGTGGCGCATGCCTGTAATCCCAGCTACATGGGAGGCTGAGGAGGGAGGATGGCTTGAGCCTGGGTGGTAGAGGTTGCAGTGAGCCAAGATGGTGCCACTGCACTCCAGCCTGGGCAACAGAGAGCCAGACCCTGTCTCAAAAAACAATAATAATAATTTAAAATTAAAAAAAAAAGTCAATCCCTGGCCAGGCATGGTGGCTCAAGCCTGTAAACCCAGCACCTTGGGAGGCCAAGGCAGGTGGATCACCTGAGGTTGGGAGTTCGAGACCAGCCTGACCAACATGGAGAAACCCCGTCTCTACTAAAAATACAAAATTAGCCAGGCACAGTGGTGCATGCCTGTAATCCCCAGCTACTCGGGAGGCTGAGGCAGGAGAATCGCTTGAACCCAGGAGGCAGAGGTTGCGGTGAGCCGAGATCCTGCCACTGTACTCCAGCCTGGGCAATTAGAGCATAACTCCATCTCAAAAAAAAAAAAAAAAGTTAATTCCCACATTCCAGTATGGCCGTTAGACCTTTCAAACAGGGCTTCTGCCCAGCCCCACCTCTGAGCGGATCCCTGCTCTGGAGTGACTTCTGCAACATTTTCTAAGTCTCTGATGCTTGGAACCAGCTGGGGCCAGCAGGGCTTCCCAGTGAGACACCTCAAGTCCGAATGAAGATCCATGTGAGCCACAATTTCTATTTCTTTTCTTCAGAAGAAGAAAGCACAGTCAGCCGAACGCTGTGGCTCATGCCTGTAATCCTAGCACTTTGGGAGGCCAAGGTGGGCGAATTGCCTGAGCTTAGGCATTCAAGAACAGCCTGGGCAACATGGCAAAACCCCATCTCTACTAAAAATACAAAAATTAGTAGGACATGGTAGCCCATGCCCATAGTCCCAGCTACTTGGGAGGCTGAGACAAGGGAATCACTTGAACCTGGGAACCTGAGGTTGCAGTGAGCCGAGATCATGCCACCACACTCCAGCCTGGGTGAGAAAGTGAGACCCTGTCTCAATTAAAAAAAAAAAAAAAAGAAGAAGAAGAAGAAGTAGAAGAAGAAAGCACAGGATTTTTCTCTTGGAGCATAGAAGGTCTTTCTAGGTATGACATAACACATAACCCATAAAAGGAAAGGTCAAGATTTTGACAATATAAAATAAAAATTCCACATTACAAAACCCACCATAAGCAAAATGCAAAAGACAGAAAATCAAACTGGAAAAAAATTAACACTCTCATTAGTGACAAATTTATCTTGTTGAAAGAAAAACTTCAGCCAAATTAAATTTAAAAGAGTTTAATTGAGCAATGAACGATTCATGAATCAGGCAGCCCCTAGAATCACAGCAGATTCAGAGAGACTCCAGCGGTTCCTCATGGTCAGAACAGATTTATAAATAAAAAAAGTAAAGTAATATACAAAAACCAGAAGTCGGCTCACGTAGTGAGCTCACTGCCTGTAATCCCAGCACTTTGGGAGGCCAAGGCGGTCGGATCACGAGGTCAGGAGATCGAGACCATCCCGACTAACACGGTGAAACCCCGTCTCTACTAAAAATACAAAAAATTAGCCGGGCATGGTGGCGGGCACCTTTAGTCCCAGCTACTCGGGAGGCTGAGGCAGGAGAATGGCATGAACCTGGGTGGTAGAGTTTGCAGTGAGCCAAGATCGCGCCACTGCACTCCAGCCTGGGGAACAGACTGAGACTCTGTCTCAAAAAAAAAAAAAAAAAAAAAGTGAGGTACAGAAACAGCTGGATGGGTTACAGGTTGGCCTTTGCCTTATTTGAACACAGTTTGAACACTCAGCAGTCTGTGAGTGGTTGAAGTATGGCTGCTGGGATTGGCCAAGACACAGCTATCATTACAGGTGTATAGTCTTAAATTAGGTTTTCAATCTTGTCTGCCTATTAAGCTATGTTACGATTTGTCTACAAGGACTCAAATATAGAAGTATGGAGTCCTTCTCAGGCCATATTTAGTTTGCTTTAACAATCTAAAAGCTAAGACTGAGGTGTCGGAGAAGCCAAGAGAAGAAAGTGTCAAAGATAATGAGAACAATCAAATGCATCCCATTCTGCTGAGAGGTCGAGAAGACAGAGACTGAAAAGGGCCCCTTAGATATGTTTATGTGGAGGTCACGAGGTGCCTTAGCCATTTTAATAGATTCGTGGTGGTCAAAATGCAAGGAAATGGGAATAGCATGTGCAGGACGTTCTTTTGAGATATGTTCTGTTAAACAGAGCAGAGAAACACCGATAGTGAAGGATACTGGGTTAGGTCTAGAAAGAAGCTTGCATTTGTTTTGTGTTGATTTACCTCATTTTGACTTTTAAAGATAGAATCTTGATTGGATTTTCAAATTGAGCAGGAGAGGTTGAAAATGTCAGAAAGAAAGAGTATGGCTAAGACTGTCTTTGTCCTCTAATAGCCATTCTCCCATCTTCTATGGTAGTACAGTCTGTGAATTTCAGCAGAGTAAATGACCTCCTGGAACAAAAATGACATTTCTTCACCTCCCTTGCAGTAGAATAATGTGTTCAAGTTCTAGCCATGGAAATAAGGGTAAAAATGTCTTGTGCAACTTCTAGGAAGTGTCCTTAAAGGGAAGGGCTCTGTTCTTTTTCCTGCTGGCAAGAGTGTAGAGATGATGGCTGGAGCATGAGCCACAAGGTGAAAGCCACATTTTGGGGATGGTGAGCAAGATCAAAGCAGCCTGGTTTCCTGCTCATCATATCGTTGTCATGCAAGTCCTGGATGGGCTATGTCTATGTGAGGGAGGAATAAATGCCGACCTCCTTTAAAGCTGCTGTTATTTTCAGTTTTTTGTCACTGATGACATAACTTAATATTAACTAGGAGAGGGCCAGGTGAGGTGGCTCACGCCTGTAATCTCAGCACTTTGGGAGGCCGAGGCAGGTGGATCACCTGAGGTCAGGAGTTTGAGACCAGTCTGGCCAATATGGTGAAACCCCATCTCTACTAAAAATACAAAAATCAGCCAGGCGTAGTGGTGCGTGCCTGTAGTCCCAGCTACTCAGAAGGCTGAGGCAGGAGAATCGCTTGAGCCTGGGTGGCAGAGGTTGCAGTGAGCCGAGATTATGGCACTGTACTCCAGCCTGGGTGACAGAGCGAAACTCCATCTCAAAAAAAAAAAAAAAAAAAAAAATTAACTAAGAGAAGGGGAATAGCTAATATAATCAGATCCCTGAGAGATAGAACAATATAAAAGTATCAGCCCTTTGTAAGAGGGATGCTTCATCTGCTGGGAACTGGGCTCAACTACTTGCTAGCTGTGTGATCTTAGGCAAGCTATGTAACTTCTCTGC
This sequence comes from Homo sapiens, assembly GCF_000001405.40. Classification (NCBI taxonomy): domain Eukaryota; kingdom Metazoa; phylum Chordata; class Mammalia; order Primates; family Hominidae; genus Homo; species Homo sapiens. The sequence goes on from NC_000011.10 coordinate 6,377,163, forward strand.
ACCTGTATTTCATCATCTGTAAAATATTAGGATATAACAGAGGGGGAAAGGGAGAGGATGGGTACAGATGCAAGCAGGGTTTTAATTTGTTGTAACAAAGACAAGGGAATGTCTCTCTGGATGGCTTCTAAATTATCTGTAAAATAGAAGGCAAAATCAGTAAGAGTGGGTGGTGTGAGGACAGAGGATGCAGAGATATGAAAAGATCTACAAAGCAATGAAAAAGTTAGAAAAAGTAGAAAAAGAGCAAGCTCACTAGAGAAACACGGAAAAATTGCCAGGCAGCACTGAGGGACCATGTGAGTCTGGGGATCATGAATTTATCATTATATCACTTTTTCTTTTTTTCTTTTCTTTTTTTTTTTGAGACGGAGTCGCGCTCTGTCGCCCAGGCTGGAGTGCAGTGGCTCGATCTCGGCTCACTGCAAGCTCCGCCTCCTGAGTTCACGCCATTCTCCTGCCTCAGCCTCCTGAGTAGCTGGGACCACAGGCGCCCACCACCACGCCTGGCTAATATTTTGTATTTTTAGTAGAGATGGGGTTTCGCCGTGTTAGCCAGGATGGTCTCGATCCCCTGACATCGTGATCCACCCGCCTTGGCCTCCCAAAGCGCTGGGATTACAGGCGTGAGCCACCGCGCCCGGCCTTATATCACTTTTTCTAGCTATAGAATTTGCTGTAACAATTTCAGCTACTCTGGTTCAGAAGAAGAAAATGAAAGTAATTGGGATCATTTGAGACTGGAGTTCAGCCAGATGAAAATGACAGAGGAGAGGGGAACACAGGAGCTGAGCATATCTGCAAAGGAATTACTATAATGTTAGATTATAAAGTATTATTTTAAACAGACAGGAAGCCAGGAGCAGGTGGGTAAACAGAGAGAAAAGGAAGATAGACTGGATGCATTGATGAAGTCAGAGAGCTATTGCATTGGGGGTGGTGCCCATCCACCACACCACCCATGCACTCATGTGCACACAAATGTGCATGCACAACCATATATATTGGTTTCCTAGTTCAATTTCTGTTTGGAAGCTGAAAAATATCCTCCCAAGGATTAGCTTCTTCAGAGAATAGAGATGGTAAAGAAAAAAAAATGTAAAACTGTCTAGGTTTCAGGACTAGATTTCACCCTTGTTCAGCCTACCCAAGTACAGGGCTGAGACACTTCCTTCCACATTACACTCCCCTTCCTGTGTGTCAAAGATCTGACTGCTTCAGTGGAGCTTACAAGTATCCTGAGTCGTTTTAAGTGAATGTCCACATGAGACAGTGTGGTTGGAGTGTGGCAATATCTCAGGACACAGAGAGGTGACCTTCATCCTATATAAGATGTAGGTAGCTGCGGATGGAAAGCCTTCTCCCAGGAACGACTGGAAGATCATCTGTCAACACTGGTGACATTGGGTGCTCACGTGACTGTTGACAGGAGGTCTGCAGGGGACAGCTTCTATGTTGCTTCCTCATGCTGGCTGATGGGGTGAGGCAAGTATGTTATTCTTGCCCCTATCCTCTCCTGAGCTGGAGTCTTCTGTAGGGCAGGGCTTTTCCTACTAACAGGTATATCCCCAGCTTCTTGGTCTGGGCCTGACACAGAACAGTGTGTGTGTTGGCGGCGGTGGGTGGGAATAAATGGATGATTTCCTGACAATAGATGGAGCTAAGTTATTGTCATTAAGTAAATACTCCCTACGTCTTCCACAGGGCGGGGTGGCGAAGGGCAGTTTTTAACATTTAACTTTTCCTTCAGCCTCCACCTCACTGTAACCATAGATTTCCTCTCTCCTGTCAATGGACAGTGTGGATAAGGCATGGAAAACTGGGGAGAGTTATCAGCTAGACCTCATTAAATCAATGATAGTCAATACAGATACAGCATCTACTATGTATAAGGTGGTAGATTCTGTATAGTTGGTAATGAAATATAAGATGCAACTTTAAAAGTTTGCATCAGATACTAAAAGTCTTCCTCTGTCACATCTATTAATCTAAGTACTGTCTCATTGTAACTTCACAACCTTATATTATCTATTATCTTCATGTCACACAGAAAGAAATTGAAGCTCAAAAAGTGATGTGCTTTGTCCAGGTCACACAACTAATAAGTGGCAGAACAAAGATTCTAATCCAGATAGCTTGAATTTAAATTGCAGCCCCTACTATTGGGGGTTCTACATACACTGCGTTGGAATTGCCTGTCAAGAAAAATTTCTTCTGGATTTGAGCTCTTAAAGGTATAGATTACTAGCTTTCCAGTAATCCCTAAAATTTCCACAAGAGGGAGACCTTTCCCCATCAGTGCTGGGCTGCTGTCTGGAATTTCGAATTCAATTTGCAGTTTCACAGACAGCTCAAGAATTGGCTGGCCACTTGAACAGAATTTGTATAGGTTTCCTTTTTTTTTATTTTTAATTTTTTTTGAGACAGAGTTTCACTCTTGTTGCCCAGGCTGGAGTGCAATGGTCTGATCTCAGCTTACTGCAACCTCCGCCTCCCAAGTTCAAGCAATTCTCCTGCCTCAGCCTCCGGAGTAGCTGGGATTACAGGCATGCACCACCACGCCCGGCTAATTTTGTATTTTTAGTAGAGACGGGGTTTCTCCATATTGAGGCTGGTCTCGAACTCCTGATCTCAGGTGATCCGCCCACCTAGGCCTCCCAAAGTGCTGGGATTACAGGCGTGAGCCACCGTGCTCAGCTGTTTGTACAGGTTTCCTGACACAACAAAATGTAAGTACCCTAAGCGAATGTCTGCTTAAATTAACCCAGATTAACTAAGAAGTTATCTGTCCCAACCAAGCAGCCCATTTTGTCCCTCTGCCAATCACTCTCCAAGCCAGGGACTCAGTTCGCCACTGAGGCAGAGGCTGTATAACTTTAGATCTTTAAACACCAGCCTTGCTCTCCCTTCCCCAAGTTCTAGTCATTATCCAATAGCCTAGAAGCCTGCACAATAGGTTTCAGAAGTTCTAAAACCCAGAGAAAGTCAAGAATAAGGTTGTCTCACCTTTCCCACTACCAGCCCTGCAGAAAACTTTGTTCATAATGAATTTTCCCACCTCCTAGGCCTCAACCACTATCCAAGGGCTTACAGAGACAGTGTCTGAGCAACAGGTACGGAATCCTATCATGTCGTACCAGGAACCACTTTTCAGCAAAAGAGGTGTAAAGCGGGCACATGACTTTTGTGTCCACTGGTCACATTACAGCCGACCACCCAGAAACTGCCAGCCTAACACAGTGATAGAATCAGCTGTAGATGCACAGCTGAAGCACAAACATGGAAGTAATTCCTAGAGAGGAGGAGGTGCCACCTTCTAGCATGCAGTATACACTTTAAACCAACAACCTGGTGTTCTGTTCCCAAAAGGTAAAACACATGGGTTCAGAACCAAAGAGAGAAAGCAGGCGTGGCTCTGTTCGCCATCACTCCCAGGAATCTACTTGGGAAATTTGTGCTTTCTGCCCCTACAACTCTAGGCTCTGCTGCTTTAGAGGCTCTGATTCCCAATGGGGAAATGTGTCCAGCAGGTGAATGGGTTATGGTTGTTGCCTAGGAACTCTGGGCTCCTGCGTGCAGGGGCCAGCAGGCAAGAAGAGGCATGATCATGGTGGCTGTAGCGTTGATCCTGATTGTCATTGTTGATCCTGATAATACAACTGTTACAAAATGGAGACATGGGGGAATATGCTTGGCATCCAGCTGGCCCACTTGGGTGCCTCTTGGTAGTCCCTGCCCTATTTTGATGGTAAAAAGACAAGTGCAGGAGCATGGCTTGAGGAGAGCATGGATAGTGAGGCTCAGACCCCCCAGGGAGAAAGTTTGCATTACACCATCAGGTAAGCCACTGAAATCAGCAGAGGTGCTCTCTAAGGGTGAAGGAAAGCTAAAATGGATAAAAGAGGAAAATGATGAGTATCAGTTGCTGTCCTGAGAGAGGCTTCAGAGAGCTATAATTCTTTCCACTATCTTTCTTCTAATTTCCACCATGAAGAGAGACTCATTAGTCATTAGTATGCTAGAGGAGCTGTTCCAGACTTCTGTGAAATGAATCCAAGTGGCACAAGAGGTAGTCTGTGGTGGACACTGTGATGTGCCACCTGACCTGCCTTCAGGAACAAAGGGCTTATTCCCCCATGTAGACCAAAAATAAAATTCTAAGCTCCCCCAACCAACTGACAGAGTCCCCTCTCTCCCAAAGACATTCCAAACTAAACCAGAAAATCTAGTTCAGGCCATGATTGAAAGTGGGGATTGGACATGCCTCATCATACTCTTCTCTCTCAGAATTGGGAACAAGTGACGAGCATTAACATTTAAAAAGATCTGGCCGGGTGCAGTGGCTCACGCCTGTAATCCCAGCACTTTGGGAGGCCGAGGCAGGTGGATCATGAGGTCAGGAGTTCAAGACTAGCCTGGCCAACATGGTTAAACCCCGTCTCTACTAAAAATACAAAAATTAGCTGGGCGTGGGGGCAGGTGCCTGCAATCCCAGCTATTTGGGAGGCTGAGGCAGAGAATTGCTTGAACCTGGGAGGCGAAGGTTGCAGTGAGCCGAGATCGCACCACTGCACTCCAGCCTGGGCGAGAGAGCAAGACTCCGTCTCAAAAAATAAAAAATAAAATCATAAATAATAAATAAATAAAAGATCTTAATGGGGAAAACCTACATTCTGTAGACAATCCCTTTTTTTCTCCAGGTCTCTCCTCTGATCCAGGAGAAAATTAAGAGTCTGGCACCTGTTTAGGTCTGATAAGCGCTCTGATGCCTGATACATGGAGGTTTCATCTGCATGATAAAATCTTGGTCTCCGGGTCAGGCTTGGTGGCTCACGCCTGTAATCCCAGCACTTTGGGAGGCCAAGGCGGGTGGATCACCTGAGGTCGGGGGTTTGAGACCGGCCTGGCCAACATGGCAAAATCCCATCTCTACTAAAAATACAAAAATTAGCCACGCATGGTGGCAGGCACCTGTAATCCCAGCTACAAGAGAATCACTTGAACCCAGGAGGCGGAAGTTGCAGAATCACTTGAACCCGGGAGGCAGAGGTTGCAGTGAGCCAAGATCGTGCCACTGCACTCCACCCTGGGTGACAGAGCAAGACTCTGTCTCAAAAAACAAAACAGAACAAAAACAAACTAACAAACAAAAATCTTGGTCTCACAACACCTCCTTATCTTAACCTAGACATTCTTTTTTTTTTTTTTTTTTTGAGACAGAGTTTCGCTTTTGCCGCCCAGGCTGGAGTGCAATGGACCCATCTTGGCTCACTGCAACCTCCACCTCCCGGGTTCAAGCGATTCTCCTGCCTCAGCCTCCCGAGTAGCTGGGATTACAGGCACCTGCCACCATGCCTGGCTAATTTTTTGTATTTTTAGTAGAGATGGGGTTTCACCATGTTGGCCAGGCCAGTCTCGAACTCTTGACCTCAGGTGATCCACCTGCCTCGGCCTCCCAAAGTGCTGGGATTACAGGCTTGAGCCACCACGCCCTGCCGACATTCCTTTCTATTGATTCCAGCTCTTTAGATAATAACTCTTTTCAACCAATTGCCAATCAGAAAATCTTTGAATCTATGACCTGGAGGCTCCTCTCCCCGACCCCCCACCCCAGCCTCCACTGCTTCCAGTTGTCTTGCCTTGCTGGACCAAACCAATGTACATTTTACATGTATTGATTGGCCTCTTATGTCTCCCTAAAAGATGTAAAACCAAGCTGTAACCTGACCACCTTGGGCACATGCTCTGCGTGTGCTCTCAGGGTCTCCTGGGGCTGTATCACAGGCCATTGGTCGCTCCTTTTGGGCTCAGAATAAATCTCTTCAAATATTTAACAAAGTTTGACTCTTTTCATCAATACCTAGCTGCGAAACCACCTTTTCAAAAATTATAACAGGAAATTATGACAGCAAAAGAGATCTGACCTAACTGAGTTCACCTTACTTCTAACCTCCAAGCTGTCCATGTTCATTCCTGGGCGTAAACCGAACTAACCTTGGGAAGGAATTTAGTTTACAGCTTAATTTTTTTTTTTTAAACAGAGTTTTGCCCAGGCTGGAGTGCAATGGCATGATCTTGGCTCACTGCAACCTCCGCCTCCTGGGTTCAAGTGATTCTCCTGCCTCAGCCTCCCGAGTAGCTGGGATTACAGGCACCTGCCACCACGCCCAGCTAATTTTTGTATTTTTAGTAGAGATGGGGATTCACCATGTTGGCCAGGCTAGTCTCGAACTCCTGACTTCAGGTGATCCAACCGCCTCCGCCTCCCCTATAGTGCTGGGATTATAGGCATGAGCCACCGCACGAGGCTTTATAGCTTAACTTTTAAACAAAGATGATAATAGCCCTTTCCTGAAATAAGGCCCCTTCTTGCCTGAACCAAACTGCCTTTGTAGAACTAACAAATTAGCTACAAGATTAGAAATTACAGTTTAGGAGCCATGCAGCATTCAGCTGCAAGAGTCTGACCCTCCCCACCTTGCTCCTAGAAATAATATCACTGTTGTAAAACCTAAGATTAGTGCTTGAGATATTTTCCAGATCCTGCATTCTGATGCACCAGCTGATACCACCCAGGCCAGTAACCTGGCTCAACCAATTCTGCAATCCCAACTAGGAACAGAAGACAGCAAGAAAAACTCACTTTGACGCCCTATGATTTCATCTCCAACCTGACCAATCAGCACTTCCCACTTCATGAGCCCCTACCCACCAAATTATCCTAAAAAACTCCGATCCCCGAGTTTTTGGGGAGACTGATTTGAGTAACAATAAAACTCCAGTTCCCGGTACAGCCAGCTCTGCATGAATTACTCTCTCTATTGCAATTCTTATCTTGATAGGTTGGCTGTCTTGGCAGCAAGCAAGGAGAACCTGTTGGACAATTATAGCTGCTCAGAATGGTCTCAACAGAAAGTCCTCAGCCCCCTACAGGGATTTTCCTAAATGAAACAAGCTCTCTCATCCCATTTCAGGACAACTCTGAAGGGTCATCCCAGCTTCAGCGCTCCTATGGGGTCCAACGAGACCTCTGACGGCATCACAGATCAACTTGCTCATTTACCCAAGTCTGCTTTCTTCCCTTTCCTTTCACAGGTGTTCATTTAAAAAGCACTTTCTAATACATTTCTCTCTCATTAGTCTCTGTCTTAGAACCTGATTCCTAGAGAACAGTGTCATTAATTTTGAGGGAAGACGGGCTTTTGATCACCTATCCAGAAGGATAAGGGTGTGTGATATGGCAGCAAGTGATGGTTCTATCAAAAACAACATGTATGAAAACACTGCATAAAAGAGGACTCAGCGGGTCGGGCACGGTGGCTCATGCCTGTAATCCCAGCACTTTGGGAGGCCGAGGTGGGCAGATCACGAGGTCAGGAGATCAAGACCATCCTGGCTAACATGGTGAAACCCCATCTCTACTAAAAATACAAAAAATTAGCTGGACGTGGTGGCGGGCGCCTGTAGTCCCAGCTACTCGGGAGGCTGAGGCAGGAGAATGGCGTGAACCAAGGAGACGGAGGTTGCAGTGAGCCGAGATCGTGCCACTGCACTCCAGACTGGGCGACAGAGCGAGACTCTATCTCAAAAAAAAAAAAAAAAAAAAAAAAAAGAGGACTCAGCAAATGAGAAAAGAGGATGTGATCAGGAAAGATGTTGTTACTGGGTATGTGCTAAGGCCTTGAAGATCAATAAATTTGGACCCTGGGGTCATCAGTGTCCTCCATAAGGAAGGACAGAGTGAATCTCTGTCCTGAATCTACTGTCCTGAATGGACAGTAACAATTACGGAGAAATGAGGCAACTTGAAATCCCTGATAGGGAAATGGGAGATGACGTTTCATAGCAAATTTACCAGGCTCTTTCATGCCTTGTACTTTGTTCATGACATCCCTCCTCCCTCCTTTTCCTACTGCCAAAATTTGAATCCTTGAAGATTACAGATCCAAGCCTACAGTTACGAAAAAGAAGTAGCTATAAGGAAGGAAAAGCCTTTTCCTCTATCCTCTTAAGTTCAGTGGCTGAGGCCTGTAAATTAAACTGGCAAAAGACAAATTAACAGGAGAAAAGGGTTTATTCATATGCACAGGGAACCACAAAAGAAGTAGCTGGCTCATCAAATGGTTGAAATTAGCCAGGCGTAGTGGCTCACGCCTGTAATCCCAGCTACTCGGAAGGCTGAGGCAGGAGAATCGCTTCAACCCAGGAGGCAGAGGTTGCGGTGAGCTGAGATCACGCCATTGCCCTCCAACCTGAACAAGAGTGAAACTCTGTCTCAAAAAAAAGGAAGGAAGGAAGGAAGGAAGGAAGGAAGGAAGGAAGGAAGGAAGGAAGGAAGGAAGGAAAAGGCTTACACATCTAACTTAGTAGGAGAAAGGGAAAGGGGAGAAAGTTCCAGGGGAGAAAGAGGTTTCTTAAGGAAAGACAAAAGGGTTTTCAAAAGAACAAACATGAGGCCAGAAAGTGTGTGATGCTGTGGTCTATGCCAGCATGTGTGGTCTTCCTGTCTTCTTCAGAGCCATTAAACTTCCCTGAAAAGGGTATTTATGTTGAGTTTACTCTTGGTCTCCCTCCTCAGAGTGGAAGCCTTGCTGAAGAGGGTATGTATGGCAGTCTTCATTTCTGATAAAAGAAAAATAGCTCAGAGCACTCTGAACTATGTGAGGTACGCAAAATGTATCAGGCCCAGAGAGACATGAGTATGGGACTTCAGTCATACACTCCACCCCTCACCCCCACCCTTGCTCCCACAAAACCAAGAAGTGGGGTGCAATTGTTTGTTCCTAGTCAGACATGCCTCACCCTTTATCTTCACATTCCTGGGATTTATGATACAAAGAACAAGGCATAGCCAATCAATAGCTTATGTTATTTTTATGTAAATTCTTGGTGAACAACTTAGTGTCTATGAAAAGAGTGAAACTCTGTAAAATATTTGAAGAGATTTATTTTGAGCCAAACGAGTGACCATGGCCCGTGACACAGCCCTCAGGAGGTCCTGAGAACATGTGCCCAAGGTGGTCAGGGTGCAGCTTGGTTTTATACATTTTAGGGATGTATGAGACATCAATCAAATAAATTTGAGAAATACATTGGTTTGGTCAAGAAAGGTGGGACAATCTGAAGCTGGGGGATGGGGAGCTTCCAGGCTATAGGGAAATTTAAACATTTTCTGGTTGACAATTGGTTGAGTTTGTCTAAAGACCTGGGATCAATAGAAAGGAAATGTTCAGGTTAAGATAAAAGATTGTGGAGGCCGGGCACAGTGGCTCACACCTGTAATCCCAGCACTTTGGGAGGCTAAGGCAGGCGGATCACGAGGTCAAGAGATGGAGACCATCCTGGCCAACATCGTGAAGCCCCATCTCTATTAAAAATATGAAAATTAGCTGGGTGTGGTGGCAGATGCCTGTAGTCCCAGCTGCTCGGGGGGCTGGGGTAGGAGAATTGCTTGAACCCGGGAGGCGGAGGTTGCAGTGAGCCGAGATTACACTGTTGCACTCCAGCCTGGGCGACAGAGTGAGACGCCATTTTTAAAAAAAAAAAAAAGATTGTGGAGACCAAGGTTCTTTGAAGTCTCTTAGTGGCTGCCCTTAGAGACAACAGTCGACAAATGTTTCCTATTCAGACCTTTAAAAGGTGCTAGACTCTCAGTTAATCTCTTCAGGATTGGAGGGCCCAGAAGAAAAAGATCTGTGTTATTAGAGATTCTTTACAGATGTAAATTTTCCCCCATAAGGTACGACTTTGCAGGGCCATTTCAAAATATGGCAAAGTGGCCGGGTGCGGTGGCTTACTCCTGTAATCCCAGTACTTTGGGAGGCCAAGGCAGGCGGATCACCTGAGGTCAGAAGTTCGAGACCAGCCTGGCCAGCATGGCAAAACCCCATCTTTATTAACAATACAAAAATTAGCTGGGCATGGTGGTGGTGGGTGCCTGTAATCCCAGCTACTCGGGAGGCTGAGGCAGGAGAATCCCTTGAATCTGGGTGGGGGAGGTTGCAGTAAGCCAAGATCACCCCATTGCACTCCAGCCCGGGCAATAAGAGTGAAACTCTGTCCCGCCCCCCACCCCAAACCAAAAAACATATATATATATATATATATATATATATATATATATATATATATGGCAAAGAAACATGTTTTGGGGTAAAATATTTTGACTTTCTTCTTTATCACGTAATTTTATGCCAGAGTATGACTGAAAAGGCAGTCACAATATATAGTGTTAAATAAAACCCAACTGATAAGAATTTATGGTTTGTAGGGCATGACTCCCCAGACCCTTTCGATAGGAATTTGAGCAAGATAAGAAAAAATCAGAGCTTAGTCCTCATTAGGAACTGCCTCTTCTTCTCCTTTAAAAACCCACTTGTGACTTCTGCTAATTGGGAGCATATACTCAGGGCAACTTGAATCTTCGCTTCACAGTCTTCAAACTTGGCCCAAATAAACTCTCTACTTATATCAAGTTTGCCTTAGATTTTTCCCTTTAGGTTGACATTTCCCAGAAGTTTTAATCAGATGAAGAAAGCTCCCAGAAGGTTTATTTCTGCATCTATTGAATCTGAAATGTCTTCGGCTTAAAATAATTGTTATACCAACTCTGGTGTTCTGAATGGGTCCCCACACAGCAAAGAATAGAGCCAGAATGTTGCATTTGTGAAAGGAAAATAAAAACTCAGGACTCCAGTTGACTATGCCAAAAGGAAAAAAAATAAACTGAAAACTGAGTCATGCAAGAAGCTGCCTTTCCTTTTGTTCCTAAGCAGATAGCTACAGACAAAAGGTTAAATATTTACAAAATTAGCCGGGTGTGGTGGCACATGCCTGTAATCCCAGCTACTCAGTAGGCTGAGGCAGGAGAATCACTTGAACCCGGGAGGCAGAGGTTGTGGTGAGCCGAGATTGCGCCATTGCACTCCAGCCTGGTCAACAACAGCGAAAACTCTGTCTCAAAAAAAAAAAAACAAAAAAAACACAAAAGGTTAAATATCTCCACAGGCATATTTACTTTATCTTATGTAAAGTGCCAGACGAACACATAATTGAGTATCTCCCTACCTGCTCCTTTTCTCTTGCGACATGTGGATTACCATACCCTTCTTCTTTCCCTCCAGCTCACTTTTCCCCTTTAAATATTGAAGCCCTCAAAATCATCTTTGGAGAAAGCCACAGACCACAGACTGTTTCTGCGATTCCGTGTTTATTTCTTCCAGCCATGTCCTTAACCTTGGCAAAATAAACCTCTAAATTGATTGAGACCTGTCTCAGACATGTTTTGCTTGACACATCCAAATTCCAGTTCCAGCACTTACTAGCTAGCTGTGGGATCTTGAGCCACTTACTTAATCCTACTTTCCTTCTCCGTAAAATGGGGATAATTATAATACCGACTTCCAAATTTGTTGTGAGGATTAACGTAAGGCAGAGTCCTCAGAAAAGTACCTACAGAGGGTTATTCGGGCCAAGGGCCAAGGTTGAGGACTGCGACCCAGGACACACTTGCAAGTTGTCTTGGGGGAGCACTCTGGACAACAAAAGAGAGGCTCATATTTTCAAAGAAAAAAAGATGAATTAGGAGAGGAAATGAATACAAAAGTTGTTCATCAGGAATTCTCATTGTTTACAGAAATAACACTGGTTATACATTGTTTAGCGCTTGGCTATACATTGTTGAACTATAAGGTGTATGGCATTTAATGGCTACTTGGCATAGCAAGTGGTTTCAAGAGATAATTACTTAGCTCAAAGAAGAGTGAGAGTGACTGTTGCTACATTTTAAATGCCTGTCTGGGCCTGATAATTTAAAGGGGCTCATCTTCCTTAGATAAAAAGGTTTTGTTTTGTTTTGTTTTTCATAGTACATAATCTTAAAAATGCATGCTAATTATTACTGTGAGTACTCTATCTGAGATGATGTCCCCAGAACTGGGGGGAAAAAACACTTGTAAAAAATTATCAAAGGAAAGAACTGACAGGACTTGATAGCTCTGAGGATTCCTCAGAAGCACTCGTCAAACAGCTTAGGGTTTAATTGCTATTCTGCCACTTAACTTCTTTGTGCCTCATCCTATCTGTAAAGGAGGGTAATAATAGTATTTGCAGGGACCAAGGGAAACTTTCCCTTCGCCCTCTGAAATTCTGCTGAAAAATCAACCCACAAAAAACAGATTAATTGAAGAAAAGGCATAGAAATTGTATTAATGTGTCCACGGGGAACCACAGAGTGACTACCCACTTCCCAGACGAGTTCAGAAGCTTAGGTGTCATTCAGGCAAAGGGGGTTGTGGGAGTGAGGGGAAGAGGAATTCTGCTGAGGGAGAAGGAATGGATCAGGGAACAGATTAACTAGCACATTATCATGTGAAGGGGTCTGTTCAGGTGTGATTATATTCTTGGTTTTGTAGGGAGGGGAAGAAAAAAACCGTTGTTCCTTTTGATGGGTCTGGACGCTAGGTAACGGCTTTGGGAGAGAGGGCGCGGGAGTAGGAAGGCCAGACACACCTTAAGGCTTAACTTAGTAAGTCAAACCACCATATTTTGGGTATGGATTTCTGAGCCCCAATATAATAGGTACTTCTTAGGGTTGTTGTGAGAATTGAAGATTATTAATTATAAAGTGCCTGGGTTGGTGCTTGGCACATCATAAACAACTCCATAAATGCTCGCTTTTACTGTCGTGGATACACGGAGGTGGGAGACCCAATTGGGTTCCCGCCCATGTTATTGGCCCCCACGGCTATATGGTCTTTACGGCTTCCTAGTCTCTTCACCATCTCTAAGGTTTGTTTCCTCATCTGAATCACAGGTGAGTGATTCTCAGGGTGACTCAAGAGGGCTGGTGCCAGTGGCAGAGCATGGGGAATCGAGGGAAGGCGCCTTCCTGTCAGAGGCAACACACCCAGTGGGAGGATCCTGCCCGCCCTGCTCTCTCCTACCTCCCCTTCCCGGGCTAAACGCTGGGGTCGGTCTGGCAGCTATTCCGGGAATCTGAGCGCGGATTCTGACAAAGGAGACGTCTTCCACCGACCACATCACATGGAGCTCCAAAGCACGAGCACGGCCTCCCGCGGCTGTGACCTCAAGGCGGAGCCCCTGGTGACCTCAGGGAGAGTCCCCACCCCCGCAGCCCGTGCGCCCGGGGCAGGGCGGGGGCAGGGAGAGGGGGCGGAATCGGGGCGGTCCCGGGAGCGCCCCGCCCCCTCCGCCTCCGCAGCGTTGACAGCCGCCCGCCACCGAGAGATCAGCTGTCAGAGATCAGAGGAAGAGGAAGGGGCGGAGCTGCTTTGCGGCCGGCCGCGGAGCAGTCAGCCGACTACAGAGAAGGGTAATCGGGTGTCCCCGGCGCCGCCCGGGGCCCTGAGGGCTGGCTAGGGTCCAGGCCGGGGGGGACGGGACAGACGAACCAGCCCCGTGTAGGAAGCGCGACAATGCCCCGCTACGGAGCGTCACTCCGCCAGAGCTGCCCCAGGTCCGGCCGGGAGCAGGGACAAGACGGGACCGCCGGAGCCCCCGGACTCCTTTGGATGGGCCTGGTGCTGGCGCTGGCGCTGGCGCTGGCGCTGGCGCTGGCTCTGTCTGACTCTCGGGTTCTCTGGGCTCCGGCAGAGGCTCACCCTCTTTCTCCCCAAGGCCATCCTGCCAGGTTACATCGCATAGTGCCCCGGCTCCGAGATGTCTTTGGGTGGGGGAACCTCACCTGCCCAATCTGCAAAGGTCTATTCACCGCCATCAACCTCGGGCTGAAGGTGAGCACTGAAGGGGCTGCAGTGGAGGAGGCCGAAAGGAGTGCTGGGGCTGGGGGCTGGGGCTGATGCTGGTGCGCTGGGCTCAGAATGCATCCCTGATGGAGAGGGTGGCATCTACAATCCATCACTGAGTTTGCTCCCCTTTGGGGACACCCATGGCTACATGCCACCATCACCCCATTGTGACCTTTGTGAAGTAAGAAAATAATGCAGACAGTGCCTGAGGAAGTCAGCTTGCCAAGCAAAGGCCTCATGCCACAGGCCGCTGAGCTAAAGAAGAAGCGATGGCCTGGTGCTGCCTGAGTTACAGGGCAATATCTGGAAGGCAAAGGTGTGCACTGAGCTTGGTGCACTGAGTCCTGCCCAGCCCCAGTTTGGAAATGGAGGCCCAAGGGGTGGTGGCCAGGGGTTGGCCTGGTTCCTCTGCTCTGCCTCTGATTTCTCACCATGCGCTCCTCCCACTGCAGAAGGAACCCAATGTGGCTCGCGTGGGCTCCGTGGCCATCAAGCTGTGCAATCTGCTGAAGATAGCACCACCTGCCGTGTGCCAATCCATTGTCCACCTCTTTGAGGATGACATGGTGGAGGTGTGGAGACGCTCAGTGCTGAGCCCATCTGAGGCCTGTGGCCTGCTCCTGGGCTCCACCTGTGGGCACTGGGACATTTTCTCATCTTGGAACATCTCTTTGCCTACTGTGCCGAAGCCGCCCCCCAAACCCCCTAGCCCCCCAGCCCCAGGTGCCCCTGTCAGCCGCATCCTCTTCCTCACTGACCTGCACTGGGATCATGACTACCTGGAGGGCACGGACCCTGACTGTGCAGACCCACTGTGCTGCCGCCGGGGTTCTGGCCTGCCGCCCGCATCCCGGCCAGGTGCCGGATACTGGGGCGAATACAGCAAGTGTGACCTGCCCCTGAGGACCCTGGAGAGCCTGTTGAGTGGGCTGGGCCCAGCCGGCCCTTTTGATATGGTGTACTGGACAGGAGACATCCCCGCACATGATGTCTGGCACCAGACTCGTCAGGACCAACTGCGGGCCCTGACCACCGTCACAGCACTTGTGAGGAAGTTCCTGGGGCCAGTGCCAGTGTACCCTGCTGTGGGTAACCATGAAAGCACACCTGTCAATAGCTTCCCTCCCCCCTTCATTGAGGGCAACCACTCCTCCCGCTGGCTCTATGAAGCGATGGCCAAGGCTTGGGAGCCCTGGCTGCCTGCCGAAGCCCTGCGCACCCTCAGGTACTTATCGTCCGTGGAAACCCAGGAAGGGAAAAGAAAGGTGAATGAAAGTGAAGGGAGAAGGGAACCTGGGGCATTGTCTCTGATTGCTCTAGCATGAGTCCTTAGTGCTCTTCATTTGGCTCCCCTAATCTGACTCCTCCTTCCCTTTCTACTGTTTTGCCGCACCAGGCTTTTTTTTTTTTTTTTTTTTTAGTTTAGTTTTTGTAGAGACAAGATCTTGCTATGTTGCCCAGGCTGGTCTCAAACACCTAACCTCAAGCAATCCTCCCGCCTCGGCCTCCCAAAATGCTGGGACCACAGGCATCAGCTACTGCTCCTGGCCCTCCCTTTTTTTTTTTTTTTTTTTTTTTTTTTTTGAGATGGAATCTTGCTCTGTTGCCCAGGCTGGAGTGCAGTGGCACCATCTCAGCTCACTACAGCCTCCACCTCCTGGGTTCAAGCAATTCTGCCTCAGCCTCCCAAGTACCTGGGACTACAGGTGCACGCCACCACACCCAGCTAATTTTTGTATTTTTAGTAGAGATGGGGTTTCACCATGTTGGCCAAGATGGTCTTGATCTCCTGACCTCATGATCTGCCCACCTCGGCCTCCCAAAGTGCTGGGATTACAGGCATGAACCACTGCACCCAGCTTTCCAGCCCTCCCTTTCTACTCTTATCTCCAGCCACCCTCCTTCAAAGGTCTGGCAGCATAACCTCTCTATGCCCCAGCTGTGTCTTTGCTCATGTTGGCCCTCTGGAAATGATTTCCCCCTTTTTTTTAAGTGCTCCAGTTTTTCCCACCTTATCCATCCCATGTCATCTTCCCTCTGTGTGGTCCTTGCTTCCCATTCTAGCTAACTCTTATCCCTCCCCCATACTCCTGGAGCCCTCTGCCCTCAGAGTCTTTTGTGTCACACAGACCCAATAATTAGAACTGTTTGGTCTCTGGCTAGACTGTGAGCTCCTTGCAGGTGGGGAAGATGTCATGTATGCTTTTACCCTCCACCCAAATGCCCAGCACAGGAGGACCAGGATTGGAACAAGTGTTGACCTCTCATGTTTACTTTGTTTCAGAATTGGGGGGTTCTATGCTCTTTCCCCATACCCCGGTCTCCGCCTCATCTCTCTCAATATGAATTTTTGTTCCCGTGAGAACTTCTGGCTCTTGATCAACTCCACGGATCCCGCAGGACAGCTCCAGTGGCTGGTGGGGGAGCTTCAGGCTGCTGAGGATCGAGGAGACAAAGTGAGGGCCAGTAGTGGGAACACGGTGGTGCTGGGGGACAAGCAGGCTCCTGTTGAGCTGGAGCACCTCTGGGCACAGAAGTTTTATTTTCCTGGCATTCCCAACAAGTGTTCCCTGGGGATTCAGCTCATGGTCACTGTTGAAAGCCTTCATTCAGTCCCCCTTTCTCTAGCCAGGGCTGCCTGGACCCCTGGATGCCCTGATTACCATCCTTAATTCTCCCTACTAGGTGCATATAATTGGCCACATTCCCCCAGGGCACTGTCTGAAGAGCTGGAGCTGGAATTATTACCGAATTGTAGCCAGGTAGGACGGAGATGAGGGTGGGAATAGGGACAGGGTGAGTGTCTGAAGGCTGAAAATTCCCTTGAGCATCTCACCATCCCTGTTGTCCCATGGAGTGGGGAGGCTCCTCACTAGAACAGGTTGGAGAAAGAGGGCATCCTATCTCCCCAGATGTCTTCCTACCCCTCCCTAGAATCTTCTGAATGTAGTACCTTCTGGCCAGGTATGAGAACACCCTGGCTGCTCAGTTCTTTGGCCACACTCATGTGGATGAATTTGAGGTCTTCTATGATGAAGAGACTCTGAGCCGGCCGCTGGCTGTAGCCTTCCTGGCACCCAGTGCAACTACCTACATCGGCCTTAATCCTGGTGAGTGAGGCAGAAGGGAGCCTCCCTTATCCTGGAGTTGGTGGGATAGGGGAAGGAGGTTGGAGCCAGAGCCTGCAAAGCATGGGCAGGATGTGTGGCCCCTCCCTGGAGTTACCCTTGCTCCTTGCCCCTCCAGTCAGCCCCACATCCTTGCAGGTTACCGTGTGTACCAAATAGATGGAAACTACTCCGGGAGCTCTCACGTGGTCCTGGACCATGAGACCTACATCCTGAATCTGACCCAGGCAAACATACCGGGAGCCATACCGCACTGGCAGCTTCTCTACAGGGCTCGAGAAACCTATGGGCTGCCCAACACACTGCCTACCGCCTGGCACAACCTGGTATATCGCATGCGGGGCGACATGCAACTTTTCCAGACCTTCTGGTTTCTCTACCATAAGGGCCACCCACCCTCGGAGCCCTGTGGCACGCCCTGCCGTCTGGCTACTCTTTGTGCCCAGCTCTCTGCCCGTGCTGACAGCCCTGCTCTGTGCCGCCACCTGATGCCAGATGGGAGCCTCCCAGAGGCCCAGAGCCTGTGGCCAAGGCCACTGTTTTGCTAGGGCCCCAGGGCCCACATTTGGGAAAGTTCTTGATGTAGGAAAGGGTGAAAAAGCCCAAATGCTGCTGTGGTTCAACCAGGCAAGATCATCCGGTGAAAGAACCAGTCCCTGGGCCCCAAGGATGCCGGGGAAACAGGACCTTCTCCTTTCCTGGAGCTGGTTTAGCTGGATATGGGAGGGGGTTTGGCTGCCTGTGCCCAGGAGCTAGACTGCCTTGAGGCTGCTGTCCTTTCACAGCCATGGAGTAGAGGCCTAAGTTGACACTGCCCTGGGCAGACAAGACAGGAGCTGTCGCCCCAGGCCTGTGCTGCCCAGCCAGGAACCCTGTACTGCTGCTGCGACCTGATGCTGCCAGTCTGTTAAAATAAAGATAAGAGACTTGGACTCCAGACCCCTGTGTGACTGTCCCAATTTCTTCTTTCCAGGCAAGCAGGGCAAGGAGATCTTTGGAGCAAGATCATAACTGAGGCACAGGCTAATGGGTTGATGGTGTGGTACAGGCATAAGAAGGCACACAGCAGTGCAGACAGACTTTATTAGTGATATCAATACAGCAGAGGTGCCCATGGAGCAGGGGGAAGGGACCCATGCCTGGACCAGTCCCTTCCTCCTTCTGCCCCTGCTGGGTCCAGGAGGATGAGGCCTGGCCTGGACCAGTTCCTCCTGTTCCACCTGAAACACATGGGGATGGAGAACCAGGGCTGGCCTTGCTTCCTGCTCCTCTTGTTACCACTCCAGTGTTATCACTTCCTTGAAGGGATTAGATCTCTCCCTCCCCAGCTCCTAGGCAGGGAACCGTAGCTACTGGGGAGGGGCATATTTGGGAGGCCTGAGGCCTAGGAATAGCCTCTAGACCCCTCCCTGACCCACACCCTTTAGTTCCCTGGGGCCCAACACAAGCAGGTGGAGGGAAGGTGGGGGCTTCTTCATGGGGTATGGGCCCCCAGCCGTTTGGGCTTCAGGGAGCCCCACAGCGACTGAACACCCCTGCGGACAGTCCACCCTACACGCCGTGCCACAGACTCAGCAGGGGGTGCTGGGAGGCAGGAGGTGGAGGCCTGGGAACGGGCATCCAGACACTTCTGGTAGCGAAGCTGCGGAGGCAAGCAGGGCAGTCACTCCCCAGCCTACCTCCCATGGGGCCACGCCACCACCACACCACCCTACTAGTAGCTTACCATGCACGCAGCCTGCACAGCCTCTGAGAGGCTGGCAGCATTGGGCTCGCACCAGAACATGTGGCAGCAGAAGGAGGCTGGGCCGGCAGCCATGATGAATGCAAACGTGTGGACATCTCTGCCCACGGCCAGGAAGGAGAGGAAACGCACCCGACACTCTCCCAGCACTGCCTCTGTCTGCATGGAGGGAACTCAGTTAAAAAGGAACACCAACCCCACACTGTGTTCCACATCCATCTTAGCAGCTCTTCCCCTCACCCCCAGTCTCCCCTCTATGGCAAGGCGCAGCCACGACTTCTACCCCAGCTCTTTACCTGCTGGTGCAAGATGGTGAGGGTAGCAGGGGCCACACTGACATGACTTGGGGTCCATTGTTCACGGCTGCTGGAGGACAGGACTGACTCGAGGGCCCCATTAATCACATCTACCCCTAGAACATATGGACACAAGATACCACTGAGGGTAGACAGAGGATACCCCAGCTCTACCCTGGACCTCTAGTTCCACCCAATCAAACCCAGGGCCTTTGCCCCATCCCCACTTTGCCAGCCTACATTTTGGACAACGCTGTCCAAGTATCCCTTCCCTGGGGCTCTCCTCCCCTGGCTTCAGTAACTGGACATTTTCCTACTTTTTAAAATCTTGGATCCTAGGCTCGTTATTTTCACCGGCTCTGCCTATTCCTCCACACTTCTGAACTGACTGACCTCTCAAAGTTCTGATTTCCCCAAATCATGCTCTCTCAGCGCTCATCACACTCAGACATCACATTGCTTCACACCACAATAACTCCCAAATCAGACCCTACAGGCCAGTCCTCTCCCAAGACCCAATTATTTTTTAAGATATCTATCTGAGGAGTGATTACTCTGTATCACATTGTGCTAAGTCATTACAGTGTATTACCTCATTTGTGCCCACACAACAACATCACAATAGATTACTTTATTTCCATTTTACAAATAAGGAAACGGAAGAGATAGGTAATATGCCTTAGGTCACATCGAGGAATGGGGACCTGAGCTCAGGCAGTCTGATTCCAGAGCCTGGGTTCTTAGCCATGCCTTTCTCCTACCTCTTCTCTATATTACTAGTTTTCAGAACTAGAAGGGCTTTCAAGATCTTAGTTCTACTCAAGAATGTCTATAATGTGCTCAAGAGCCAAGGAACCCAAGGTTCCTGACTTTCAGATCAATCAACTTTCCCTTATAACACATGGCCTCCTCCACCTCAAACTGCTGTTAAACATTTCCCCTCATGGATCCCACTTTTGCTTGCACTCAGCAGAGCACCAAGGCAGGAGCACATGTTGTGGCAAAGGCATCAGTTCTAGTCCCCACACTCATACGCTGGCTGTGTGATCTACTGTCTCTGCACAATGCCAGTGCAAAAGGCACATGCCTCTGTGGTCCACTCCCAGGCCCTCTGCCCCTTTTAGTGGCTCTCAGCTCCCACTAGGAGCAGACCACGTGGACTCTTTTGGGCAGAGGACAAATGTCTTCCTTGCATGTCTTCTCCCATCTTGGCCTTGCTCATCTGACTTCTAGCTGGATCAAGGCCAAACTGCTCCCAAAAGCATACAAGTCTTCCAAAAACTGGCCTCACCAGAGCTGTCAAGCTTCATATTTTACTGCTCCCTGAGCTTCAGATGATTTGTGTAGCATTATTATTAACAACTAATCTTGGCAAATGGCCTGTAAAGCAGATGGGGAATACAAAGCAAGAGAAGAGAATGCCCTTGAGAGACACAGACTGCAACTGAGGGAAAAGCCTCTGTCTTGAGTGCCCTTTCCCTGCTGGACTGAGAAACTTCAGACTGTCATCCTTCAGGGCTCCAACTAGGTGCTGTCTAGGAAGCCATGCCTGCTGCAGGGCAGGGAGAGGACAACTCTGAGACAACTCTTACCATAACGTCTTGTAACTGCTGGAAAACTTTTTTCCACACTGGGCCGTGGCCATCTCAAGAACAGAAATGGAATTTAATTCATCCCTCTGTCCCCAATTCTAACACAGGGCTTATCTGCTGAAGAAATTCCAGATGCATGAGCAAGTCACTCTCAAGGCAACAAGGGCAAATGCACCCGAACTGGTAAAACCAAGTGTCACAGAAGTGGATGGGCCAGGTCAGATTGCAGAGTGCTTCAAAAGCCAGGCAGAGGGGTGTGATGTTTATGACATTTAGGCCAGGGCAATTGGAAATCTCAAAGTTCAGGTGTGTGAAAGGGACATCATAGTCAAACTGCTGAATAGATGGGGCTGTGGGAGATGGAGCCTGGCCTCAGAGTCTTGGGAAGTTTGGCAGGGAAGCAGTGAAAGCAGTGGACCAAGGTATGGAAAAAGGCTGTCAGATTTGATAACTCAGGACTAAAACCTACACTGTGACCTTGACCTCCAGCCCCACATGCAATCCCCCTAATCCTGCTGTGCTTTTCTCTTCTTTTTTTTTTGTATCAGTTGTTGCCTTCTAACATACTCCATGGTTTACTCATTTTATTGTCTGTCTCTCCTTGCTAGAATGTCAGCTAAATAAAAGCAGGGATCTTTGTCAGTTTTGTTGATTAATGCATGCCAAGAAGCTAGAATAGTGCCTGACATGTATCAGGCATTCATTACCACTTGTTAAATAAATGAATAATTAATGAATGAATATTGCAGCTTCTGGATGGGCTAATGTTTAAAAACGAGCATAAGATAAAGCAGGAAGTAAGTTTAGAGACCACTTGTCCAAGCGGAGCAGTCAAGGGTCACAGGCAGTTGATCTGGCATAGGGAGGACCAGAGTCAAGTGGTAGATGGAAAGAAGCACATATGGGAATGGGGGTAACAAATGGAAGAGCCAACAAGGGTTTAGAAGTTGAGGACGAGAAGGAGGAAAGCAAAGGCGTAAGGGTCAGCATGCTTTTCTCACCTCCAGCTCCAAGTCTTTGGCAGTGCCATCGAATCCAAATGAAATACCCACTCCACTCTGCAAATCCAAACCTTCTTTCAAAACCTCAGTTCAATCCCCACCTTTTCTAAGAAGGGTCCCCTCTTTCAATGTAAGATTTTGGACGTGAAAGTCAGCACGGTATAAGGGAAAGTGCAGAGAATTAAAGATGACCGGGGTTTGACTCCCAGGTCTAGCTTTCCTGGCCATGTAATCTGAAGCAAGTCTCATTTATTCATTAATTCATTTTTTATTTCATTCATCAAACATTTGTTGAGTTCTTCCTGTGTGTCTTTTGACATGATACCCTACCACTTCTTTTTCAAGTAGCCTCTTTTCTTCTTCCTGCCTCTCTCCAGTTGTCACTATCCTTGGCAGTTTCATCCTCTACACATCCATTGAATGTTGGAGGGCCTCAAGGCTATGACTAGCTTCATTTCCCTTCTCACTTCAGGATGCCCACTTTCCAGGGCCAAGCTACTCTACATCCATGGCTTTGATTACCTCTACAACCCAATAATGCCAAAACTCCTATCTCCAGCCCAGACCTCTCCTCTCAGCTCCAGATCTGTGAATCTAACTGCCAACCTGACTTTGCCTCTCAGATTCCCCAAAGGCATCTCAAACTCAGCATGTCCAAAAGTGAGCTCACAATCTCTACGCTCAAATTGGCCTCTTCAAGCATCTGCCACCTTGAAAGAAATAATCCACTATCCAGAAGGTCCAACAGCCAGGAACTTAGGAGTCATCCTTGTCCCTCACCCACATCGAACCAATCACTGAGGCCTGTTGACTATACCCGTCTAAACAGCTCTTGAATCCACGCACTCTTCTTCAGCTCCATTGTTGCCCAAGATACTCTCATTACTGGCCAGGACTACAGCAAGAGCCTCCTAACTGAGCTGCTCACATCCACCTCCACCCACTTAACAGTCCCCTCCATGAAATAGCCAAAGTGAGCTTTCAAAATTCAAATCTGATTAAGGCAAGTGCACTCTCGGAGACTTCA
The DNA here is from genome assembly GCF_000001405.40 of Homo sapiens. Taxonomy (NCBI): domain Eukaryota; kingdom Metazoa; phylum Chordata; class Mammalia; order Primates; family Hominidae; genus Homo; species Homo sapiens. The sequence goes on from NC_000011.10 coordinate 6,399,720, forward strand.
ATAACTCCTTGCTGCCCTTAGGATGAAGAAAAAATCATTAACATAGCCCCTGAGGTCCCTGACCTGGCAGCCTGACCACTGCCCAGCTGTCGGCCTCATCTTGCATTGGCCTTCTTTCAGTACCTTGGAAATGCCAAAGTGCCTCCCACTGTAGACCCTGATCTTCCCCCATCCCACCCCCACCTCCATTCCACTTGACCGCATTCACTTCTACTTATTTTTTGGATTTCAGTTCAAATGTCACTTTCACAGGGAAGTCTTTTACAACCTCAGACTAGATGAAATTCCTTTGTTATATCTTGCTACTTTCTCTCAACGAATAACTCACACATTTATTTGTGTGATTATTTTATTAATTCCTGGTTTTTTTCTACCATAACCTTCTATAACCTCTAGGAAAATGGGACTGTGGCCACTGTTCTCCCTGTGCCTAGTCCAGGGCCTGCCACATGGTAAGCTTCAAAGGTATTTGTTAAGTGAATAAACAAATAAATAGCAGACACTAGGAAAGCACTGAAATATAAGAGTTAACCAGATCAGGCCAGGCACAGTGGCTCACGCCTGTAATCCCGGCACTCTCAGAGGCCGAGGCAGGTGGATCACTTGAGGTCAGGAGTTCAAGACCAGCCCTGGCCAACACAGTGAAACCCCGTCTCCACTAAACATACAAAAATTAACCAGGCGTGGTGGCGGGAGCCTGTAATCCCAGCTATTCAGGAGGCTAAGGCAGGAGAATTGCTTGAACCCAGGAGGCGGAGGTTGCAGTGAGCTAAGATCACGCCACCGCACTCCAGCCTGGCGGACAGAGCGAGACTTGTCTTTAAAAAAAAAAAAAAAAAAATTCTTTGCAACAATGAAGTATGTGACAATTATGCTCACTGTTTCCTTCTCCAGATGCTCCCAGCCCACAGCTGGTGCTGTAACACTAAACCCAGCTACAGGCTGCTGTCTGGTGTCCTCCAGTCATCTAACATCAGCCTCCCAATCCCACCAAAGCTTTTCCATGGGATGAAGGAGTGGGGTCTCCCTTTGTGCCTGGTTCAGCACCACTCACGTGGCTGATGCTCAGCGAAGGCGTGCTGACTGCTGCTATAGGCAGGACAGGAAATAGAGCTAGGACAGAAGTATGGGGAGGTGGGATGCATTTTAAAGGGTAGGGAGACACCAAGCATGAGGAAGGTCTGGTAGAAGAAGTATTGGAAGGCAGAGGGTAGGGGCAGAGTTTTAGGATCAAGGTAGCAGCCCCTGGGTATAGAAGGACACACATACCAACAGGTTTAGCAACAGGTACATTCCCCAGGTAATAGACTTGGAACTTCTGGACCAACTCATTCTTAGGCGCTGGGAATTCCACTATGGGAAAGAAGAGAAGGTTGATCATGGTGGCAGACCTTGCTCACCCGCAGCCCCACCAGCAGGGCATAAGCTGGACACTTGCCCAGCCGAGGCCCTACTTTCATCTCGTCCCCTGCCTCCCTTTAACCGGAGTCCCTCCACGTATTGGAGTATTCAGTCTTCATGTGTTCATTTTTCTATCAGCGCTGTCCAGGAGCTCATGCCTTTCCTTGGGTCACCCACCTTTGCCAACAAAGCTGAGCTGGACCTGGAGGGGTTTTGACACTGACCTTGGAAAGGGACATCCACAAGTTTAGAGTGGTCCAGGGAGAGTCCATTTACCAAGCAGCGGGCATTACGCCGTTCGGCCATGATCTGAGGAAGGAAGGGAGGCGAGGAGCCAGGGAGAATCTATTAGAGCCTCATTGCCCTGGGGCCCCCCTACAGCACTCAGTGACCCCACCCACACCCTTGTAGAGCAAAGGTGGCAACTAGTCCAGGGAGTGGAGGGGGCCGTGCCTTAGAGCAGATCTCATGCAGGCTGGTGGCGATGTTCTTGGCAGGTGCCTCACAGCGAAACACGTGGCACTTGAGCATCTGGGTCAGCTTATCACGAGCTACGTAGGCAAAGTCCCTGTTGGGGAAGGGGCACCTCAGTGTCTCCCAGTACCATCCAGTGCTGAGCCTGGTCCCCACCCCACCCACGTCCTCCCTGCCCATCACAGCTCCTCCAGGGCTTCTGCCCACAGCTGGTCCCCCATAGGTGCTGCCTTCTTGGGGGGGAGGGGTAGACAGGCAAGCATGCTGAGGTGGAGGGTAATGGTGGAGCATAGCGGGTGGGAAGGGGCAGGGCAGAAGAGGGGAGCTTGGGTGCTTCCAGGCATCTGGTCCAGGTGTAGGAGGGGGAAAATAGGCATAGTACCTCTCTCTGGGTCCAGCAGCACAAGAGAGGCAAATAACAGAGTTAGAGAGGAGGACTCTGATGCTGGATGAACTCCCACCCTCGAATCCCAAGCCCTATTCCCACCTTCCACTGTCCCGCCCGACGCCCCACACGCGGATGCTGATGATGGGTTGGGCGTGCAGCAGTGCCTGGCTCTGTGGCTCCACTAGCTTTAGTGTCTCATCCTCCAGCTGCAGTAGCAGATCCTTTCCCTGCAGGACCAGAAGCAGGCACTCAGTGGGACTCCAGCCAGGATGGTGGCTGATCTCTGACCCCTGCAGCTCAGGGGATGTTAGCCACAGCTCTGGGGCCCCTGCTTTGGTGTCAGACCGCCCGCCCTGCAGGCCTCACTCTAGTGGAGGTCACGTGTCATCTCTCACATTGACTCCACCGTTGTTAGGCGACTATCTCCCAAGGTCCTGGCCTGGGGTCGCTCATCCATCCCACAGGGCTGCCACTTAGGATGGGCCAATATCCCCCTTCCCCAGCCTGCTTGTGGGCAGGTCAGACCTCCCATCTCTCATAATTCCCTTCACACTCTCACAGTACCACCCCCTACCCCCGGCTCAGGTCCTTACTTCCCCCCAGCCCCCAGACATGGGGTCATGCAGGTTGTTTTTGTGGTAAGAGAGCTGACGGATGCAATTGTTGACTGCCACACTGCTGCGTCCAGGGGCCAGCTCCTCCTCGGTCATCTCTACCCAGCCTAGGGAGCGCACGGCGAAACACTGCCAGACACAGAAGAGGGGCAGGAGGTAGAGGATCTGAGTCAAAACTGGAGAGTTCCTGACTACAGAGTGTGGCAGGAGGCAGGGTGTTCTGAACTAAGACGGAGAAGCTCCCCAAACAGGATGTGGTTAGGGAGAGGGGGATGTGGTTAGGGTGAGGGAGATGTCAGATGAGACCCCAGCTAGTACAAAAAAGCACCTGAACTAAGACTACAAGGGCCCCCAACCTGGCTGTTGGGCTGGTTGATTTAAAAACTGAAGTGCCTCCAGCTCAGACACAGGGCTCTGTGCTGAGACTGGAAGAACTCCTAACTCAGGACCTGGGGAACTGCGCTGAGACCCCTCAGAGCACAACATTAGGGGCTGTCTGACAAATAAGAGGGCCCCAGACTCAGAATGGGTGTCAGTCTTGAACAAACCTTGATCCCTGGGTTGGTATTCCGTGGGGGAAGCTTCTCCTCCTCTTGGGGCAACGGCTCTGGGCTGAAGGCAGATGGTAATACTTGGCACAGGGCTCCCATAAATGGAGCTGTCCCAAGGCCCCTTCCAGACAGATCCATCCCACTGCCAGCTCACTGCATCTGGCAGCTCACCTGAGGCTCTGAGCTGGGAAGGTCAACGTCCCCTCCTCAGGTTCCTTCAGTCCCAGCTCCATTGGGGCCTCATCACTGGGTTCATCCTTGGGAAGGGGATTGAGGAATCAGTATCAAAATGATGCCCCTCCTCCAGCTATCCCGTGGTAAAGCAGGTCCCCTTACCCACCTTCCAAAATTCTCCATCCTCAAAGCCTTCTCCATGAGCAAAACCTGTCCAGGTGAGCTAGGAGGAGGGATGGGAGTAGTGAGTGAGTGTCCTATCCTACTCCAGCAGCACACACTCCCTCCACCCCTGGCCCAAAATCAACAGGCCTGTGAGCCTCACCTGGGACTCCTCTTGGGGGCTGCTCCCCTGTGAGGGGGAGGCCCGGCCGGGGGGTTCCCACTGGGTGGTCCCTGTTGGGATGTGCCAGTAATAGGTCCCTGAGGTGTCCTGGACCCTCATCCATCCAGCCGGCAGGTCGGAATCCGTCTCGAAGGCGTTGGGGTTCCAGAAGGAATCTGCCAGGTGGGAGGCTTGGTGAGGGTCAGCCTACCCAAAGAGCAGACAGCTGGTGCCTATGCCCGGTCCCCTCTGAGACCCCATGGTTGAGAAGGGGTGGTGGAAGAGCTATACCACAACACAGTTCCTGCTTCTGCCTAGAGCCTATAGTCTGGAGTCACCACATGTGGGGCCACCAGTAGGGGACATGGCTCAGGTCTCCTCCTGGGCCCTGTTGGTGGCTAATGTGGCCACACTGTGGAAAGGAGGAAGGCAGGGAGGGAAGAAGGAAGGGAGCAATGAATGTTGGGTGACCCCAATTAACCTCCTTTCATACATATCTATTATCTCAGTTAACACGAAGGTGAACACTTTCTAGCTCCTGCACACGTACATGTATACACAGACACACAACACATACAAGCCCTACCACACACCTGTGCAGCCACAAACACCAGGGTATGCAACACAGAAAATGCCAGCACAGATGGCAGGTATCACACACAGGTGCACATGTATGTGCAGGGGCACACACACACAAACTTTAGCCATACACTTATGCAGACACCACAGAGGTGTGTGTGCATGCAGCTAAACATACGAGCCCCTGCCACACAGGTGTGCAGATACCACACCACAATGGCCCCAACACACGTGTGGGTACCACACACACAGGCGGACCCACACTCAGACACACGGCACACGTCAAACCCTGCCAAATGTGTGCAGACACCACAGACGCTCACTTCCTGACCCTTGCTGCACACAGATGCAAGCAAACATGTCATGCACATACACACATACCTCGCATCTGTGTCATACACCCTTGTCTGCCGGCAGAGCCACACCACTCCAACCCTGTAACCCGCTCATGCGTCCTCTAACTCTTCTCTCCCTGTCAGCCCCACCCCACATGAGGCCCAACCTCATGCTGCCCCTCACCTGCGCTGCTGTCCTGCAGGATAATGGCCAGGAAAAAGTCCTGGGAGAACATGGCGCTCATTCCCGGCCCCTCCTGCCTCCACCCTCCCTCCTCACAGCCCCTCCAGCCCAGCCAGCTGGGCTCACAGCCTGGTGCTGGGCTGCAGAGAAAAGCTCATCCCGCCCCCTTCTCACCAGGGCAGAGCGTCTGCCAGGCAAGATCCTCCCCCGCTTGGAGCTTGCTAGGGAGGGGCCAGGACCACCATGCTAGGGAATCTCCTTGGGGGGTGGGGAAGGGAGGAGAAAGGGAGGTTCATGAGACCCCAGCCCCTTCTGCTCACACCTCTTCTTCCTCGCCCTGGCTCCCCTCCCCCAATCCTGAATCTCCATCCCACCCTCCAGTGGTTACCTCAGTGCCTAAGCCAAGCCCAGTCTTAGGGATACCAGGAGACTCAGCCCCTAAGGAATACCCCAGCTGCCTGGGGCCCTGCAGAGCCTATAGCTGTCAGCATAAATAGGGTGTGGTTTCAAGGCCTTCAGGGATCCCGCCCCTGTCCAGGACCTGCACAGCAGTTTGAACCCAAGGGTGGGCTTTGAGGTCCTGAGCCCCAGCAAGCTTGAGGCTGGGCTTGGGGCTTCCCAGCACCACCCCCCACCCCTCACCTGCCAGGGCCCAGCTAGGCTGCAGCGTCTCCTCGGCAACCGCAGCACCAGGACCGGCTGGGAGCGCCCAGACTGCTGACGTGCTTCCCGTTACCAGGGAAACCAGGAATCCTGACTGGTCCAAGAGGCAGTACTAAGGGACAGGCAGTCCCAAGACCCTGCTGCTGGGCAACCAGACACAGCAGGGCTGGGAGTGGGCGTGGTTACGCCAAGGTGGCTGCACACCTGACGAGAGTTATTCAGGCAGGGTGCTTCACCATCCTCAGCTTCCAAATGACGTGGGCCCACAGACACCCAAAGAGGAGGGGCTCTTGCCCATCCACCTTCTAGGCAGCCATCACCGCCTCTCCTCACCCCCACTTCCCCCTAACTCACACTCTATGGAATAAGGTTTTCAATAGGCACCTGAAACTTAGCTGAGGCTCAGGGAATACCTGCTGTTCCCTAGAGACCCTCCATTGCCTCAGGACTCTCCTGCTAAAACCTTCCAGGAACAGCACCCTAGGGCCTCCATGCCCTCCACAGCCACAGCCTGCTTCATGAGGGCTGGCTGGACACTTCTGGAATCTGGGGACCAGTTCACCATCTCCTGACTGAGTCACACACACCAATCCATCTGCCATCCCTGTCAGCCTGTACCTTCCTGCTTCAAAGAGCTTCATCCTTCCGATCTGTCCTGGAAGGGCAGTTTCTCCCCCCTTGGCCATCTGGGAGGCCCTTCTGGAGCTTGGCACATCTCCCTCCAAGCGCAGCCCACCCCGGCCTTTGCTTTCACACACATGCATTTATTCCAGAACGCACACCTTCACTCCTGCATCGATTCATGCGACACTTACATATAAAATACATTAAATGTTCACGTATCATTCCTTCCTTCCTTCATTCGTTCATCCACAAATGCCTTAGTGGTGAAGCCAGGTGTACTCACTTGCTCAGGAATCAGTGATTGACTTAAAGCTTTCCCCTTCTCTCCACCCCACATAACTAACATAGCCCAGGCTACTAGCTTTTTTTTTTTTAACCTGCATCATTGCAAAAACATCATAACTGGTCTTTCTCTTCCTATCTGGTCTCCTCCAATCTCAGCTGCACAGTACAGCCCAAATGATTCTTCTGAGATGCTAAACTAATCAAGTAATTTTCCAACGGAATCCTCTTAATTGTTTTGTCACTGCCCTCAGGATAAAGTCCAAATTCCTCCCCAGGTTTTATGTGCTGTCATGAACCCCTGTCTGCCTCTCAGCCTTACCTCCAGCCACTCCCCTTCTCTCTCTTTGCTTGGGACATGCCCCCTTGTCCTCTCCCAGCCCACCTCCCTTACTCTCGATTTTCACCTGGCTATCACCTACCTCTCCTTCAGACATCAGTATACAGGTCCCTTCTTAAAACTGACCCATTGCCCTCTCCCCCACCACTCTCACAGGCAGGGTCAGGGGCCCCTCCTGTACTTCCCCAGCCCCAGAGAGCTCATCGCACTGATCATAACCACTTGTTTCTTTCTTTGTCTCCTCACCAGGCTGTGAAGGCCAGGAGGTAAGAACATCTTTGCCCCATAGTATACATTTCCAGCATTTACGATAAGGCCTGGAGCAGAGTATGAATTCAATACAGGTAGTAAAGTTTATTCATTCATCATTCATTTAATTCATGAATTCATGCATTTATGCATTCAATCCATAGCTCTATGAATATCCTACAATAGGAAGGAGAATATAATTTTTGCTCAATTCTAGCCTCATTTCTGCAGGAGCACAAACCTTCTCTGCAGCCCTCATGGTCATAGCAACACAGTTGTAAAAGAGTGACTTGGCCCCTTTCCTGGGCTGGCCCCCACCTCTATCCTCAATTCACAATGTCTCCACCAGTGCATGATCCTTGAGAATCCTCTTGCCACTCCAACATCCTTGCTGAGGTCACTGCCCAGCAAACCCGCCCCAGCTCTTCAGCAGTACTATCCCCCTACTCCTAGAAGCTTCATAGGTAGTTCAGAGTTGCAGCCCCCACAGTGACCATCCCAGGGGCAAGTGAGCAACTAGGCCTCTATTTGGTCACTGACTCACACCCCCTAGTCTTGCAAACTTCCAACCTACAACCTGCAGACTGATGCAAGCCTCAGATAGATTGTGTGTGGCCTGCACAGTGCTTTTTAAAAAATAGAATTTGTTGTTAACGTTTAGAAATTGGGCTATTTTACACCAATATCTAGTTTTCAGTTTCCCTTTAACTGGCTGCATTGAGACTATATTTTTCCTCACCCCAATCCCAAAAATAATCAGCTGGAGTGCAGGAGGGGCTGTTCCTTTTAAAAGGAGTTGAGACAATGACCACCAAAGGCCACTAACATCACAAAAAAGAGAGGCAATCAGACTTTGCCTTTAGTAGAAGTATTTTTTTTTTTTTTTTTGAGACGGAGTCTCGCTCTGTCGCCCGGGCCGGACTGCGGACTGCAGTGGCGCAATCTCGGCTCACTGCAAGCTCCGCTTCCCGGGTTCACGCCATTCTCCTGCCTCAGCCTCCCGAGTAGCTGGGACTACAGGCGCCCGCCACCGCGCCCGGCTAATTTTTTGTATTTTTAGTAGAGACGGGGTTTCACCTTGTTAGCCAGTATGGTCTCGATCTCCTGACCTCATGATCCACCCGCCTCGGCCTCCCAAAGTGCTGGGATTACAGGCGTGAGCCACCGCGCCCGGCCTAGTAGAAGTATTTAATACCACCTATGAAATATTCTTGCAAAAGCAAAACACAAAAATGCTCAAATCTGAATCTGATCAAGGCTCTAGAACTAACTACCAATTTACAGGAAATCCAGGGGAAGAGGAGCATGGTAAATATGACCACAGGAGAGAGTCTGAAAAATCCAAACCATAGAAAACTCAGGACAAGCAACATGATTCTCCAGTTAAAAAACAAAAGCAAAACTGCAAACAACAACAACGAAAAAAATAGAAGGGGAACTTGATCAAACATAACTTTAACAGATAGATCAGGCCAGACATGGTTGCTCACACCTGTAAGCCTAGTGCTTTGGGAAGCCAAGGTAGGAGGATTGTTTGAGAACAGGAGTTCAAGACCAGCCTGGGCAACATGGTGAGACACTGTCTCTACATTTTTTTTTTCCTTCTTTTTTTTTTTTTTGAGAAGGAGTCTCGCTCTTATTGCCCAGGCTGGAGTACAATGGCTCTATCTCAGCTCACCACAACCTCTGTCTCCCGGGTTCAAGTGATTCTCCTGCCTCAACCTCCCGAGTAGCTGGGATTACAGGCGTTTGTAACCACGCCCAGCTAATTTTGTATTTTTAGTAGAGACAAGGTTTCACCATGTTGGCCAGGCTGATCTCGAACTCCTGACCTCACGTGATCCACCTGCCTCGGCCTCCCAAAGTGCTGGGATTACAGGCATAAGCCACCATGCCCAGCCAATGTTTGTGTTTTTTGTAGAGACAGGGTTTCACCATGTTAACCAGGCTGTTTCTGAACTCCTGGCCTCAAGCAATCCACCCACCTTAGCCTTTCAAAATGCTGGGATTACAGGCGTGAGCCACTGTGCCCAGGCTCAATCCAGCCTTTTTTTGGCAGGATATTTAATGATATTAAAGAATTATTATTAAATTTTTGTAGGTACAATAATGATATTGTGGTGGGTTTTTTTTTTAAGAGTTTTATCTTTCAGAAATGCAAAAGTAAACTGTTGTTGTTGTTGTTGAGAAAGGGTCTCTCTCTGCCATCCAGGCTGGAATGCAGTGGCTCAATCATGGCTCACTGTAGTCTCGACTTTCTTGGGTTCGGATGATCCTCTCAGGTCAGTCACCTGAGTAGCTGAGACCACAGTGGCTGATGCCTCCACTCCCGGCTAATTTTTTTGTCTTTTTTATAGAGGAGAGGTTTTGCCATGTTGCTCAGACTGGTCTTGAACTCTTGGGCTCAAGCAATCTACCCATTTTAGCCTTCTAAAATGCTGGGATTACAGGTGTGAGCCACTGCACCCAGCTGTAAACATTTATAGATAAAAGTATTTGCTTCAGAATAACCTACGCTGGGCCTAGGAACGGAAGAGAGCATGCAGGTAGCAAGATTAGTTATGTATTGATAATTGGTAAAACTGGCTCGTGGGTAAATCAGGCTCATTATTCTTTTCTCTCTATTTTTGTGTATGTTTGAAAATGTCCAGAATGAGTTTTTCGAAAGGGGATGGTGTGCAGCCCTAGGCTCATCTGAACTGCATGTTCTCCACAAAGATTGCACAGTTTGGGGTATGGGTATTGTGTCCGCCACCTGGTAAGGATAGGGGTCTTTCCTAATCTTTCTTAGACCTCCATCTACAAAACTCCAGGGTTTTGGTTGTAACTATAGCCCATTATCTCCACTCTTTGTTCCTCAGCTTTTCCTGTATTCGCTACACGACATTAGAAAATGTGGAGACTCAGCTTAATTTAAATGGACATATTTAATGATTAAGCCCTGGAGTCCTAGTATCTATTCTCCTCCCCCTACCCAAAGGGTTTTCTTTTCTAACTTTTAGTCAATATCCTACTCCTGACAAAACTGTATCCTTGCAATGGTGCTGGAGCATGTGGATTATAAGCACACAACATTCCCAGTCTTTCCAAACAGACCTCTGTGGGGAGCTGCTGGCTGCTCCCAACAGGCGTGACCTGTTAAAACGGGGCAGACTGGCGACAGAGTGAGACTCTGTCTCAAAAAAAAAAAAAACGGGGCCGACTGTCCCAAGTGCACCTGAGTGCATTGTGCTCTATGCATTGGCGGCAGCATAACACGGGGCCAAGAGCTCAGGCCTGGACTGAGACCTGGTTTAGATTTCAGCTCTATTGTAATCTCAGCCTGTCTGTGGTCTCGAGAAAGCTACTAAACCTCTCTGGATCTCTTTTTTGTTATCTGTAATATGGGAATCATCATAATATTTACCTCACAGCTTTATTGTAAGGATAAAGCCTGAAAATGCTGAGCAGAGGGCCAGTTACCTAGTCAGTGCCCAGTAAACTAGTCCACTTATCAACCATGGTGGCATGCATAATGAATAGATCCATCCATCCGGGCATGCATGATGGTCAGATCTACCAGAATGTCCAAGCACTCTCTGAATGAAAAAGCCTGGACATGGCCTGCTGTGGCCTCAGGGTATGGGCTCTCAGCTCACATCAGGCTGGCACTGGCCTCTGTATGAGAGTCCTAACCTCTGCCCTCACACCCTCCCACATGCCCATGTCAAGCTCCACAAGGTACCTGTGTCCTCTGGGGAGCCATAGGAGGGGCTGCCCTGGGATAAGGTAGCCCAGCTTGAGTCCTCATCACTGGCTGCACTGTTCCGCATGCCAAACAGGAGGCTGGCACTCTTGCTGTGTTCCCGGGGGCCATCTGTAAGGGCTTGGGGCCTGGGAGGGGCCTCCACACTCTCCAGGGGCTCAGGCAGCCCTGGGGGAGAAGATAAGTCCTCCTCCTCCTCTTCATCATCATCATCCTCCTCCTCCTCCTCGGCCTCCCCGGCCGCCTTCTCCTCTCCCTCATCTGGCCCCTGCTCTTGAGTGCTGATGATCAGGCCAGGTCCTCGTAGGCCTCGGTTGGCTGCGTTGTGAGCTGAGAGCTCCAGCTCAGAGTACAGGTGTATCAGGCCTTTGGGGCCCAAGGGTGCCATCTCAGGCTCCTGGCTGGCCTCCTCCGCCAAGGTCAAGGTCACATTGCGATTCTGGTCACGGTGGGCCGTGGCGGCCCGCCGGAGCTGGTTCTGGCCCTCTTTTAGCCACTTGGCATTGGCAGGGCCTGGCTCAGGCCCACCACCCTCCCCCATGGCGCTGCGCAGGTCCTTGGGTCCCACAGCTGTGGCCTGCAGCTTGGCGTTGAGCAGCTGGTTGTGGGCAGCGTGCAGAGGCAGGGGTAGGCTCAGTGCGGGGCCTCCGTGGCTGTTGGCATTAATGGCCGACTGGCTCAGTGATGATGGAACAGACATGGCCTTGGCAGCTCCTGTGGGGTGCGGAGGGGAGATGCTGTTGAGCCTCTGGTCCAGAACAGCAGCATCACTGCTTCTGCCCCAGGGCTATGCCCTGTGCCTCCTCATCTCCCTGCACTAAGCAGGCTAGCACCCATGGCTCTCTATCCTATGAGAATGACTGGGTTCAACTTCTGTCCCAGCACTATCATCCCCATCACAGTCCAGGCCCAGGTCTGAGGCCCACCCCATCCCTATATCCCCTGCCCTGAGCTTTCTGGGATGGCACAGCTGGCGCCTGCCCTCGGTCCCACCAGCAAGGCCTCCACACAATGGCTCTCTGTGCCTCCCCACCCCCCAGCTCATCCACCCGGGGCTTACTGTGCCAGGAACACCACTAGAGTGGGACCGGCTCGTGTGTTTTGGACACTGATCACTGACTGCCCCTCTCCGGCCGCACTTCCATCCCAAGCCCCATCACTGTAAGCTCCTCCGGCTGTGTTCCTATTCCCATAAATCACTCAGCTCAACCAGCCCCCAAGCCCACCCCATACTAGGGACTGTGAGGACAGGAGCAAATAAGCTGCAGAACCAGCCCTACAGGGCATGGCACTGGAAGGCAGGTCACAGAGGGAGGGCGCTCGGCTGCAATTCATGGCTTCTCTGGCCAGATGAAGCTACATCTTGGTGACAATTTCCATGAAGTAGCTCCCCTTGGGCACTGGTCCCTCTGCCAGCCCTCATAATGCCCTGTCCTGGATCACTATGGGAGCCTTTCCCCTGGGCCCCTCAGCCTTTCAGATCTTTGTTTTTTGGGGGTTGTTTGTCTGTTTGTTTGTTTTTGAGACAGAATCTTGCTCTTGTTGCCCAGGCTGGAGTGCAATGGCACAATCTTGGCTCACTGCAACCTCTGCCTCTCGGGTTCAAGTGATTCTCCTGCCTCAGCCTCCTGAGTAGCTGTGATTACAGGTGCCCACCACCACGCCCAGGTAATTTTTGTATTTTTAGTAGAGACGGGGCTTCACCATGTTGGTCAGGCTGATCTCAAACTCCTGACCTCGTGATCCGCCCACTTCGGCCTCCCAAAGTGCTGGGATTACAGGCATGAGCCACTGCGTCCGGCCCAGCCTTTCAGATCTTTGACCAAATGTCACAGCCTCAGTGAAGCCTTCCCTGAACACCCATTTTAAAACCACAGGCTACCTCCGCCCCTCCTCAGCAATCCCTAAACTCTTCCCCAGCGCCTGTCACCATCTGACAAGCCAATTTATTATTTACTTTGTCTAATGATTGTCTCCTCATGACTATAATTTATAATTTCCATGTTGGTGAGGATTTTGCCTTTTTGGTTAAATACAGTATGCCTAGTGCCTAGCGTAGTCCTGGCACAGAGCAGGAACTCCATTAATATTTGCTGAATGAATGTATGAATCAGTCCCCATTTCCTCCAGGCTTCGCTTTGGCATCTCCTCTGCCAGTGTCAGAAAACACTTTGGTTACGTTACTATGCCTTATGGTGCCCCAAACAAACTCCACCTGCCTCTCAGGTAAGAGGACGTCCTGTTCCGCAAGGACAGCTCCCCCTCCAGACCCCTCCCTCTGCCTCCTCACAGCCCTTCGTGGGTCAGTTTCTCCGCAACCATTTGAGTCCCAACTATCCTTCCAGCCCGCCACCCAGGGACCCACCCTCGGCCCCATTCCATCCTCCCCACTCTCCCTGACCTTCCAGTTGCTCTGCTGCTCTCCTTCCCGGACCCCCAAGAGAAAGTGCTCTCTCCCTGGACCCTCACCAGCCCCCGATTTCAGTTATTTCTCCCTGACCAACCACTGCCCACTTCTCTCTCATCCTGAGCCCTCCATGCAAGCCCTCCTTCAGACAGCCCCTACCACATTACTCTCTCCTCCCTCGATGGCCTCACTGATTCTCTTGCCCTACCCGACCCTTCCCCCAACAGACAATTCTCCCTCACTGACCATCCCAACAAACACTGCACTGTGCTCTTTCTCATTCCCACTGTACAGACCTTTCTCCTTGATGTCTTATCTGAGAGTTCCCTATCTCCCTGTTCCTCTACTAAGGAGTTCTTTCTTTCCCTGACTCACCACTACCCCCCTTCCCTCTGTGTTCTCAGCGCTGAGCACAGGTCTTGCAGCTACCTGAGCAGGGCTTGCCCATCTCTCCAGGTGCGGTGCGCCCAGGCTGGAGTGCAATGGCACGATCTCAGCTCACTGCAACCTCCTGCAGCCTCCTGAGTAGCTGGGATTATAGGTGCCCACCACCACGCCCAGCTAATTTTTGTAATTCTTTTTTTTTTTTTCTTTTAAGTAGAGATAGGGTTTCACCATGTTGGCCAGGCTGGTCTCAAACTCCTGACCTCAGGTGATCCACCCGCCTCAGCCTCCCAAAGTGCTGGGATTACAGGCGTGAGCCACCGCGCCCGGCCCCATAGCTCACCTTTCTACGTCTCTAGTTCCTCAGACACTAGTGCTATGCTACCCACACATCTGTAAGATGAAAAAGGTTTCTGCGCACGTGTCTGCCTCACGTGGGGCTGTTGATCTGCTCAGTGTGACTCCTCCTGGCCAATGAGAAAACTCACAGCCACTGGAATAAATGAAGAAAAAAATAGCTCTACCTCCTCCCAGAACCACAGTAATCTTCCAAAAATGGAAACCAGATTGTGTCACTCCCTGGTTCAGAAAATGAGAGGGCTCACCACTGCCTTTCGGATAACGCCTGCACTCGTTCGCAGACACCCAAGAGCCCTCTTAAGCCGGCCTCTATAACCTGTCAGTCCCCTCCCCACCTCCCGCCTCCTTTATACCTTATACTCTAGCCACATGAAGCGTGGCGGATTCTGAAACATGTCGCACACTCTTAAAGCCCTGGGTCTTTGTTTATACTGCTCCCTCGGCCTGGAATTCTGTCTCCCCTTGTGAGAACCTCTGCTTGTATTTCAAAACTAACCTCAGCAGTTACAGCTCCTAAGCAGTCTTTCCTGTTCTCTCCCCACCATCAAGTGACTGTTCTCTCCTTCGTGTCTCACAACACCCAGAACCACATTCTATCAGAATATCTGAGACGGTGTCTTATTCAATTTCACATTCCCATTACCAAAGAGAGTGTGCCGTGTGCCGACACAGACTGGGCTGTTGCAGAAGGAAAGGACGGATGAACGGGACAGACACAGGGGGTGGGAGGATCCAGGAAGCTCAGAACTGGCTGGGAATAAATACCAAGAAAGGCTGTGTGGCCCAATGGGCTGGGGAGGAGCAAAGGGAGTGTTTGGGAGGGTGTCAGAGAATGCCAAAGGGTCCCTGAGTGGGAAGTAAGATGGGACAGGAATCCTGGAGAGGTGAGGGCTGAGATCTAGGAAAAGGGAGCGAGGGAGGTAGCTTAAACCAACATCTTGGCACAGACACTGTTCAAGAGTGGCATCTCCATGGGTGTCAGGAAGCAGAAGACTCCACGACTCTGCCATGCTCAGAGGACCTTAAGGATGGCAAACCCTTCTCTGAAGCAGTAGTGTACAGAGCCAGGTTTCTCAAAGGTCAGGCAGAGACCAACCTCCTAGGCACTAGGAGATATGATCTGAGAAGAGTGCATGCACTGTGAGGCTGAAACAGTGAAGAGCCAAGTTGACCTCAGGGCAGCCCCGCCAATCTGGTCACCAGGGCAGGAAGTATTAGAGGAAGAATGGTGAAACTGTTTAAGTGCTGAAGCCTGAGCATCTAGCCTGAGGTGGTGTGGTCACCAACACCCCACTGCTCGAGGTCAAAAAGATGATCTCAGTCCAATTTTTTAAAGAAGGAACACAACCTAATCTCTCCCCTCTCATTGGAGTTACCAAAGGATGCAAAGAGCCAACTGGGTTCTGGCTCAAGGCAGGGAGTTGGGCAGGGGCCTCGGGGCAGGAAGTGAAAGAAGTAGTCACTAAGCCTGAAGATCCTGGCATCAGACCACAGGGGTTGGGGTTGAGTCTTGCTCAAAGTCAGGAGTTGTCTAATCTGACAGCTTCCCATATGCCAGGCACTGTGCTAGACACAGGGGAGAGTGATGAAGACAAAAGAAATGGTTCTTCCTCTGGAGGAGTTCTCAGTTCAGCGGGAAACAGTCATTGAACAACTTGTTACAATGCAGTGTAACACCAACATCTAGAACAGTGCCTGGCACCCATAGCATTCCCTATTTGTTGACTGAATATCATGAAGGAGGAAGAGGAGGGCATTACAGGAACCTGGGGCTTACTACAGCCAAGACATCAGCAAAGGCCTGCCTGAGACTAGGACATAACTCTCCATTGGCCACCCGTCTCAGAGGCTGATCTCCCCTCCTGATTCACAGAGGAAAGGGAAGCCATCCAACTGGGTAACATCCTCAAACATAAAAACCTAACCAAACTTCAGCACCTATCCCTTTCTCTCCTTCCCAAAACCAACTGCTTCACCTATGATTTGGATTCTTCCTATGATGCCTTTCCAGGAATTTTATACCACTGTTTATCTATTTTCTCCTCTATATGATCAACCTCTCCTTCTCAATAGGATCCACGGTCTCCCAACTTGACCTGACGCTCCTCCAGATCCACTCACTGCTCTCTTTCCTCCCCCATACAGGCAAACTTCCTGAGAGAGTTGTCTCCACTCACTGTTGCCACTTCCTCACCTCCCACTCACTCCTCAACCCTTTCCAAACCTGCTTCCACTCCCAACACGACTCAGTAACAGCTCCTACCAAGGTCAACATGACCCCTGTGTCATTCAATCCAACAGACACAGTGCTCGTCTTGGTTGTCCTCCCAGCAGCATCTGACCCCGTGAATCTCTCATCCAGCCTCTATCCGGGGCCTCCACACTCTCATCTCCACACTCCTCATCTCATCTCATCTTTTACACTTCTTGTTACTGTTTGCTGGGTTCCTAGACTCCTCTGCTGGCTCATCTTCCTCTATTAGCCATTACCTGCTGGAGTTTCTTATGGCTTATTCTCATGCCCCTTCCTCTTTCTCATCCTATAATCAGTATAAGTATTCATTAATGCCCACAGCTTCAGTTATACACTGATGATTTCCCAATTCAAATCTCCATTTCAGACCCCTCACCTGAGCTCCAGACAAGTACATTCAACTTTCTACTCAACATCTCCACTTGGATGTCTCAAGCTAATAGACCCACTCATGTTTCCCACTCCCACACACTAACTGGTCCTCTTTCAGGATCCCGGCTCATGGAATGATAGAATCCATCCTATTCTGTGAATCTGAAGTAGGGGTACATCTTGACATGTCCTTCTCCTGCACTTGCTATGTTCAATCCATCTCTAGGTACTGATGATTTCCTCTCTGAGAAAAATTTCTGGACTTCATCTACTCTCCACATCCACTACCATCAAGGACAAAGACCTTAAGACAAAATTCCCTTTTTTTTTTTTTTGCGATGGAGTCCTGCTGTGTCACCCAGGCTACAGTGCAGTGGCAAGATCTCGGCTTACTGCAACCTCTGCCTCCCGGGTTCAAGCGATTCTTCTGCCTCAGCCTCCTGAGTAGCTGGGATTACAGGCACACACCACCATGCCCGGCTAATTTTTGTGTACTTTTAGTAGAGATGGGGTTTCGCCATGTTGGCCAGGCCGGTCCTGAACTCCTGACCTCAGGTGATCCGCCCGCCTTGGCCTCCTAAAGTGCTGGGATTACAGGCGTGAGCCATCACGCCTGGCCCTTAAGACCAAATTCTTAACATGGCCTAAATTTCCTGCTCAGTCTGGCGCCTGCCTTCCTCCTCCCTGCCCCTGGCTTTGGTCACACTGCTCTGCAGCCTCAGTAGCCTTCTTCTGATTCCTCGAAGACATGTGTTTTCCTTCTACAAGGTGTTTGCATGTGATTTCCATGCTTCCTGGGACCTCTTCTCCTACTCTCTAAGCTGAATTAACTTCTACTCATCCACTATATTTTAGTTCAAACGTCATGTTCTCAGAGAAGCTGTCCTCCAACCCTCTCTCCCTATCCCCGAGACCAGTTTAGCTACTGCTCTTGTGCGTTCTCAAGGCACCATACAGCTTTTCTTCATGGTACATATTACATTTGTAATGTTATTCTTATTTGATTTTTCTCCTAGATTGTCAGCTCCAAGGACTCAGTCTCTTTTGCTCACAATTATATCTTCAGGACATAACACAGTGCCTGGCATATATTAGGTGCTGAAATCATATTTATTGCATGAATAAGTGATTGGAAGCATTTTTCAAAGGATTACTCTGGGTACTGTGTTGAGAACAGTTAAAGGGAGGTAGGCAAGAGGGTATGCTATTAAAGTAGTCAAGGAAAAAAAATGGTGGTGGCCCAGATTAACTTTGGTGGCAGTGAGGAAAGAGCGAAATGAATGGATTTGAGAAATATTTAGGCAGTGGATGTGACAGAACTTGGTGAAATGAGATGCAGAGAGTGAGAGAGGGGTTAATCTCAAGTCTTGCTCATGACTCCAGATTGGCAAAGAGCCATTTTTGAGATTCGAAGGAAGAACAGATTTGGAAGTGGGGTACAGAGAAAACCACAGAAGATAATTTAGCTTGGAATCTATAGGTTTGGAACTCCTGTTTGTCTTTCAAGGAGATGTCAAGAGAGCAGCTGGACATATGAGTCTGGATTTCAGGAAAGAAGTCTGGGCTGGATATATAAATTTGGGAATCATTAGCATATATATGAAATTTGAAGCTTTGGGAGTAGATAAAATATCTGGGGAGAAAGAACAGATACTGAGAGAAGACAGCTCGGGACAGAGCCAAGAGCCTCACCAGCATCTAAAGAGAGGAGGAGAGGAAGCAAATGAGATTGAGAAGAGCAGACAATGCTGTAGGGCAGAAAGCAGGAAAATGCTTCAAGGAGAGTGAGTTGACATACCCCACCGAATACTACTCAAAGGTAAAGGAGATAACAGTGTCCACTGGAGTTCTCCACAAGGAGGTCTCCGGTGACCTTGGCCTAGACAGTTTCAGTGGGTGTCAGGGACACAGAGTGGAGTGCTTTTAAGAATGAATGGGAAGTAAGGAAATGAAGACAGCAAGCGTTGACTCTGAAGGGCGGAGAGAGCTGGGACTATAGCTAGAGGGGCTCAGAATGCAAGAGATACACAGGCCGATACAAAACAGGTTAGGAATTGGCAGTGGGAAAACTGCTTCTAATCAGTGTTCTTGGCAGTGCTAGGCCTCCTGGCTGAGCTGGGGACACAGCCGCCCCAGGGCACACCCCTCGGTCGCTGAGGGCAACAGAATGCGGCTTGACAGATCCAGGGCCTGGGACCCCTGCTGGAATCGGCGCGGCCTGCCAGCCCACCCCACCCCACGTCCCCTTCCCGGACCTGGGCCTCCCCTCCCCCAACACCCACTGCCCCTCGCTTCGCGTCCTCCATACCCGCCCCTAGTCACCCCGAGGGGCAGGAGGTAAAGGGCAGCGGAAGGGACGGTGTGAGGGCCCGAGTGGACCCTGCGATGGTGGGTATGAGAGGACGGTCTGCGGGCGCGCGGTGGAAGGGCGACCCGGGGATGGGGGATGGGGCCGGCCGGGGGACCCGGGCTGCCGCAGGGTAGGGGCTACAGGGTCCGCCGGCCGCTGGTGATCGGGACGCAGCCACCGGGGCTGGGCCGGGGCAGGGACACCTCCTACC
This sequence comes from Homo sapiens, assembly GCF_000001405.40. Lineage (NCBI taxonomy): Eukaryota > Metazoa > Chordata > Mammalia > Primates > Hominidae > Homo > Homo sapiens. The sequence goes on from NC_000011.10 coordinate 6,418,986, forward strand.
TGCGCGGTGAGGCCCCGGGCCCAGATGACGGAGGTGGCTCAGGCTGCGGGGTTCGGGCTCCGCCGCGGCTTCTCCATCACAACATCCCCCGCCCAGGAGCGCGCGGGCCGCGGGGCCGCGCCCCGAGCGGCGGAGGCGCGCGCAAGGGGAGGGGGAGGGGCGCCATCTTGGGGCGGGCGCGGGAGCGAGCTCGGCGGGCGCGGCACTTGCCGCAGCTTCTTGGGGGCCTCACCCTGCGGGCGGCCCTCGGACCTCGGTGAGCCCCGCGGTCCAGCCCTCCCAGCAGACACCCCTGCAGCCGACTCCCTGGGACCCCCGCCTAGCGCGGCGCCGTCCTCCACTACTATTCCACAGACTCACCCTGCGCGCCCCGCAGCGCCCTGGTCCCGCACCCACGCCGGGAGACGCGCGGACGGGGCTGGAGCCCGAATGGCGGCGGCTGTGCGGCGCCGCGGCCGCGCGGGGAAGGATTCCCGGGAGGCACTCTGCGCCGCTCCTGCTGCACCGCTCCCTGACGTCCTGGTGGGGAGGCTCTGAGGACACAGCGTTGCTCATAATAATAGCTCGTATTTATTGACCACTTACACCGTGCCGGGCTCTCTATTAAACCGTTAACGCGCATTAATCTTCACATCAGCTCTGTAAAATCACCAGAATTATTATCCTCATTTTTCAGAGGCTGAGGCTAAGATTAAGAGAGGTAAAGCGACTTGCCCGCAGTCACAGTTAGTGATGAATTTAGACTGGAACTCCGATGTTTCTTGACACTGAAATACCTCTGCTGCTGAGCATAAAGCTGACATCAAGGCCTGGAAAATGTCAAGAATACATTGCTCCCCGGTAGAAATTCACAAGGAAGGGGATATTGTGAATGAAAAGTGTAAAGATGTAAGGAAGATGGTGGGGTGCAATACTTACTACAGACCCTCCCTGGATAGTGGGATACATCCCAATGGTCAGATCAGTGACCCAGAGGCCATCAAGGATAATGAGAGGTTATATTACCATCCAGAAAGCCTCTACATGCTAATCCCTCTCAGGTGCCTAAAACTAAAGATATCCAAATCTGAGTTCGTTCTTTCTTTCAAGGCAGGGTCTCACTCTGTCACCCAGGGGCAAGATCATGGCTCTCTGAAGCCTCAGCCTCCAGGGCTCAGATTCCTCCCGCCTCAGCCCCCGGAGTACCTGGGCCACAGACATGTGCCACCGCGCCTGGCTTTTTGTATTTTAGTAGAGAGGGGGTCTCACTGTGTTCCCCAGGCTGGTCTGGAACTCCTGTGTTCAAGCGATCCTCCCACCTCGGCCTCCCAAAGTGCTGAGATTACAGGCGTCAGACACAGTGTCCAGCCTCAATTTATTGTTTCATCCCCCTTTATTAGTCTTTTAAGGAGTTTCACTGGGGTGAAAAAGAACCCTCTTCAACACACACAACACAACACACATCCCACACTGGACACAACTCCATTCCATCCATTCCAATGAATGACACCAACTACTGGCTTCCCAAGCCAGAAGCTTCAAAGTCATCTTTGAATATACTTTTATTTTACTTGTGGTAAATATAAATGTTTTAACTTTTTATTATGGCAAATTTCCAATATATACTAAAGCAGACAGAACAATATAATGAACCCTCATATACCTATCATTCAGTTTCAACAATTATGAATTCACAACCAATAGTTTATAATGATTTGACAAATGCCTATGATATATGAACCATGTATCAGGTCCCAAGCCAGGCCCTAGGGATCTAAAGACGAATCAGATTTGACTGCATCTCACCTGGAGGAAATGACATCTGACCTGGGTTCTTGAAAGATGAAGAAGAATTACCCAGAAGAACAAAAGTGTCCTCATTCATTCATTCATTCATTTTCTTTCATCAAATAATTACTATGTATGAGGTACTGTCCTTGGTGCTAGCAACAGGTCAAGAAACAAGATACAGTTCCGTCTCTCATACAGCTTGAAATTTAACAGGGGAAAGAGACATTAAATATGTAATTAGGAATGTGATGAGTGTCTTGAAGGAGATGTACCGGGAGCTATGTGAGTGGGCTTAATTTGGCCTGGGAAGTTTAGGAGGCTTTCATAGGAAGTGACAATTCAGTGAGGGAAAGGGATGAAGGAGCTAGAGGTCAGCCAGGAGAAGAGAAAAGTATTCCAAGTAGCAGGAGAAATACAGGAAGGTCAGTATGGGTGTTGATATAGTTTGGATATTTGTCCCTGATCAAATCTCATGTTGAATTGTAATCCCCAATGCTGGAGGTGGGGTCTGGTGGGAGGTGTTCAGGTCGTAGGGGTGGATCTCTCATGGCTTGGTGCTGTCTTCCCCATGATGAGTGAGTTCTTGTGAGATCCGGTTATTTAAAAGTGTGTGGCATGGCCAGGCGTGGTGGCTCAGGCCTGTAATCCCAGCACTTTGGGAGGCCAAGGTGGGCAGATCAACTTGAGACCAGGAGTTCGAGAACAGCCTGGTCCACATGGTGAAATCCCATCTCTATTAAAAACACAAAAAAATTAGCTGGGCATGGTGGCGGGCACCTGTAGTCCCAGCTACTTGGAAGGCTGAGGCAGGAGAATTACTTGAACCCAGGAGGCGGAGGCTGCAGTGAACCGAGATCACGCCACTGCACTCCAGCCTGGGCAGCAGAGTGAAACTCCATCTCAAATAAATAAATAAATAAATAAATAGTGTATGGCACCTCTCCCCCCACACTCTCTTGCTTCTGATCAGCCATGTGGGATGCCTGCTCCCACTTTGCTTTCTGCCATGAGTAAAAGCTTCCTGAGGACCCCCTGGAAGCCAAGCAGATGCTGGTGCTATGTTTCCTGTATAGCCTGCAGAACTGTGAGCCGATTAAACCTCTTTTCTTTTCTTTTTTTTTTTTTTTTTTTGAGACAGAGTCTCGCTCTGTCCCCCAGGCTGGAGTGCAGTGGCGCAATCTCGGCTCACTGCAATCTCCGCCTCCCGGGTTCACACCATTCTCCTGCCTCAGCCTCCCAAGTAGCTGGGACTACAGGCACCCACTGCCATGCCCAGCTAATTTTTTGTGTTTTTAGTAGAGATGGGGTTTCACCGTGTTAGCCAGGATGGTCTCAATCTCCTGACCTCGTGATCCGCCCGCCTTGGCCTCCCAAAGTGCTGGGATAACAGGCATAAGCCACCACACCTGGCCCTAAACCTCTTTTCTTTATAAATTACCCAGTCTCAAGTATTTACTTACAGCAACACAAGAACAGCCTAACAGTTGTGATAGTGGAGAATGGCATAAGATGAAATAGGAAGGTGGGAAAGTGCCAGATCAAGGAGGGCCTTATATGCTGAGCTAAGGGTTTGACCTTTATTTTAAGGGCAATGGAAAATCATGGAAGGGTTTGAAGCAGGAGAGGGGCATGTTCACACTCGCATTTTAGAAGATCGCTTTCAGCTCCTGAGGAAGAATAGATAGGTGGAAAGCAAAATTGGAAGAATATAGACCAGTTAGGAAGCAAGAGACCAGGTTAAAGATGATGATGGCTTGGACTCTGGTGGTGGGACTAGGGATGGAGAAAATTGCATAGGTTTAATAAATATTCAAGAGGTAGAATTCCCAGAAATCAGTGATCAGTTGGTTGATTAGCTATGGAATTGTAGATTTAAAAAATGACATCTAGATTTATTTTTGAGAAAATGAAAAAAAAAATCCAGAAGTATCACCCATTTACAGATAGCCCACCAAAATATTTGTCTTCCCAATCTCATTGAGCAGGAAGGCTGCAGTATTCAGGGAAATCTCTTCAGGTAAGAAGGACATAGATTGCATGATGAGGTTGAAGGGAGGACTCTAATTAGCTAGGGATGCCCATGTGCAGTTCACATGGGCATCTTTTTCCTTATGTATTTGACCCGCAGGCGATCTTCCTGAATTCCTGATCTCCTCTGAGGTCTGCAAAGTCTCCTGACCAATGGGGAATCAACCTGTGCCTTTCACCCATCCTTTCCCTACTGTAATCTCTTCCCTCTTCTGATGCTTTCTATGGTGTGGGAGCAACCAATGAATAGCCTATGAGCCACCTCAAATGCTGCATTTGGTTCTGACCAATGTGGGTTCCTCTGAGGCAGCAGACTTTGAAAATTATTACCTTGGACCTATCAGGAAAAAATTGAATTATAAGCAAATCCATCTAGAGTCATTTACCAAGAGTAGTGGCTTTATGCTATTTGGTTTGGTAGTCTAGCTAATTAGAATTACTAGGCAGTTGGCACCCAAGTCACCTATATGAAAGTATAGAGCTTTCATCTCTATTAAAAGTAAAGACACTTCTGGAATGAAGGCAGCTTTATCCTCCACTATATATAAGTACTGCTTTGGTATTGTAAATTTTCTTATGATTGATCTGACACACCTCTTTTCTTCTTGATGGCGGTTTTCATTTGGAAAATCTATAAGGAATAAAGTCTTCCCACATGCTACATGAAGTGGAATTCCTAAGTCAAATTCAAGACCTAGCAAAAACTTTCTCAATCCAATACCCTTCTTCAACAGAACTATTCTTTTGTTTGTTTATTATGAAGAGATGGGGGTCTCACTATGTTGCCCCAGCAGGTCAGGAACTCCTGCACTCAAGCAATCTTCCCACTTTGGTCTCACAAAGTGCTGGGATT